>NC_000007.14:41149332-41452363 GCF_000001405.40 Homo sapiens
ATATACACACCTAGTGGTAGGGCCAGGGCCGAGGTCTCGCCACTACTGGGCCCGTTTTTTCCTCACTGCTGCTTTGGGGACACAGTCCCACGACAGCCGCGTGACATCGTCCAAGATGAGAATTTGCTGTTAGCGAAGGTCTTCCAGAAGAGACCAGAAATACTGAAAATGATTTTTCCACAGCCCCACGGACCAGAGCAGGATCAGTACCTGCTTCAACGTTCCACCCCGCAATCACCTGCACCAGGGACTCAGAGACCCGGCAGCAGCATGGTTCGCACCACAGTCCCCAACTCGGTCTGGGCCCTGGGAAGTCCTCTTCACAAAGCCAATACACTTGGCCTGCGTGTGAGGCCTCTCCTCACAGTCAGGGCGAAGCCGCGGCTGCTCCAGGCCCCCTGGTGCCACCTGAGGCGGAGGCCCGGGCCCCACCTGCGCAATCGCCTAGATCCTCCTGTCTCGTTAGGCCCTGCTCCTCTGCCATTCCCGTGGGGGCTGCTGGGTAGGGCTCCGGTCTCCACCCTCCACCCTCCACCCTCGCTCTTGTGGGCGTGGCCTTCTCTCCATGTGGAACCCATTGGCCTGCAAGTGATACTTTAGAAATGGAGACCAGGAATCATGCAAAATGGATGTTGGTCTTTTCTGCCCTGTCGTGTCAGCTGATTCTTCTACTTGGCCTCCTTCTGTGGTTACTACTGCAGCTTTTTCTTGGGTCCTAGATTACTCCACCATCCTCCTGAGATTCAGTTGCAGCTGAGAATCCTGGCTTTTACCCTGCCAGGGAGGGTAATGGGATGTTTCAGGGTGACACAGCTAGGGTCAAAGGACAAAGAATAGACTTTGATTCTTTTCCACCACCATAGACAAGAGAAGCAAGCCTTCTTGTCCAGGATTGAATACAGTGCCAGTGCTGTAGTTTCAACTCCACTGGCATTACTCAAGAAAGCAGCCAGGACTGATAAGTGGAGAATGGGGCAATAATATATTTTATTCACAATTGTTACCTTAAATATTACTTATGAATTGTTCTTTACTTGAAAATGAATGCAAAGCAAGACCTAGAATTCCTGCTCAACAGTGTCAGCCTGTGTGGAATTACCATGCCATCAATAAAACTCCTAATATGATATGTTTGTAATTTTTACATCAATAATTATTAATTTGTAACATAATATAGTTCTACTTGGGTCAAAACAACTAAAAATGTAAAGATTTTCTCTCTAATTTTTCTCCCATAAAAAAGACATTTGTTTCTCTAGAGATGGAAAAATGTAATTTATAAGACGTTATATCATAATTTTGAAAAGGATTACAAATGGTGGATGATAGAATTTCTTACACAGTGCAGGTTCCTTTTATATATTTTTGGATATGTAGTTTACTTTTTCCTGCCTGAATACCAAATATTGCTTGGAAGGGAGTGGTGACAGGGTTCATGGGTCAAACTTGTTGAGAAAAGTCAAAATTGTAGCTAAGAAAAAAAAAAATTTACATCAATATAAAGAGCAAGGCAAGGACTGAACCTTAGAGAGTTGAGAAGAGCAAAGGTAATAAGGAAAGGTAACTAGGAATCAGACCGTCTTTTTTTAGTGTAGCACCTGGCATCTTTTGGAGACGTGTAACAGCTTTCAAGGAGTGATGCTGAATTTAATACTAAAGTGAAAATGCATGCTAAATATCTCAAGGGATCAGACTGTATTGGGTAGATTTGACACCTGTGTTGTTGATGGATAAATCTCTAATCTCCCCCCTTAAAATATCAATCCATTTTTTTCAGTTCACCTTCTGATATAACACAGAACAACTCTATTCTCTGAATAAGCGAATATTTCAAAAATCAAGATCAGCTGGCATCTCTCCTTTTAGTACACTTCAATAAAAATTGCACCAGGTCCATCATATATTTCAATTACAAAATAATATGTAGAAATTTTACCATTCTGATCTTTTTCAGTTTCTCAAAAACTCCTTAAAAAGCATAGTCCAAAATTGTATAAAGTACTTTAGATGAGATTTGAAAACTCTGAGTTCCAGAAGTTCTATTATCAGGACCATAAATTTATATTAATATTTAAAATATCTGCTATTATGTTCACTTTCTTAGCAACTGTACCATATTATTAGCTCACATCAACTTGAGGGAAAAAACATATGTGGCAGGAGATTTCCCAAACTGATCAAGCAGGTCTTAAATTGGAAATTTGTGGAGGAAGGTGAATTACAACCTGAGATGCAGAATGGGACATTATAGCACAATTAACAGAAGTGTCATAGAGAGATAGTTCCTGAACAGTATCTGTGACTTCAGCTAAGCTCTTCAGAATTCATACAAATTCTCAATCACTCTGGAGTAAGCATACTTTAAAAACTGGGCAGAACTGAGGGGAATATTAGGGTGGCTGCCTCAGAAAGTACCTGAATTGTCTAAAGATCTTGATCCCCTTATTTCTCTGACCAAGTTTGACTGCTGTGTCCCTGATTTCCTTCTGAGTTTATAGTTCTCCTGTCTCCTCACCTTTCTCCCCTCCAACAGCCCCCTTCTTCTCTTCAGCATGACTGACCTAGCTGTTTGGTCTTCTGTTCAGCTTCAAACACGCACCCTTTTTCTTTTTTATCTATTCTTCCCCATTCATTTTGGTATCTTGCCCCATGCTACTGATTCCATCTTTTCTTAAATACATTTCTGCCTTTATCACTATGTGATATTTATCATAGGCATCTGTATATCCTACAGAATCTAAATTATCTTTTTGAGTTGTAACATGAGCAACTTGGCAACTGGCATTTAGTTAATATAGCCAATTTTACATAGGTAAAATCCATACCATGGCTATCACTATGGCTTGGCAGGATGAGTCTTAAATATGTATGACAACACTGGAAAAGATAAGATCTGTCTTAAAGGAAAGAGATTTAATGTACAAAGTGGATTTTGCGTTGAAAGTAGATTGATTTGTTAAACAGTGTATTAAAAAGGATATTGACAAGCAGAGAAAAAAAATGGTGTTTCTGAGAGATACCACAGACTGCTCAAAGAAAGAGAGAGAAGATACAACTGATGCTTTCCTAATATAGATTATAACTCTAGTATTCAGGCTATTAGTGTCAGAAACCTTACCTCTCTCATCTTTGAATTCCCTTTAGATTTCAGCAAAATGCTTTTTGAATTGAAATTAGTCTCTGTTGGTAGTGCCTTAATGCAGAACAGTTGATATATTCTTGATGTAACCAGAAGAATCTTTTATGACTCGAAAGCTAGAAAAATCCCCAGGAAAATGGTTTACTTTAGCCTTGATCTAAACGACAAAATAGGGTAGAAGCGCTAACACTCATCAAACTCTTCCAGGCATTCTGCAGCCCTCATCTCATTGAGTCTTCATAAAATCCAACTGAAGTACAATTTTTAGACCTATTTTTCAGATGAGGAAGTAAATACTCAGATTAATAACTGTCTTATAGGCAGTAACTATTAATGAGGGAGTTAGAATGAAAACTTTAGCTTCAGAGTCTGTGATCCATCGGATCCACCATGCAATCCTTCAGTGACTGGTGAGAAGCAAATGAGAAGAGCCTTGGAAAATAAATGTTTATGTCATCCTAGTAAGAAGAAAGCAGAAAGAGCACTTAGGGCATGTAGCTTCTGGGAAAAGTTTTCTCAGATTTCAAAAAAGAGAAAGAACAATGATGTATTTAACCAAAGAGGAAGCCTAACGAGTGCCATGTAGCCCTGAGGATGGTACCAGGGAAAGCTCAGAATAAACTCATGTTTATATAACTGCTAAACACAAGCAAATAAATAGATAAATAATATTTTTGCACATACGCTTGGAATAAAAAAGTTGGCAAAGGATGTATAGCCCTACTGTTTGGAGAAGGTTGCATAAATATTACACAATTTAAAGAAAAGATAACATGGAGTAGCCCCTATTTGTTTTTATCTTTTCCACTGAGGTAAACAGCCTTCCAAATTAAAATTACATTGCAAGTATTGTTAAGAGGCTACTGTTAACCAGGGTAAAAAAGAGTAGAATAAAACAGTACTAAAAAACAGCATCAAGAAAGGTCTTGATAAGTTTTGCAACAATCAGTGTGAACAGAGCTCACTAAGGTGATTATGGAGTCATTCTGGGTATGCATGGAGATATCATGAGGAATGAGAGGGATGCCATAGACCAGACAGGGAAAAACATTGTATTTCAGAAACTCCAGCTGTACTTAAGAGAGGGAGGTGGGACCAGAGTTGGAACTGGGTCTTTTCTTTTTTTTTTTTTTTTTGTAATTCCCATAACACTGGGCATCCCACCTGTGGATCATGGTATTTAATAAATGCTTTTTCTTTTCATCCTGAATGGAGATAATTTTCCAATTCAAATACATGTGAAACAAGTATAGCATCATATAGTTGGCAGAGCAACTCTCTATATAGTTTATAGAGTGCTTTCAGTTTCTTAGAGAAATGGAACTATAAAGCTATCAATGGAAACTCTAAATGTTACTATTATTATCACAATTAATAATATATTTTCAGTGCAGCCAATATTTCCCTTGGTTACCATTTTCCAGATGCTGTGTAAGGCACTGGGGATGTAGAGATAAATGAGGTACTCTTTGTTCACAAGTTTCCCATTATCTTGAGCTAATAACAACCAGGCGGTGACTTCACAGAGACCTTCATCTTCAGGAAATGTGTGTCTGTGAATAGGCAGGGTGTCCTAGGCAATAGCCAATCATAGATGAATGTATGGATTATTATGATTTATAAAGAGAGGCAAATGAGGATTTCAACCATAAATCCTTTAAAATATCAGGACCCTTGTTCTTAGAACTGCACATATTGAATTCCACATGGCAGAGCAAAGCAAACGAAGATAGTAGTGAGTGTTTATTCCATGCCATGCATTGTTCTAAGAGTTTATCTGTACTACCTCATTTAGTGCTCTCGACAACCCTGTGAGGTAGCAACGTTATTCTACAAAGGAGAAAACCAAAGCATAGAAAAATGAAACACTTTGCTCAAATCACAAATACAGTAAGTAGTAGAACCTAGATTTTAACCTGGCCAATTTGACTACAGACTCCATCATCTTTATTTTTTTTTTCAGTTCAGGACTCCTGATTTTTGTTGTTTATTCATGTACTCACTAATTTGCAAAATTCTATAATCCACAGTGGGTTTCCCCTGTCATTTGTGCTAATTAGTGGAATTCTACAGTACTAATAAATCAACATTATCCAAACACGGTTTTTGGAGATATGGTTGTAATACATTCTTGCATAGGAATTTTTAAAAATTAGATAGTGGTTCACCACTGCAATTCTGATTTTTACTGATAGGATTTTGATGTACATCCTTCTACAGCTGGATTTTTAAAAATTTTTATTTTGATTTAAGTTTTGGGATACATGTATAGGACGTGCAGGTTTGTTACATAGGTAAATGTGTGCCATGGTGGTTTGCTGCACCTATCAACCCATCACCTAGGTATTAAACCCTGCGTGAATTAGCCATTTATCCTGATGTTCTCCCTCCCCTTGCCCCCACCCGACAGGCCCCAGTAAGTGTTGTTCCCCTCCCTGTGTCCATGTGTTCTTATTGTTCAGCTCCCACTTATGAGTAAGAACATGCGGTGTTTGGTTTTCTGTTCCTGTGTTTGTTTGCTAAGGATGATGGCTTCCAGCTTCATCCATGTCCCCCTGCAAAGGACATGATCTCATTCCTTTTTATGGCTGCATAATATTCTGTGGTGTATATGTACCACATTTGCTTTATCCAGTCTATCATTGATGGGCATTTAGTTTGATTCTGTGTCTTTGTTATTGTGAATAGTGCTGCAATAAACATATGTGTGCATGTTTCCTTATAATAGAATGATTTATATTCCTTTGGGTATATATCCAGTAATGAGATTGCTGGAACAAATGGTGTTTCTGGTTCTAGATCCTTGAGGAATCGTCACATTGTCTTCCACAACGGTTGAACTGATTTACATTCCCACCAGCGGTTTGCACTAAACCAAAATATAGTTATGCTCTAAATAAGGAAAGACAAAGGAGAAAAAAATCATAAATTGGTCTTGCTTTGGACTCTGCCTCTCTTTTCTGTCCTCATCCATCCTCTCATCTTGGTACCCAGTACCCTGCTGAGAGCTCTCTTTCCAAAGGAACATTGTCTAATAATCTTATTCATACTAAAGTAGTAAAGGCCCCATGGTGGATCTTTCCCAGATGTTCGTATTTTAAAAAAGATAATCTCAAGGAGAGGGGACTGTATAACACAACCCCAAAAAATGACTAATAAGAAAAATTTAAGAATATGAATGAGGGTTTTCTGGATCATAGAGGGTGTGGTTCACTCTCTTAGGAATAATATCAACTATTCTACCTGAGAGTGGTCAATAGAGCACAAAATATATTTGGGGAAAATTTTGAGGAGCCATCTTTAAAAGATGAACTTTGAATGCTATCAAGGCAGAAGCAATAGGTTCAGAATCTCAGGCCAGGAAAAGCAGGGGCCCTCATGGCCGCAGGAAGAGCAAGAGCAAAGGCTATGGAGAGGAGAGTTTCCAAAACACAGACCTATCTCTCACGAACCTAAACAACCCTGAAGTCTGGGAATCCATCCCAAAATACATTTTCTGAAGGTAAAACAAGTTAATAATTAGTTCTCGCCATTATCTTACTTTTACAAAACTGTCTTCTATATGTAAAACAAATTGAGGTTAACACAAAGATCATTCTTTGTGTGTGTGTGTGTGTGTGTGTGTGTGTGCATTTTGCCCTGGAAATTTAATATTCTATCTTTTGCTTTTAAAACATAATGTTTTATGTGGAAAGCCTATACTGGACTGTATCCAAGGGCACTTTATTATTAAAATCCCAAAATCTCTATCATATAGTTTCATTTATAAGACAAAAACTGTTTTACATTAAAACACGAATGGTAGAATTTTAATGTTCTTTATTTCTTTCTAGAAGAATTTTATAGTCTCACAAAATAATTGCGGTATATGCTTAATTTGAGAAATAGAATGCTACTTGATAACCATACACATGTATATAAGCTGCAATGATTTTACAAGGCTTTTATCCAGTCTCCCACTTAGTCAGATGATAAGACCCTCTTGTGACTCATTCTTTTTCTCTATTTTTCAATTCTCTAACTTCCTGGAAGCTCCTCTGTTCTGGTGGTCGGGTAGGAGGGAAGCATTCACCCAGAAAATGAGCTCAAAAGATTCTCCCTTGAGTTCTTGGTTCACTGTTTTGTTTTGTTTTTCCCATGTATTTTGCCTGGAAAGAAAGGCCAGAGTGAATGAGTCAAGCAACAGATAGATGAAACTAATTTTGCTATATTGTTTGTCTAGAATGTTGTAGGTGAGAATATTAGTAAATAAAGGGATTTTTTGTCTTTACAAAAATTCTAGAATTATTTCTAAATATATATCTTCATATCATTCTAAATGTGTGTGGTAGGTTTGGAAAAGAAATTAAGAATGCCTTTCTGCTTTATCAAAAATCAGTACCAATATATCAATGTTTACTCCCAATGAAGTAAAAACTTGATTGGAACACTAATGAAGGAATGTTCACTCTAATATTCAAATGAATAAAATCATATTTATTGTTGGCTTTTATAGGTGAAATCTACATGGCTATTACGAATTCCATGTATTCCAACTCATAGATAGATTGATTGGTTAATTCCTTCTAACATTCAAGGGATGGATACAGGTGGCCATACCTTTTATTCTAAAAAGAAAATGTAACAATTTCTTAAATAATTACATTTCATACAAATAATATGAGAAAATAGAGATGGATTTCACTTATAAAAGTACACAAGGAACCCTTAAATGAAATACAAATGATTAAGCATTCTCACTACACACACACAAAGGCAACTAAATGAAGAGATGGATGTTAATTAGCTTGACTGTAGTAATCATTTTACTGTGATTATGTATATCAAAACATAATATTGTGCAACTTAAATATATACAATTTTTATTTAAAAACCAAAATAAAAATTACATAATACAATAAAAGAATAATCTCCCATAACCAAGTAAAATATATCCAGTAATATAAATGTTTAAATATGAGACTCTGTCAATATAATACAATCAGCATGAAGTTACCACAGATTCTTTGAAAATTACATATACATTTCTAAGAAACATTGATTTCAGGAAGTTTAAAAAGTACCTTGGCACTTTGCTTTTAATAAAAGAAACACTACATTTGTAAATGAATAGCCAAAATTATTCATAGTGGAGAAATAATAAAGATTTTCAACATGGAGGGAAATGCACCTATTATTAATACCTGGGAATAATTTAGTCCCTGGCAAGATAGTGAATGAACATAATCCTCTAATTCCCTTCCCAACACAACACTGTAAATACTGTATATACTGATGCCATAGAAACAACAGTCTATTGCTACATCCTGGGAAAGCCCTGGAAAGAGAAGGTGGGCTCAACTGAGGGGTGATGCACTAGCCAAGAGAAGAAAGTCCAGAGACCAAGGGCAGGGCAAGACCTTTCCATTGTGTGTGTATGCGTGTGTTTTTGCAGATTCCTCTCACACACACATCATGGAGTGGACCATTTCCTTCTCCTATGCCACTTTGAGACAGAAAACAGGCCGACCTGGTAAGAACAGGCCAGAGGTTGTTCCCTATACTGTCTGGAGTTAGTGAGTGTATCACAACAGGCACAGACGGTCCAGTCTGCTCCTCAGTATTTTCTCCTCCGGTAACCCTGTATCCATCCCAAGATTTGACTGATTACAAGAAAGAAACGTTGCGTTTGGAAAGAATCAGTGCCTGCATGGGGGTACTGGGAGATTTTCTGTGGAGCAGTGCCATTTGTCAAAGGTTTGGTCAATAAGGAATGATGGAACTCAGCTTGTCATGAGATAGGCTTTTTTCCGGTGAGCCCTGACCCACTTGAAACTTATCAAGAGGGAAACATGTTAGGGTCTAGACTTTCGCTCCTCCTATGGGTGCATATTACTAGCTAAGGAAATGTGAGATCCTAAAGAATAATAACAAAACCTCTGAGGAATAATACTCCTTTAAGAGAGAGACAAAACAAACAAACAAACAAACAAACAAACTGAACAACCTATTCATCATGAAATGAATTGTCTAGAGAGAATAACTTTTTAAGGTCAGCATAGTAAGTTTCTCAAAGGGGTAAGAAAGAATATTGATAAAAAGAAACAGGGATAAATATTTATGAAAAACAAATGGAGAAGATTAAGTATGAAACTACATAGCAGATTAAAAACTAAATAAAAAGACATTGAAAGGTGGAATAGATACAGCAAAAGAATAAATAAGTTGCTGTCGAATTGGATTAATGAATTATGAGTCAACAAGAAGGGAGAAAGAAGGAAGATTTTAAATAAAATTTAAAAGGTATGAAGGATAAAAGTAGAAATGTCAGCATTCATATAATAGGAATCTCAAAAGGAAGAGAAAAACATACATGGGAGGAAGAAAATAGTTTTCAAACTAATTATAGAACATTTGCCATAACTTAAGTGACATGAAAGAACTCAGGCTGAAAGGACTTAGAGTATGAAACAGTATTCCTAAGGAAGGGGGAAAAAGTCAATATCCAGCTGTATTAAAATGAAATTTAGAAACATCAAAATTAGAAAAAAGTTAGCAAAGTTATAGAATAAAGCAATAACATACTATGTTTTAACTGATAGATATATAGGGAAATTTATATCCAAAAAGTGGCGGTTCCAAATTATTTTTGAGCACATATATAATCCTTCTTCCACATACACAAACTATGTACCAGATTACAAAGAATCAGTAACATACAGACTGTTTTCTCACTTTAAGGCAATAAAATTAGAAATCAATAATGAAATGGTAGCTTAAAAACTAAAAAGTATATTATTTAATAACATTTGTGTTGATTAAACCACAGAAAAATTACAAAATCCTTAGAATGGAATGAAAAAGAAAACACCATCAAAACTTCCAAAACACAGCTAAAGAAGCACCTAAAGACAAATTGGATGCATTCAGTACACTTATCAAAAAATAAGAAATAGAAAAAAAATGAGCAAAACTTTCAACTCAATATGAGGACAAGTTTCAAAATAAACTCAAAGATATAAGAAAAAATATTAAAAATTATAGAATAAATTAAAGACAAATGAAAACAATAGGAGAGATTAGTTAAAGCAAAGTCTTTTTAAAGAAGATAAATAAATGGGAAAAATTTGGCCCTGAGGAAGAAAAGATAGAGGTAAGACATGTAAAAATAAGAAAAAAATATAGACAACTATGCAATAATTTAAAAATAACAAAAATCCTATGAACAATTACTTATCAATACAATTAAAAGTCTTGTTAAAATATATTTTTGTCTATCATAAAATTGCCAACATGACACAAGAGAAATAGAAAAGCCATTAAATAAACAAATAAAAGTTCAGATGGCATTTTATGGATGTTCTTTCAAACTTTCAAGGGTAGAATAATCTTTGTCTTATACAAGAGGATTAAAAAATATATAAACAGGGAAAGTTTCTCAACCTATTTACATGGCTTATGTAACTTTGATACCAAGAGTAGATAAAGTTACTATAAAGAAACAAAATGTGGGGCCCATTTCACTTATTAAAATACATGCAAAATGCCATATAAATTTAGAGAAAACATTTGATGAAATTCAAGGCATATGTATATTAAAAATAGTTGAAATCCTTCTTTAAGTTATTCTTCTATCAATAACTGAGATCAAATATTTTACTTAATAAGAAAGTTTGGATGAATCTACTTTATAATTACAGACCAGATGAAAATGCCCACCATTCATTGTTACCATTAGTGATGTTTTCAAAAGTCCTAGACAATGCAATAAGATAAGAAAAGGGAACAAGAGGTAAAGATCTAAAAGGATGTTGCAAATTCTAATTATTTATAGGTTATATGATCAATTACCAAAGAAAATCCCTGAAAACAGCAAAAAATCTTTAGAAAAAGCAAAGAGGTCAGTAAAATAGTCACATATACAAGATTAATTTAGAAATATTGTGTCCCCTTTTCCAGCAAGAACATAAGAAAGAGAATAGAAAATATCTCATAATATCATTATAACATATCTGTAAAACAAGTAAGAAATAAGCTTTAAAGTACATTACACAATGGAAAAAATATCTGACTAAATAGAGACAGATATCATGTTCATGGTTGGAATGAATTTTGTTTCATTTGTACATTAATATCAACTCTAATAAAAACTATGATAGAAGTGTTAAGAACTCTACAAACTTACTGTAAACTTAATATGGATGAATACAGATTCACAAATAGCTAAATCTACCTTCAAAAGGTAGAATAAGGAAAGATGACTTGCATTACCAGTGTTTCAGGCAAAGTACTAAACCATATTAGTAAAGAGTGTAGTGTCGGTACAGGAACACACAGCTCAATGAAATGGATCTGTGTATATGTTGAAACATATAAAGTAGATAGCACAAAACTTAGTAGAGAAAAGATGGGTTCTTTAGTAGTGTTAGAAAAACTCATAGGGAAAAATAAATTAGAATTCTTCCATTAAAAAAAGAAAATATACAGGAGGATTACATACTTAAATATGATAGGAATAAATATAAATCTATTAGCAAAATGTGAGTCAATGGATGGTGATCTTGGTATGGAGAAGGACTTTTTAACACCTATGTGCTCTTGAAAGGACAAAAAATAAAGAAAGGGATGTATTTAACATAATATTCAGAATTTCTGTCTAATAAAATCATTATAGGCAAAGCTAACAGAAACCACATACTGGAAATGGCATTTGAAGCATCTAGATCTAACAAGTTTATCTGGACAAAGAAATGTGGAAAATCAAGAGAAGATACACAATCCAGCAGAATAAACGTTCGTGTATAATAATAACTGATTCATGAAAGGGGCATCTTGAGCGACTCAAAGTTCATGAAGGAGTACTCACTCAGTCTCATTTTTAATAAGCAGCAAGTCTAGGGGGCAATCTGACAATTCTAGATGAACCTAAGTGAGAAGTTTTCATGAGTCAGCAAACTCTCCCAACAGCAAATTGTCCAGAAAAATACTTGTTTATGGCTGTTCATGGTAGTAAGTACTGGTAGCAACCTAGATGTCACCCCAGGAGAATAGATAAATGGATACGTGGAATGCCTTGGAAGCTGGTCTTTCTTATAGAAGGCTTTCTTATCTCAGAAGATCTGCCAAGAGATTAGCAATAGAGCAGATGTCCCAGGGAGCAAGTCCGTATATCATGGTTCCCACTGATGCCTCTTTCATTCAAACTAGTCCCCAAGCAGCAGTCAGGCCATGGTAAGCAATATTCTAAAAAGTGTGAATTAGAATCACCTATGGTCTTGTTAAAATACAGAGTGAAGGCCCCACTGCAGACCTACTAAGTCAGAATTGCTATTAGTTTACCAATGGAATTCTTAATGTCTTTAGGAGGGACTAGCTAGTGCTAGAGAAAATAACTACTTTGTACTCAATGGCTGGCAGTCAGTGTTATGGGAAGACAAATGGATATTTAAAATCAATTTAAATAATTTGTGTGTGTGTGTGTGTGTTTGTGTGTGTGTGTTTAGGTAGGTAGTTACCCTCAAAACCAGAAATGCAATCTTAGTATCTAATCATAGAGAAAACTGGAGTTTCTGTGTGTGCAACGGAAGTGGCAGTGGATGTTTTGCTGATGTTTTGCAGAAAAATCATGGGATGGAGATTGTTGCATATATTGTTGTTGTTGCTATGGGATTGTTGGTTTAGTTTGCAGATGAGTTTTCTTATTTGCTTGTGTGTGGTGAGAAATTCTCCTGGAGAAATGTACGAAGCAGATGAAAGGGTACAGAGGAGAAAAAATGAAGGCTCCCTCATGAAAGAATTTGTGAAACTTTAAGCCTAAGTTCTGTTATTTTGAGGACTATGTGACAAAGGGTGATTCAGGAAAAGGAGTAGAAGTGTGTCTTCCCAACTTCCCAACCAGCTGAGCTCCATGGAGAGTGTCTACTTTAGAAGGATCAGGAGATAGCTCTCTGGACACTCGTCCAGAAGGATCCTTTAAGAAGTACAAGCAATACAAGGTTGGGAAAAGCAAGGTGGGCATCAGGGGAAGCCAAGAAACATGGGGCTGAATGTGTCAGTGAGGGCACATTGAAGTGACTAGGCAGGTAGACTAGATGGGACAAGAAGCATTATTGGCAGGGGCCATTAGAAAAATGGGTAACAGGAGAACTTGGTGAAAGCGAAAAGATAATTCAAAAAACTAGAGATAAAGGGTTGTGTGATCTATAATCAGCTCATGTTCAGAGAAGACAAGAATATTTGAGACCTCAAAGATGTTGGGTCAAGATCCAGGATATGACTGCGCTCATTAGAGGACGATGGTTACTGGAGTTGAAGGTCAAAGTGGAGGAGGGTGAACAGCGATGAGTCAGAATATCAGCTGTAATGTTTA
The DNA here is from genome assembly GCF_000001405.40 of Homo sapiens. NCBI lineage: Eukaryota > Metazoa > Chordata > Mammalia > Primates > Hominidae > Homo > Homo sapiens. The sequence continues at coordinate 41,162,820 of NC_000007.14, forward strand.
AGTCACTAATGATGATAGAAGAGAAGGGGCAGAAAGCAGAATGGTGAATCAGGCACAGAAATGGTTGTGGAAGGTAATGAGTTGTGAAGGATGATAAATGGTGGTGAGGAGGCTGATAGAAGTAGACACTATTGGCTCCCAATGTAAAGAAGTGAAATGATGAGAGATGATCGGTGTTTAAAAAGCAGCCCTGGGGGCCAAGGCCCAGACCTTTAGTGCATTAAGCAGAGTAAGGAATAAAAAGGTCCATAAGAGAGTTGAAGAGGTTCCTAGGTCATCAGGATAAAAGCCAGGCTTCACTGTCCAGATGATAATTTGAAGGAAAACAGTGAAAACACATTTACATGTTTTAAAAAATTACCCTTAAATTAACAAGACTTCTAAGGAACTAAATAAAAGGTTCTAGAAGTTGAGCCAAAAACAGAAGCACACAGGTAGAGGTGAGGATATATGCAATTGAATTAGGTTGGAATGAGAATGAAAGAAAATAGGTGTTTGGTTGTTGTTTCGGGAGCTGGGAGGTGGTAAGGCAGGAGCCAGAAGTGTGACCATGAGAATGACATTTAGAAAGCTAAAGTTTTGAGGAGCAGAGAGTTAAGCACTTGGAAAGGCCTAGTAGAAATAATGGTGTGTGTTTTCTTCCAAACTGTAAAAGCTGAAAGTATACATATAAGCCAAAAGGAGGTTTTAAAAAATAAGTTAACTCTAAATACCATGAGGCTTCAGCTTCTAATTACCAATTAGATTACTTCTTGTGTAATGTGGCATATTTATTCACAAACTGGACATTTTAGCTTTCCTAATTTAAAAAAATCATATTTAAATGAAAGAATGTCAAAGTTACCAGAAATCTAAATAATAAGTTGTTAGATTTTTATAGAGAGAATATGACAAAGTTTGACAGGATGATGACATTTCATAATTTGTTCTGATTTAAAACAAAAACAGTTAAAGACCAGGGACTCATCCATCCATTCTTTCGTCCATTTGTTCTTTGTGGATTGATTCATTAAGCAGATCTCTACTGCATACCTATTGTGTACCAAGTACCATGCTATTGTTTGAGTGAACATTGGTGAATGAAGTAGAAGGAAACTTTTAATCAGCCAGGCACAGACTTTGAATGAGAGAACAAAAATTGTTTGAAGAGGGTAGAGGGTGGTTTTATATATATATTTACAAGTTACGGAAAGTGCAGTGAAAGAACTGAACATGGTGCTGTGATAGAGAATTCCTGGGGAGGAGGAACTTCTATGAAAGAGCAATCAGAGAAGGTATCATTGAGATGATGGCATCCATGCAGATAGCTGCACTGAGCAAAGAAGAGACAAGCAGTTAGATAAAGAGTGTTCCAGGATGTGTGAAGCCCGCAGGAAGGGAAAGAGCTGATAAATTTAAGGAATGCATGGAAGACAAGGCTGGCTTCAGCAGAGAGGAAGAGGGAGAGATGTGGAGAGCCAGACTGTGCAGAGCCTTGTTGGTACGTAATTCCCAATTGGGTCATTGAACAAAAACTAATATGTGAAAGGTGAAATATATACATGCCCAGTGAAAAAGGGCTGTTTAACTACAAGTTAATTCTTACTTTTTCCTACTAACCTTGGAGTATTAATATAACAAAAGTCTGTTTTTTTCTTTTTTTAATTTGGTTGTGTTGTGTTTTCCCCTCTACACTTAAAGAACAGAGCTCTAAGTGACTTACTATCTTTAATAAAAACTCCTGTAGGCTGGGGGATATAATATTGTTCCGGTTAGATTTTCTGTGGTTTAACACAGATGGCGAAAGTATTTTAAGAAGCTTAGCTATTTTGTTAAATGTTTATGACTTGTAAATTCCCAGCCTTTTAGGATTATCTAAATGTGTTGACATTGATGGTGAATTTGAAGGGAAATTAGCCAAATATGTTTTTGTCTAATTAACCAGTGGGGCCTAATAATAGCAGGGTTTATGGGTAAAGCAGGGCTACTTATTTATTACATGGAGATATGTTCATATTATTTTCATTTGAAGTTTAAATTTTCAAATTCTTTCCCACCACTTTCTGGAGTCATTGAATGAGCTGTCAGAGCAAAAATCCTCAACCTCTTTTCTTTCTAAAAAAAATTTTAAAAAAAGAAGAAAATTAGCCTACTAGTTTCATTTCACCAGAAATCTGAAGTTTGACTCTTCCAAACTTCTATTTCTGTGCTTCTCATAAGATACAGAAGGAGAATCAATCACCTCCATTTTTGGCTCAGTGGTCTTGAGAAATAAGAAAAAGTTTGAGTTTCTTGTGATAGTTTTTAATCTCTTGGGCTAGTGGTTTTATAATTCAGCAATTATATATCATCCTTGTTTAAGTAATTGTAGCAGTTAGGTATGCAAAATTTTAAGAGTTCTGTCAGACCAGAATAGTAATATTTAGCAAATTACCACAAGACCTCCTGTAGGGAGAGACAGACACGAGAAAGAAGACTGTCATAGACTGACTATTATTTCCAAAACTCTACCAATACTTTACATTCAATTTCACTTATCTTCAAGACAGTACCATGCTATCTTTCATTATTAATTTGTTTGACACATGAGCTCAACACGTTCACAAGTCCATTGCCTATGCTGGGAAGCATTCATTTAGACCAAGGTATTTCAGACTCTGAAGTCTGTGCCCTTTTCCCGTTTTTCTCAATGTTAACTTGTTATTCCTGTCGCCCAAGGGAAAATATCATCTTGGTCACCTGTGTGTATCAGGCATAGACGTTTGTAGCAAAGTGTATTTTATGTTTTAAAAAAATCAAGGATGATGTTGATGATGATGATGACTGTTCATATACCTCCACCTTCCACTGGATGGGGGTCAAATAGTAGAATAAATGCCACATGAGTGGTGCTTCCTATATTTGGGGCTGTAGGGGGAAATATTAATGTATTGGTTGTCTTAGCCTACAAGTAATATAAATGGCAGATATAATATAAGTGTGAGCTATTTTTTAATATCAAACATCTTTTTATTGAAGCCCCCCAAAAGCCACCAGAAATCAAATCATTTTAATGTAACTCTTTCACCACTACAGGCAGCCTAAAGAACTATCTTTTAGATTCCTGTGCTGATTCTACCACTAATGAACATGAATTGCTGTTCTAGACTTTATTTCTTTTCTATAAAATAAGTGGATTTAAAAATTCTTTTTTACCTGTAAAATTCTGAGAGTTGATCTGTGCATATCATCCTATAGATTGATCAAAGTGGGGCAAAACCTTAAGCATTTTTATTTAAAATATAATGGTGAGTTGGTTCTCTTATTTTTACATAATGTTTAAGTATTTTTATGTGTGGAATTCATGGAGAAGTGGTGCGTCTACATTTCTCTTTTAATGAAGTTTTTTTTTCCCTGCTTCAATATTTCAGTCATTTAGTAAATTTCACTTAAGAAAAATGCTGAATAATAAGCACATGGGAAACATTTTCTTTATTTCTATTTTGGTAAATATACTTTAAAATCTGTAGAAAAGTTTGTTTTGTGTGTTTTTGGCTTTGTTTTTCAGTATTGCTAAAAATGTTACATCAACTTGGCCCCAGGATAGTAATTAACAACCCAGTCAGAGGTTGCTAGTAATTTCCCATTTGCTTAGGAAGAAGATTTTATTAAATAAGCTGGAGTTGTGAGTATTAGCTAGAGAAGACTTTTGAAATTTGCTTTCAACAGAGTAGTATATAAAAAAAGAAATGACCAAAAATGCAATTAATATGTAAATCTAGAAATTAAGAAAATAATAGCTTTCAAAACAAGACAATCTATAGAAAAAAAGATTATGAAAGCTTTTGCTTTTGTTGCCTATTCATTCACTTTAATATACATAGAAGAAAGTTAAATGTTAACTAAAACTAGTAGTAGAGTTGTAGAAATACATGTTGCTCTTAGAACATAATTGCAATTTAGATATACATTGTGCCTATCGTAGACCTCCTGATATGTGTGAGAATGTGTTTCAAGTCTTTGGTTAGAAAAATAATACTAAATATAAACTTCCCCAATAATGGTTGAAAAGGAGTGGAATGTCCTTATTTTAAAGGTTTGAATGCATAAGAATCACATTTTGATATTTAACTGTGTTCTGCATCTTGACTCTGTCATAAATGAAATGGGAAGAGAAGTGTAACATATGGGTGGGAACAATAGTAATAACAATTAGCAAATCACCAAAGCCTGAAGTACGGAGGTGTTTGGGAAATGTGAAGCCCTGCTGAGATTGGGGCTCCATCCCAATAAGGTGCTCTCTCCTAGAATCTTGAGTGGTATGGGAGGACAAAATGGAAGGGGGTTACTGGGTGATGGCAGCTGATGTTTGGGGAAATCTTCACAATGATCGGTTAGTCTGTCTATAAAGAAGCTTTTGCTTTTGTTGCTTATCCATCCACTTTAATCTGCATAGAAGGAAGCTAAATGTTAATAAAATTAGGAGTGGAACTGTAGAAATAAACATTGTCCTCGGAATATAACTGCAATTTTGATATAAATAGAATCCTAGTTCTTTTAAAGAAAATGACATGGATTATTTTAAAATTAAAAGTTTTGCTGACCTATGGTGTTGAAATAAAATTTAGTAGAAATTTACTTGAAAGTCTTTCAAAATGTTTTATACAGATTGAAGGGCAGTACTATATACACTGAATATTTATATCACCTTAAATTTCATATGTTGGTACCTCATCTCCAATGCATTTGGAGGTGGGGCCTTTGAGAGGTGATAGGGTCATGGGATCAGTGGCCTTATAGAAATAGGCCCCTGTGAGCTTCTTTGCCCTTTCCATCTTGAGAGTACACAGAAAGGAGACAGCAGCCTATGAACTAGGAAGAGAGCTCTTGTCAGATAGTGAATCTGCTGGCACCTTGATCTTGGACTTCCCAGCCTCCAGAACTGTAAGAAATAAACGTCTATTGTTTATAAACCATGAAGTATGTAATTTTCTGTGATAGAAACTAAAATGGACTAAGACAGGAAAAAAGCTAAGAGACCACTGTATTTGTCTTCATACCTTCACACAGTAACTATTCATGTTGTAGAGATTTTACCTCAGGAAATGTTCACTATGATATCTGTGTTTTATGCACTGAATTGCATGGTATGAGGAGACACAAAGAACCAAAGCATGTTATAGTAATGTCGTACTCCAAAAATGTTAGTGCTAAAAACCTTTGACTCATAAAATACTGGAAGTAGAAGAGACCTTAGCAACCATCTAAATGAGGATAGACAAACTATCTCCTGGGGCCAAATCCAGCCTGATGCCTGTTTATTTATGGCCTAAGGACTAAGAATAGTTTTTACATTTGTAGATGGTTGAGAAAAATCAAAAGAAGGGTTTTGATTGCATGGGAAAATTACATAAAGTTCGAATGTCAGTGTCCATAACTAAAGTTTTATTAGAACACAGCCACAGCCATTCATTTCAGTATTGCCTGTGACAGGTCCGATGGCAGAATGTGTAGGTGTGACAGAGATCTTATGACCTATAATCCTCAACATTTGTACTATCTGGACCTATACAGATAAAGTTAGTTAACACCTAATCCAGATAGCAAATAAGCCCCTTTGCTAGGTGATCCTTAGTTAGAGGTTGTCAGGAAGCTTTTTGAGGATTCTGCTTTTGGGCTCGGTAGAAAAGTACACAGTGATTGACAGACAGTGTCTACCTCAGACAAGGGAGGGGGATGGTGGCACACACTCAGTCTTTTCCAGTCAAAGTTCTTTAACTGTATGTAATCCACTGTTTCTGAGCTTGTATTAAAGCTTGTAGAACACAAGTTCATAAAGCCGAGCAAGCCTCTTTCCCATTACACCTGGTACCAAATCAACCCTCCAAGACCATCAGAATGCATATTAAGAATCAGGGAGATAATTTTCTAAAAATGCAGCCCCACCCCACCCCAATGCATACCCAGCATTATGATTTTATATATTAGGGTGAAGCATAGGAACTTCCGTTTTCAAAAAAGGTTGAAATTTAAAAGAGGTTTTTGCTAGGACTGTGCTGTCCATTACAGTAACCACTAGGCACATGAGGTTGTCTAAATTAAATTAAATAAAATTTAAAATTAAGTTTCTCAGGTGCACTAGCCACATTTTAAGTGCTCAACGACAATACGAGCCTAGCAGGTTCCAAATTGAACAGCTCAGAAGAATATTTCCATCAACATAGAAGGTTCTATTGGACAAAACAGATTTAAGAGATTCCAGGATTCCAGTTAATCTCAGAAGTTAACTAATCAACTTTATAAAAAGAGGATTAGCTCATCTTTACTGTCAGAAATATGCAAAAGAAAGAAAACAAAAGAAAGAAACAATGAGAAAAACAAATTTAGTATAACGATAGCAATCTTCATCCACTATGTAACTCTCCATCTATTTATCATTAAGATAACCAAAAGGATTTATAACTTGAGAACAACCCCATATATTACTAAAGGGAAGGGAAGGATAATATTTTACATCAGATTCTTGGAGGGACTTTATTAGCCATAATGTAGGAGAGGTAGGTTTGAGATAGGACGGACCAATGTATGAGTCAACAGACTTAATAGAAACGTTTGCCTGGGGAAAAAGAATTTGAGATGATAGGAAAACCCCACCGGCTTCAGGAAGTTTACAATGGGTGCTGGAGGCAAAGGTGAGCCATGACAAGTCAATGGGCAGTACCGACATCCTGAGAAAGTGCAAAGATGTTGGTCCACAGAGGCATGAATGCAGTGTCCTTTTCCAGGAAATGTGTGGTGCTGACATCATGCTTTGTAACACATGCTGCTTCCTCCAGTGTCTAATGGATACAGTCACATCAGCTAGAGTAAAGGGCTCCATCAAGAGTCACAGTGAATAAATCCTTTGCAACAGCGTCAACGGGCAATATTACCCTGGCCGGACTTCCCTTAGTGAGCGCTCAGCTCCGTTCTGCCATAGTGAAGACAAAGTCCGAGACAACAAAATAAATAGACAATGAACCTAAACTTTTCTTTCTCACTAATCTGGTGTGAGAATAGCACAGTGCATTTTACAGTTATCGTCTTCTTATCTTAGTACTGAAGGACAAAACAAAATGGAAATACGTCCGTAACTATCAAGATGAGCAAATGGATAAAAGTGCCCAGATACATGAAATAGCAAGTAGTTCAAAAGAAGAAAACCTGCGGAGGAATAAATGTTCCCACAGATCTGTGGAACAGATCTACCGCAAGGGAAATTAGAGAAAATCTTCCAAAATTTATCTGATTCGTGGAGTTATTGTGTCTCTGAACAAGGCACTCATCCTAAACAATACCATTCAGATGAAATGAATAATTAACAAAGGCTTGTAATGGCATGAAAGCAGAAAACATATATTGAATATTACAGAAGGTCAAATCAGAGAATTATCATACCAGGTTGAGAAATTATCCTGGTATTTAGATGAAAAAAATGAGATAAATGTGCCAATCAAAAATGTAAGTTGCATTGATGACAAATCTAAGAAGTCAAAGATACATATAGGAGAAAACAGAGCAATCACAGGAAAAGCAATTCCCAACGAAATAACAGAAGATTGTTTTCTTGGGGGCTGGTGGGATTAGGGGGAGTATGGGGCTTAAAACCAAGGCAAAATAGCCTATCTAAAAATATGATGATAAAAGTCCTGAATTGAAAAAAAAATTAAGCAGCAAGATGACGGTGGAAAGTGTTTGTTTATAAAAAGAAAAAACTCAAGTTGACATCAGACTCTCTACAATTTGAAAAATACATAAGAGAAAGGAACTCAAGACTCTTGAGAGAAATATATTGAAACCCAAGAATGTTACAGCCAGACAGGCTATCATTCACATTTGAGAGCAATAGAGAGATAATAATAGACATGAAAGGACTCCAAATGTTTTTACCCACATTCTTTTTCTGCAAAAAAAAAAAAAGATTTTTTTAAAAACTTGAAAAAGTATTCCAGCTGACTGAAGAATGACTCAAACTGAAAAACTAAATTATAGGGATTATGTGTAATAAAAGAAAGTATGGTGCGTAATTAAAACCAATTGGGATTAGACTAGATTGTGCTGTAAAAAAAGAGTAGTAATGAAAACCAATCAAAGAGTCAATATTTAAATCACTGTTTTTAATATAGTAAGAAGTTTAAATCAGTAGAAAAAAATTTAAGTAATTTTTCCAAAAGAAACTTACAATGTTTAAAAAAATGATAATATTCTGGATATGAACTCCCAAATTACACCAGCAAAATCTTAGAGTAGGAGTGTGAATAATTGCTTGCAAAATCTTTCGTTTTATGTGTGTAGGGGGAATTCTCAAATTCATATACTTTATTTTTGAAGTGATAAATATATATATAGATAGAATTAAATAGAGATATATAAAGGTATTTAAAATGTAAATTAACCATTAGTTGGAAAAATGGGATGCATAATTTTCAAATTATGAGAAGTAAGAGAAACAAAGAAAACTTGGAAACATAGGAAGGAAATCTGAAAAGATACAAATAAAATAGCAAGAAAGTAAAATTTTAATTTACCTCATTTATTTTGAGACAGAGTCTTCCTCTGTCGCCCAGGCTGAAGTGCAGTGGCACTATCACAGTTCATTGAAGCTTCAAACTCCTGGGCTCAAGTTATCTTCCCACCTCAGCTCCTGAGTAACTGGGGTTACAGGCACACACCACCATGCCTTCTAATTTTTATCTTTGTAGGGAAGGGGCCTAGCTATGTTGTCCAGGCTGGTCATGAAGTCCTGGCCTCAATCCTCCTACTGCGTTGGCATCCCAAGGTGTTGGGATTACAGGTGTCAGTACCATGCCCAGCTGCAAAGTTTTAAAAAATGAAATCATCAAAATAAAACTGAAAATCTTGGCCAGGCACGGTGGTTCACACCTGTAAGCCCAGCACTTTGGGAGGCCGAGACGGGTGGATCACTTGAGGTCAGGAGTTCAAGACCAACTTGGCCAATGGGGCAAAACCCCATCTCTTCTAAAAATCCAAAAATTATCTGAGCATGGTGGTGCACTCCTGTAGTCCCAGCTATTCCAGAGGCTGAGGCAGGAGAATCACTTGAACCCAGGAGGTGGAAGTGGCAGTGACCCAAGATCATGCCATTGTACTCCAGCCTGGGTGACAGAGTGAGACTTTGTCTCAAAAAAAAAAAAAAAAAAAAAAAAAAAAAAAAAAAAAAATATATATATATATATATATATATATATATATATATATGTAAATAATAATGGCTGAAATTTGATAGATGTTTTTTACCCTCTTAATTTCTTAGTGACCATTTTTCTTTATTTCAGATTTGATACACTTTATATTTACTTTGTTTTGGAAAGCTTCTTGAAGGATACACCCTTATTCCACTTTTGTTCCTAACTCTAGTTTCAATACCCTCAGAATTACAAGCAACAGTCAAAAAGCCATAGAGATTTTAGGATAAATTTTTTCTTTCATTTCTTTTTGATTCTGAAGTTTGCGATTTCTTAGTTGGTGTCCCAATCTCACCTTGTAAACTTCTAATTGTCCTGCGTTCCTAAAGTGCAAAGGGATGCCAAATATGTGTGTTTTTAGATGTATCAGCCGTTCATCTACAAAATTTTGCCTGGGATTGGGGATGAAATACAGCTTTCAAGGAATTTAGAGGTTGTCCAAAGTAATGTGCCAAATTATTTAAGCCCCCGAGGTAGTTTGGATGTTTATCCCCTCCAAATCTCAGGCTGAAATCTGATACCAATGTTGAAGGTGGGGCCTCATGGGAGATGTTTGGATCATGGGGGTGGGCAGACCCCTCATGAATGGCTTGGTGCCCTTCTCCCTGGAATGACTGAGTTCTTGCTCTGTTACTTCATGCAAGAAGCAATTGTTGAAGAGCCTGGCAACTCCTTTTTTCTTTCTTCCTCTCTCGCCATGTGACATGTTGGTTCCCCTTTCCCTTCTGCCATAAGTGGAAGCTTCCTGAAGCCTTTACCAAAAGCAGATGCCATATCCATGTTTCCTGTGCAGCCTGCAGAACTGTGAGTCAAATAAACCTCTGTTCTTTATAAATTACTCAGCCTCAGGTATTCTCTTACGGCAATGCAAAACAGATCAAGACAGCCCCTGCGGCACCTGTGCTAGCTCACACACCCCCCCAAATGGGTGCCTTGTCCCTGTATATTTACCAATATCAAACCTTGTCTCCAATCCTCTTAACTCTTCTGCTCTCCCTGTTTGATAGTCTATTTGCCCTACTTGGCACGTCTCTTTACTTACCTCATGGTGGTCACTGTTTTTTTTTTCCACAATTATAAAAATAGGTAAATTGTCACTTCCTTGGAGACATCTCCTATGACTGACCTTGAAGAGCAGCAGCCCCTCAAACCACCATTCTTGAGATTTTGCTTCCAACATCACCACCATGAATGCTGTTTAGCTGTTCCTTAATTTTTGCTTCCTTCCCTCTAAGTCTGAAGTCTCTAGAATGAGCTTTTGATTGGGGAGCCTTGGTCACTTGCTCTCAGCTTACCTGCTAAGGCACAGAGGGCGGCTATCTGTCAGATTTAACCTTTCGGATGGCTTCCTATTAAATAGGGTTTGGATGCTGAAAAGCAGCAACTGTTTTCTACAATGCAAAAGCAAATGTCTTCATGAGAGTATTCAAATGTATATGTTTGGAGCATATGTGTATGGATATAGAATATTATAAATACATTTATTGCTATTTAAACTCTCTCAAGTCTGTCTCTTTAGGACTAAAATAAGTGTTTCGATTAGTTTGTGCATTTCATATCATGTTCTACAGATTCCAAGGTTTCCCAACGAAGTGGCTAGAAAATGACCCAAAACCTTCCAAGGAATATTGAAAGACAGCTAGGTCTCTGCCTCCCCACCCTCCCCTCCCCACAACTTTAGTGTGTGAAGGTGTGCTTTCAGTTGTTTTATCAGATTTTATGTTTAAAAAGTGTTTAATGCCAAATCTTTGAATATCACTGTAATAGACTCTTGCTTCTCAAGGACTTACAGTATCAGTATCTCCTGGAAACTTGCTAGAACTGCAATCTTGTCCCACCCTTCCAAATCAGAATCTGCATTTCATCAAGATTACTAGATGACTGATCACAAATTAAACCTTAAAAATGTCTGGGCATGGTGGCTCACATCTGTAATTCCGGCACTTTGGGAGGTGGAGGCGGGCGGGTCACCTGAGGTCAGGAGTTCGAGACCAGCCTGGCCAACATGGTAAAACCCTGTCTCTACTAAAAATTAGCCGGGTGTGGTGGTGTGCACGCCTGTAGTCCCAGCTATTCAGGAGGTTGAAGCAGGAGAATCTTGAACCTGAGAGGTGGAGGTTGCAGTGAGCCAAGATTGCACCACTGCACTCCAGCCTGGGCCACAGAACAAGAATTTTTTTCCAAAAAACAAACAAAAAAAATTGAAATAAAGAGCATTGTACTAGATGATCCCTAAAGTCACTTTCAGCTATGGTGATTTTATATATACGTATGTACAATATATATTTTCCCTCCCCTTATTTTATATTCTTCCCCCAGCACACTTGGTTCAGAGAAAAAGAAATTCGTTAAAGTTATACAACATAAAGAGATTTTTGATAGAATATAGATCAGGATATTTGAATTGAGTTAGGTTCCAACTTTTATTTTTAATGATAATAACTAAGGCAGATGAAAGTTATCTGGCCTTGCTTAGTTACAGATTTACAGGTTAAACTTCAGTTGCTCCTCTGAGAAAAGCATATGTGCCCAAATACTCTACAATTAATGGGGGAAAAAAAGAAAAAAAAAATCTTCCAAAGATAGTCCAAAGGAGACTGGGAAAGTGAAAGAGAAGCATGTTAAACATCAATGATGATAAAATCAAGAGACGATGATGACTCTTACATTTATAGGATGTTCTAGCATTTAGCAAGCATTTGAATATTCAACAATTCATCGAAGTCATTATAACAATTCAGAGAGGAAGACACATGGATATTTTCCACAGATTTAAATAGGGCCTGAACCAGTAGTCTATCATAACCAAGACTGGCATATTGAGCTGAACTGAAGTTAATGATTTTTATTTCATGTTAAAGCCATATTGGTCTTATTTCATGTTAAAACCATAAAGTCGCCAGGCATGGCAGCTCACACCTGTAATCCTGGCACTTTGGGAGGCTGAGGTGGGAGGATCTCTTGAGATCAGGAGTTTGAGACCAACCTGGGCAGCATAGTGAGACCTTATCTTTACAAAAAAATCAAAAAATTAGCCGGGTACAGTGGTGCACGTCTGTAGTCCCAGACAGTTGGGAGGCTGAGGCAGTTGAGCCTGGAGGTGTAGGCTGCAATGAGCTGTGATCCCAATACCGCATTCCAGCCTGGGTGACAATGTGAGACCTTGTCTCAAGGAAAAACAAAACAAAAACCCCCAAAACCCATATTAATCTAAACGCAAATAGGCAGCAGAGAAGAATGCTTTTCCTGTGTTCACGATGTCTGAGACCGACATTTTTCCAGTGGCAGCGATGTCTCTTTTTGGTTTCCATTTTTCTTATGCTTGTCTATAGTGTTTTTCTAACCATTTTATTTTCTCCTTCCACTTTTCCTCACCAGCTTCTTCCTCCCTCTCTTGAGGCCAGACTCTGCTCATTTGCAATCATGGTTCTGGGCTGCAGCTTCTTCCCCATCCTCCTCTGCCTCACTTCCTATGGTCACCTGCCTCCGTGTCATCCTGGCTGGGATGCTGTGTGGCTCAGCTGTCTGTTCTACCTCCTCCTCTCCACCTGGCCCCACCACTGCTCCGCCAGGCCTCCCTCGTGTGCGCAATGTCGTTATGGCAACCGCCAGTCAGTGGGACTGGGAGACACCTCACTGAGCCAGAACTGGCAGAAGGGACACAGAGCAGCATCTGCGGGGGCTGATAAGGCCAAAGTGTTGGGTTGGCCCCTCCTGGAAAGAAAGAGAAGGGAACAGTGAGATCAGATTGGCGGTGATAGATACCAGGCATGATTCCTGACCTGCTAGAATGACTGAAGACTGCATACAGGCCCTAGTTGAGTTCCATGCGACTTTCTGCTTTATGCCCAAATCCAGCTTTTTGAACCAACACCTCCATCTCCAATCCCTATCCCACAACCATTAGAAGAGAGAGCAAAATAAAAATGATTCTAGGCTCTGTGTAGAAAAGTGCAGAAAAAAATAGTTTGCCCTATTAAGTAAAACATATGACTATTACTCTTAGCTTTATCCAGGATATTAGCTCTGATTATTTTTGAGAGGGGTAAATGACAATTTTACATTTAAAAATGCACATGCTGGGATCTAATAAGAGCGTTCTTCTTTGCAGCAAACCAAAACAACAATTAAAGGTGATTGCCTCATATTTCCAAATTATCTCCAAGCCCCAAACATGATGAAGGTATTAAGAAGAACATGTCTCTGGCGATCATTCAGGATCTGTTGAGTGGAATTAGAAATAGGGATGTAAGAACTCTTCTTCTCAGGCTGCGGTTTCATTGTACCCACAATGCCTACAGGATATTCAATGCTTTAGAATACTGAAATGCTAAAGCTAGAGCAGAGACATATTACTAGTTTGTCTCTCAGTCTACAAATGAGAAGGGTAAGGCCCAGAAAATGGAAGGGACTAGCTCTGGGCCTCACAATTTGTGAGCTGCAGAGCCAGACCCATGTGTTGCTGGTAACACTTTGTCATCTTTCCATTAAACCCGAATGCAGCTAAGAAAGATAAAACCAACTAAAAGAAGAGTCTTTTGGACCTCGATGTTTGGGGAAATTGTGTGCCTTCCCTGGAGGGCTGCATTCTCTTTTCATGGGCCCATTACATCATATGGCTCTGCAGTAAATAATTAATTCCAAATCATAATACCACAAATGCAGTTTCACTGGGCCTGAGTTCTTAGACTCAGTTTATACACTGGTCAAGGAAGACTTAGTAACATTTCTCAAACTAAGCATAATTAAAAGTTATGAAATTTAACATCGACAAAATAATAAAATGAAGACAAAGGGGAAAGAAGCAGATCCTTGTAAATATGCTAAGTTATTCATTATAATTAAAGAAAATCAGCAAACAGTGTGTCAAGTAACAGAACAAGTAATACATGTTTAGATATATTATTTACAATTTATAATGTTGGCCGTCAGGAAAAAAAATCAAACCTTGGAAAAAGCTTGAAATTGATTAGCTTTTGGAGGAGGAGAAGGAGGGCTTAACTTTTTGTTTTAGACGATCTTGTGTGGTTTGAATTTTTAAACATGTGGATGTACTCCTCTGAGACTAAAACTGACACTGTCATCAGTAGAAATTTGGTTAAATAAATTATGGTACAATCATAAAATGGAACATTTGACCCCCATTGGGAAGAATAGAGTTGATCTGTTTATTCTGACACAGAAGTATGCTTAAGATGGAAGGATAAGGGGAGAAACGAAGAAATTAAGTTATGGAATCACATATAGAGCATTATCTTTATGAAAATATACACCCCATCTGTGTGTGTGTGTGTGTGTGTGTGTGTACACATGTTTAGATATATGTTTCTATATTATAAAAAGAGGTGTGGAAAGACGCACACCAAACTCAGAGTTGAGGGTCTAGGAACTAAGGTATAGAAACATTTTTAAAGAGACTCCTGTACTATTTGAATGTTTAAATAATAAGCATGTTAGTTTTTAAATTCAGCACTTTATTTTAAAATATTATAACCAAAATTATAGACTAAATGTGAGTCAGAAAAAATGTAGATTCTCTTGATGAAATGCTTCACAAATATTATGTTTCTTCAAATTTAGCACAAACTCCTTTAAGTATAATACTATAACATGATAAAAAGCTTCCTAAATTATTTATTTGAATGTACTTCTGGCTTTTTGGGATGGAGGGTAATAAGTGTATTAAGAAAAAATATAGAGCAGTAGAATTCCACTTGAAAATAAACAGTATAATGAAGATACCTTTTGGAGACTAATAGATTTAGAAATGTAATTATTTTGAATTGAATTTTTGCTTCAGATGGTTATAACTCCTCTAACCTAAACACTAAGCTAGATAATTATAAGATGTTCTTCTTTCCCTTTCGCTAATAATCCATTTTACTATTTTTAAAAGTGTAGTGAATGAAGAGAAAGTCATCATGAAAGCTGTTCCGATGACTACTGTCTTCCATATTTCTTAGTAGTTGAGCTAAATCCCAACTTGCTGTGCCCCCTCTTTCTTTTCCCAAACCAGCTTTGAATGTCAAACTCTTCATTTAATTAGCTCAGTGGAGAAACAAAGACAAATAAACAATGAGCTGAAATTTCAGCTCTCAAGTTTCACTTTTTTTCTCCTGATTTAGGCTCAAAGTATGACAGAAAAAGCAACCTCAAGTGCCCGAAGGATCTTTTGCTGAAGACTGGTAATTTTAGAGCAAATGAATAGACCATTTTATTAATAAAAATCAGGCAGTCTGCTGTACCCCTAATATTTTGCAATATTGACTTCATATATTTTTTAAATTTGAAAAAAATTAAGACATACAAAGTTTTCTAATTGATAATGTATGATATAGGTGGTAATTCCTCTGAGAGCTATGGGACTTCTGACACGCAGGATGTGCTCATTAGCAAATGTTTGCCTTGTTAGATTTATTATTTACTTCTATTTGTATTTAAATATGTTTCTGTTTATCTTTTGGGTGGTGAAATGTCATTGAGATTAAAAAGAAAAACACAGTGTTCTGTGTATGAGACCAGGCTATATTAAATGTAATTTGCTGTATTTCTCATGTCTAAATGTATTAATTCCTGTTTTAAAAAGAAAATAAAGGAGCAATTTATAATCAAATTGTGCAAAATGAATCATGAAACAAATTCTCATTGAAGATGAAAAAGAAATTTCAGTGTTACTGCCAGTGTTTTCTTAAAACATCTCTTTTCCAAAATAAATTCTCAGAATGGAATAAAGATTTTAATTTATTTACTTTGAGGGTTATGAAAAGATAAATGGATTCAAAATTTATCTTCTTTACTGCTTTGTATAGACATAGTAAAGTTAAGGTCCATGCCTGATATCTCCTAAAATGCTTAGTTGTTTGCATTTTATCTTGTTCTTCTGAGTATGGTCTTAGTCTTTCCTAGTGGATAAATCGGCTGATTCTTTGCTTTTATAGCTATGGGCTACGTAGAGTTCCACACAAATTATCATGTCACTGCAGGTTTCTGTAAATGTCTGGAATAATGTCTAACCTTGATGGTTTGGTGGCTCCACCAGGAGATGTTAGCACTTCCTTCCTTTGACAATAGCAACAATATGTCCTAATCCAGTTACCCCCCTACCTTGTGTCTCCTGACCTACCCAAACACACACCCCCAACAGCAGTACACCTCCTCAACTGTGTATTCCTTAGGCTGGATGCAGAGAGCATACTCTGCTCCACTTTTGAAACTATTAGAAGATGATACAGTTCTTTATCTGCATCTGTGCTTCACAGTGTCTTCCCAAAGGCTGTTAAAAAAGAAAAAGTGGAAGAAGAAAGCAGTGTAGGTCCTAAATTTTAGTTTTAAGAGTCTATTTACATGACCTCTTCTTCCTATCCCAGAGTCACACCTGGCTTCTTTTTTCTGATGAGCCTTTGGCTAGACCAATTTTGTTTCCTTTCTAACAGGATTTCCTTTCATTTGGTTTGACTTCTCTTTAATACAAGAATATTTTTGAAAACCTTTTTTGCCACTTGTAAATCACGGAGTGTAAAATATTGTTGATATACGTGAAGTGAAAACTCCTGAGTTTCTGAAGATTTTCCTCAACTCTGATCCAAAGTTTTTGGAGTAGACAGGTTTATTTGGAGTACAGTTGTCCCTGGGTGTCCGTGGGGGATTTGTTCCAGGACACTCCACCCCTATGACCCGCAGATACCAAATACCTCAAGTCTTTGACAATAAGATGGCATAGCATTTGCATATAACCGATGAACATCCTGCCGTATACTTCAAATCATCTCTAAATTACTTACAATAGCTAGTACTATGTAAATGCTATGTAAACAGGTGCTATAGTCTATTGTTTTTTATTTGTAGGTTTTATCATTGTATTGTTATATATATTTTTTTATAAGGAAGCCATTTGCTTTATTGAACATAGTCTCTTTTTTTTATTATTATGCTTTAAGTTTTAGGGTACATGTGCACAACATGCAGGTTAGTTACTTATGTATACATATGCCATGTTGGTGTGCTGCACCCATCAACTCTTCATTTAACATTAGGTATGTCTCCTAATGCTATCCTTCCCCCCTCCCCCTACCCCACAACAGAAAAAAACAAACACCGCATGTTCTCATTCATAGGTGGGAATTGAACAATGAGAACACATGGACACAGGAAGGGGAACATCACACACTGGGGCCTGTATTGTTATATATTTTTTCCAAATATTTTTGATTGGTTAAATCTTTGGATGCAGAACCTGTGAATGCTGAGTGCCAACTGTATTAGGAGCACAGTGGATTTTTTGTTTCTCCTCTGTCTTACCCAAGCACTTTTTTCTAATATAAAATTAATACATGACCAATGTGCATAGTCTGAAAGTAGAGATGTATTTTGAAATGAAATGAAATCAGCAGTTGCTCTTTATCCCTCCTAGAGGAGAGAATGCCTGTCAACATTTACCCATATTTTCATCGTCTCTTATCTATATGTTATTTACATCAAGTTTCTTAGTTATATATTATTTAGTTGAAATCATGCTATATGACAACTTTACAATGTGCCATTTTAAAATTTAACATTTCAAATTATTAAAAACTTGAGGTTATTCATTTATTTAAAGATACAAATAAAGAAAAATGCCTTTGATAGAAATGCGAATATATTTTTAAAGAGAAAATATTATGTGTAATACAATCTTCCCAAGGCAACTGTTATCTTGTTAGTATATTCTATTTCACCTTTTAATATATTTTCCTTTTACATAGGTAATATAATATCTTTATATGTATATCCTTTATTTTTGCTTTACATTATAGAATGTTTTCATATCAATAAAGTTTCACATCAAAAATGTCTTCAAGGCCAGGCATGGTGGATCACGCCTGTAATCCCAACACTTTGGGAGGCCAAGGCAGGCAGATCATCTGAGGTCAGGAGTTCGAGACCAGCCTGGCCAACATGGCGAAACTCCATTTCTACTAAAAATACAAAAATTAGCTGGGCGTGGTGACACTTGCTTGTAATCCCAGCTACTTGGGAGGCTGAGGCAGGAGAATCGCTTGAACCCAGGAGGCAGAGGTTGCAGTGAGCTGAGGTCGTGCCACTGCACTCCAGCCTGGGCGACAGAGAGAGACTCTGTCTCAAAAAAAAAAAAAAAATTCAAAAACATTTTTAATGGCTGCATCATAGTACACCATAAATGATTAAAGTTTTTGGAACTTAGTTTTTTAATAGTTGGTGCTGTTTGCTTGCAAGTAAATTTGCGGAGGATTTACTTCATTTGCCTGTTTAAAATGGGAATGGTTTAAGAGAGAAATGAATAAAGGGTAAGCCAGGTACGTAAGAATGCAAGGGGAGCTCAGGGCCAGGGCCAGGTAGCCATGTGTGAAGGGAGGACAGCTGGAGCCAGTGCGCGGGGCGGCATTCAAGTTCATCCAGCACGGTCAACTGCTGCAGGACTCCAATCTGTCTTCCAAGAGCTCCTGTGCCAACAGGCCACAGAGAGCTGAGTGAGCATGCTCAGTATCTCTGCATCCATTTGTAAAGCTGTTTTGTAATCTACAAGATTCCATGGGAAAGCCGGAGGGACTGACTTGGTCTGCAACACCTTCACAAGATGTCATGCCATGAGAACTCTTAGATGAAAGCTACTCCAGTGTTTTCCAGAAAGGTTTCCACATAAGGTTACTCCAAGTTCAGGGCTGACTTTGGTGTATTGTAAACCCAGAGGGTGAATTTGGTGGATTTAAGATTTCATCTTAAATGGTGAAATTAGACATGCAATAGTACATTTCTTTTTACTGTAACTGTCCCTTCAAAATGTTTTAGTATCGGCCAGGCATGGTGGCTCACTCATGTAATCCCAGTACTTTGGGAGGCCGAAGCAGGCAGATTGCCTGAGGTCAGGAGTTTGAAACCAACCAGGCCAACACGGCAAAATCCCATCTCTACTAAAAATACAAAAAATTAGCTGGGCATGGTGACAGGTGCCTGTAGTCCCAGCTACTTAGGAGGCTGAGGCAGGAGAATCGCTTGAACCCAGGGAGCGAAGTTGCAGTGAGCTGAGATCCCGCCATTGCACTCCAGCCTGGGCAACAGAGCAAGACTCCATCTCAAAAAAAAAAATTTAATATCACCTATGTTTTATGGCTATCAAACTACTCTCAGTTAGAAGAAGTTTATCATTGTAAATTTGCCAGTCACTTTGGTGTTTTGATAACTTTGTTGTCTGAGTACTTTTTCCTCCTTCCCTTCCTTCCTTCTTTTCTTTCTTTTTTTCTTTAGATTCACAGTATAAAATTCTTCTATTTAAAGATAATAAAACTAGAATATTAAAACTAAGACATAAATGTAGACTTCCGGTTCAAAATAATAATTTGATGCCAGACATTTAATATTCTGTTCTTTAATGTCTCCCTTGAAATTAAGAAAGAAATAGAAGAAAAATAAAGAAAGATCTGAATGAGCACACAAAAGCACACAGGAAGTATACTCACTATTTACTGAAGAGAAATTTGGAGGCAATTCAGGAATGTGGAACCCAGGTGAGACCTAATTTAAGTGAAAATCAACCAGCCTGATATTCTCTTTTTTTTTTTTTTTTTTTTTTTTGTGAAAGAAGTCTATGTTGGACCTAAAAGGACAGAAGTCCACAGATACTCCTAGGATAAGAAAAGGGCAGGATCTGGAGGTAATTGTAGGCTAGGAGAGCCCAGAAAGGGAACTTCTCACTTTATGATTGTAGTACTTAGAACCCTGGGCCCCGAACCTCATCCTGCCCTAAACTTTGTCCAGATGGTGTCCTAACTAAACAAGGACAGTGAGCTCTATCTGAAAGCAGTTGTTTATAATTAGAGGAAGGGAGCTAGCTAGCTTTGAGCTACTGCAAACAATGTGCTTATAAAAATTTAGGGTAATCTTTCCTTTAGCCAGAACTTTGAGTAGTGGCAAGCTCGCTCTTTTCCTTCCTTCCTTCCTTCTTTTCTCTCTTTCTTTCTCCTTCCTTCCTTCGTTCCTCTCCTCCCTCCCTCCTCCCATCCCCTCCTCTCCCTCCCTCTCTCTTTTCTTTCTCTCTTTCTTTCTTTCTTCCTTCCTCCCTCCCCTCCCCTCCCCCTTCCTCCCCTCCCCCTTCCTCCCCTCCCCCTTCCTCCCCTCCCCTCCCCCTTTCCTCCCCTCCCCTCCCTTTCTCTTTCTTTCTCTCTCTTTCTTTCTTTTTCTTTCTTTCTTTTCTTTCCCCTTCCTTCCTTCCTCCCCTCCCCTCATTTCTTTCTTTCTTTCTCTCTCCTTCCTTCCTTCCTCCTCTCCCCTCCTTCCTTCCTTCCTTCCTTCCTTCCTTTCTTTCTTTCTTTCTTTCTTTCTTTCTTTCTTTCTTCCTTTCTTTCTTTCTTTCTCTCTCTCTCTCCCTCCCTCCCTCCCTCCCTTCCTTCCTCCCTCCCTTCCTTCCTCCTTTCCCCTTCTCCTTCCTTCCTTCCTTCCTTCCTTCCTTCCTTCCTTCCTTCTTTCTGTCTTCCTTCGAGTCTCGCTCACTGTAGCCGCAACCTCCTGAGCTCAAGTGATCTTCCTGCCTCAGCCTCCAGCATAACTGGGACCACAGATATGCACCACCACACCCAGCTATTCATTTTGTGTTTTCAGACAGAGTCTTACTATGTTGCCCAGGCTGCTCTTAAACTCCTGACTTTGAGTGATCCTCCCACCTTAGTCTCTCAAAGTGCTGGGATTACAGGTGTGAGTCCCCACACCTGGCCAGCTCTGCTTTTCATTTGATGAGGAAGGTCCGTTGAGTGAAGTAGGAACTTGCTACATGAACTGTTCATTGAGGCCGTCACACTGATTAGCAAGGTGGGTGGTGCCCACTTACTTCCGGGCTCCTAGCGTAACAGTGGCAGTGGCCCCTTCTGGTTATGGTTCTCTCAATACTAACCACAAATGGAAAATGAATTGAGAATAAACTAGAACTATTAAAAGTAACCCCCCTCTGCTTTTATTTGGGACTACACAGAGCCAGTTTCTAGTACAACTTATTTTAACTGACAGAACTACGCAAGCATTGGCCTGTTAAGGATGAGTAAACTTCAAGGACAAAAACATCATTGTTATGAAAACATTTATTAGTTCCGCTCACAGGCACCAATCTAAGGAATTTAGAGTAAATAACCTCTCAGCAAATAAACTTACTGAAATAGTAACAGGAAAATGGTTCTAAAATATATACCAAATCATTTTCTTAATTGATGGCTAACTATATCAATTAAATAAAATAAAACTTGCTTTTAGATTTTTTAATTCCCCAAATTAAAATGCCATGAGGCAGTGAAGAGTAGAATTGATACTTCAGGAAAATAAATTAATTAAATGCAAGTCCAGCCATCAAAAATTTTCTGTAACTTAGAGGAAAAGTATAAGTATGGCCTAGAAAATATAAGAGACAGGAGAAAATACCCGGGAGAAAAACATATTTGTAATAGAAATTCATATTATTCACAGGGCACTTGAAAAAGAAGCAAAAATTATTAAATCATTGATACAAATTTTCTTAGTTGAAAACTTGATTTTGGGGATATACCAGAAGAAAAACAATGAAGGGGATTGGACATAAACACATTTGGGTGAAGCATTTTAATTTATGATAGTGTAAAAAAGTCTGTAAGTATACAACAAGGAAAAAAGCTACTCAACAAAAGGAGGAAAATGTGAGGTTAGAATTAGACATCTCAGCTACAATAAATGCCCTTAGATAGTAGGAGTCATGCTTGCAGTTTTCTGTGAAAAGAAATATTCTGAACCTAGAATTCGGCACCTGAAACTCTCATGCACGCATGAAAGTAACAGAAACGCAGCCTCAGTCATGACTTTACAAAGTAATGCATTTCTGCTAAGTGATTACAAGCCAAATGCTCCAAAATTAGTAATTAGCTTTCTTATACACCAGGAATAGCCAGTTGAAAACTGTAATACAAAAAAAAGATATTTTTATTAGGCAATCAAAGTATAAAACAAAATATCTAGGAATATAATGAGAAGTATACACAATATGGTAATGTCCTCTTTTCAGTAAATACTTAATGTTCACCAAGTTCCCAACATTGGGAACATAAAACTGAGTGACACAAAAGAAAATCTGAGTAAACGAACACAGTGCTCCTAAATGGGAAAATTAACAGTGAAAAATATCAGTTCTCCCTCAAATCTATCAGCCTGTTTATCTATCTGTCCCTATGTATGTATGTATGTATGTATGTATGTATGTATGTATGCATGTATCTATCTATCTATCTATCTATCTATCTATCTATCTATCTATCTACCTCTATCCATCTATCTATCTATCTATATTAGCTAAACTCAAACATTGATTATTTTAGAGTTGAGGAAGAGATTTAGAGAGATATTTATGTATAAGAATAAGTGAGACTGTAGCCGGGAAATATTTCGAAAAAAATTAAGACTGATTTTGGAGGGAGAGCACAGAATAATTTTTTTAAATGGCAGAACGTTTATAATTAAAATATTCTAGTGTTGATATGGGCCCAGTACAAAAGAATCATAGTATACAATAAAGTTCAGAAAAAGTATGTGTGTGTGTGTGTGTGTGTGTGTGTGTGTGTGTCGGTATTATTTCAGTATTTGATTCGAGTGTCCTTTCAAATTACTTCGGACAAATATATTATTTATGTTAATGATGTTAAAGTTTGACTACCTGGTTTAGAAAAATAATATCAAAATGGCCAAAAAATATTGGTGAATGTTTCTTTAATCCCTGAGGAGAGAATTCTTTAACAAAACCGTAAAGTTGAAAACCATAAAGGAAAAGACTGATGGATTAAACATCCACGATGGTGACATCTAAGTGTCCAACTACTGCCAACCTCCTCTTTCCATAGGATAGAGTTATTACTGGGAAACAGCTGTCCAACCAGCTACCTTTTAAAAATCTTGCATCTACATGAGGCCACATGAGTATTGCCAGGGCCATGGTGATTATGAAGTGTTTGCCGACCGGATGATAGATATCAGGCCCTGGTGATGTTACAACATGAAAAGACCTAGGTTATAAATCACAGCATGCAAGAAAGCTGCCCACTGACCAGGAAATTGTGACATAGCCACACAATGGAATCCAATTCATCAACAGAATAGCATGAATATTTACCGTGTGGTTATTTGTATTGCTAGGTCATTATACATATGCATCAGTGCAAAAAACAAATTGATATATATCTATAGCCAAACAATAATGAGCCTTTTATATAGAAACTCCTAGGCTAGAAGGAAAGATTAAGACAGAACCCAAAGTACTGCCCACATCTATTTACTGCAAATGATTTTATTCCAAAACACACTCTTACTGTCGTATAAGCAAAGGCCAATTGGTTAGACCCTGATAAGGGGACCAAAGTGAAGGTCTGTGTTCCCTTTGTGACCCAGTTAGCTTTGATCTCATTCACACATCTGGCAAATGGAGATGCTAAACCTGTAGGGTTTATGTGAGGACCAGAAATAACGTTTATGAAATAACTGACACATAATAGACAGTATATAAAGACAGATAAAATTATTGTCATTATTATTAGCAGTGGTGTTATGACAACACTTTCTTGCTAGTGGCTTTAAAAATACTTTTTGATAGAGAGGGTGTATGCACAAGTCATCCTTTCTCAGGACATGAGGCTTAAGTTGGGTATGGAAAAAGAAAGAATACTAATAAAATGGGTTACAGTGACTTTTGGTTGAGCCTTATTTATTTTCTTAGATCTGTTTGAACAGACAGTTGTCATGTGGTTCACTCTGCTTTATGACGGAGGAAGAAGCAGCCATCTTCTTTCAAAGGTGCTGCTATGTTTCAGAGTGGTTTGACTCACACCTATAGCTCAGAAAAGAAGGAAATGATTGTAGTGAGAGGGATTGGAAATGGATGCTAACAAGCAAAGGACTAAAGTCAGGGTCAAAGTCACTTCTTGCTATAAAATTATCTCAGTGTTATTCTCTTTAACAAATGGTTTTATTTTCACTCCCCTCAAACAGCTATGATCATTATTCTGGCAACACTCGGTTCCATTTCAACATTAGTGGACATACCAGGTTGTGGCCATCTTTGGAATAACCCTGCACGCATGAACTCCTCTTTTGTTATTCCTTGTCTTTGTGACTATGCTAGCCATTCACCTACTCCTCACAACAGAAAATATGGGAGTCAACCTTGCTTCGTTTTATTTCAACACACACACACATACACACACACACACACACACGCAGTAAATCACCTAAGTTCATCATCCCACAGTCTCCCCATGCCTACTGCCAGTCTCCAACTCTAGGCCACTCTCATCTCTGTCCTTGATAACTCTTCTTCCTCCCAGGCTGTCCTCACTCAAGTCCATCCTCCATAATGCAGCCAAAGTATTCTTTTGAAAATGCAACTCTGATCAAGTCATTTCCCTGTCTAAACTATGAACTGGTTTTCCGTGTCCGGCGTTGAAAAATCTCACCATACTCAAAATCTTGCTGGCTTTCCTCTCTGACTCACCCTTCACCTTCCTCCCTTACACTGGGCCCCACCCTTATTTAAGTATTTCCTGTCACTTGAAGATGTTGGCTCCCCTTCGCCTCTGGGCCTTTCCACATGCTATTACCCCTACCTGGAACACACTATTGTGACAGCTACAGATTGGCACTTGGGTCACAGACCTCAATACAGATGTGTTTTAGGTTATTTTAGCTGTAACGCCAAGAAATACCAAGAAACACACGTTTAGGCTTAACCCAAATAAATATGAATACTTTCTTTTTCTTTCTTTCTTTTTTTTTTTTTAATGAGACAGAGTCTCGCTCTGTCGCCCAGGCTGGAGTGCAGTGGTCTGATCTCAGTTCACTGCAAGCTCCGCCTCCCGGGTTGACGCCATTCTCCTGCCTCAGCCTCCTGAGTAGCTGGGACTACAGGCGCCCGCCACCACGCCCGGCTATTTTTTTGTATTTTTAGTAGAGACGGGGTTTCGCTGTGTTAGCCAGGGTGGTCTCGATCTCCTGACCTCGTGATCCGCCCACCTCGGCCTCCCAAAGTGCTGGGATTACAGGCTTGAGCCACCGAGCCAGCCAATATGCTTATTTTCTTGACAGCTTCCTCACCCCTTAAGGAGGCATTCACTGGAGTCAGAAGGCGTGGCCGAAAGAAGAAACTCTGCGCTTCCCTTCCTGCCCCCATCAGGCGTAGCTGTCATTCCTATTGGTCCCCACCAAGGTGTGCCCAGCTGGCTTACATGTCTCATTCAGCCTCATTCATTAATCATACGCATCCAAAATTCAAACCAACACTTACAGTATTACACCAAACACTTGTTTTTTTAGTTCCATAAATTTGTGCTATTGCAGCCAATCATCCCACAACCATATAAAAGGAGTCTTAGCACGTGGTTAATAAGAGTTAAGGAAGCCAGGTTCCAGAAGGAATTTCTCAGGATTCCCTCTGATTCAGCATTCTTCATTCCTCCATTCTTGACCTGGCTATGCCTTACACACCCCTGGGCTCTTAGTTTTAAAGCTCTTTTCTGCTCCCCACTGTGGTCGTGTTAGGTTCCCCTACCAAGAGTTGCAAAATCCCTTGTTTCCCAGTAATGTTCTCTGCTAATACTCTGTTTCTTGACTGTGCTCTGAGCTTCCGAAAGGCAAAGAGTGTATTTGTCAAGGTCCCCATTGTATCTACAGAGCCTGGCATGTGGTGACTGCACAATAAATATTGCTGAACAAATAAATAAAATAAATCGTGGCAAGAATAGAGATTGCATTAAAAGTTTATCTCCCCTTTTCCCCTTTATCCCCAGGAGACCCCATCCTCCAGAATTCAAAGAAGAAAGTTGAACCCTTCTCACATTAAGCCTATCTGAAAAGCTGCTTTTAGAAACTCCAGTGCACACTCACACACCATTATATGTTATTTCAGGCTGGTGTAATAATAAAACTGTCAATCCTATGAATAAGAACTGTTTCTTTACTTGGATTCTTGCTCATGTTCGTGTATATTTATGTATTACTAGAAAAGCAGCATTCTTAAGATTCTTAGATTGTTTTGATAAGATATGACTCTACTTTTCCCAGCCTTTCTTATTATAAGAATCTTTAACAAGCTCTTTAAACAGTTCACACATGCTACCTTACATTTTTATGTGATGTAACGTATAGTGAAAATTTTTTAAAAAGATTTTCTTAATATAATGTTTAAATAATAAAATTATTTCTTGTCTAATGATATTTGTGCAAGTAGACTAGTTTTTTTATGCATAGAAGACACACCATTTCTTTAGTTTCGTTGAGGAATAATTATCAATCATTATTATTTATAAGACAAGGCTGTTCTTTTTTAAAAAAAATCTTTAATTTAAAATACCTCTGTATTTAAGAGTGTTAACTACAAGAGCCTTTTCTATTGTCGTTCTTAGAAAAAAAAAGGTTCTGATGTTTGCTAGTCTAATAATTTATTTAATGCCTAAATTCATGTGACCTGAAAAAAAAAGTTTAAAACATTAAGTGAAGATGTGTGGTTCTATGGAGGGCAAAAGTCTTGTGTATAAGACCACAGGTAGCAGCCAGCTCCCTCAGTGGCCATCTCTATCAGCCTTGAGACCACCTCTCCTTACTGATCTTAGCTAGAAAACAGGCAAAAGGTAGCAGCTTCTAGTGACCATTCCAGGCTGCTTACAAACAGGGTGATTCTGGGGGAAAGCAGAACTGGGTGCTTTCCATCTCCATTGAAAAATGAAAAAAACAGAAAAAAATGGACAAAATGAAGAAAGAATATAGAGAATTTCAAACAACTGGCTTAGTCTTGGGCCTTCTTTCCCTGCCCACCCCACACCACCATCTTTTGCATGCCCTTCTCACCCTGCCCTGTTGTCAACCTTGAGCTGTCTTGGAAGCAAAGTCCAAGGGGACAATGGAGCATGCAGGCAAGTTCCATATCACCCCATTTGCCTAGAGCATTTGGTTGCCCCATGAACACAGAATTCCAGTGGACCCACAATGTGTGGGAGTTCAGTGAGGCTCATGGCGAGTACAAGGGAAATGTGTCATGTTTATGACTAAGTGGTCATGCTTCCTGTTCAAACAAGAAAGAAGGCAACAGCATTCTAAGAAACACAAACAACCAAGGGATCTTAAAGTATCCTTTCTCACTCCTGTCACTTCCTTGTAATAACCAACCAATTACATGGAAAACGATGACATTGAAGGAAAGGGAAAAATAGGGAAACCTACAGATCTTTTTTCTTTCTGTTTTTAGAAAGCACATCAACAAGCCAAATGTAGAAAGCATCGGTAAAATGTGCAAATATAAAGAAATAAAAAAGAGTTGAGTTAGTGTTGTGTGGCGTTCACACTGTTCTGGTGAGAATGAAATACATATGCGCATACAAGGTACAGAACGTGAATTTATGAATTGTGTAATTTTGGTGATTCGGCAGAAGAGTTACATGTTCTTATATTTGCCTCTAAAACTTGCACTGAACAATGGTACAATTCATGCTCATAATTAAAACTTTTAATTTTTCTTTACTTTAGAACTACATTAAATAGCAAATAAATAACAACATGGCAAGTCAAGAGAGATCATGGAAAAAAGGAAAAGGCTTCATATTTAGTATCTTTAATGGCATATTTTCTGTTTTTGTTTTTGTTTTTTCTTTTTTTGAGCAAGAGTCCTGCATTTTCATTTTGCCTTGAGTCCTGCAATCATGTAGCTGGCCCTGCTTCCAAGAAAAGAGGAAGGAAGAGCCAGTGCTTCACTATGGTAGGCCCTGAAGTGGGATCCAGCTCTCTGGCTTTGCTATGGCTTCAGCCTTCCTGATGTGACTTCCCTTTCCTGTCTCCTTCCCTTGTGACTGTGACTTCTCAGCAGCTCCTGAGCTCTCTGCCTCTTGGCTCGAAGGGACCATACTTACACTGATGCTAGAGCACACCCTTTATTCCTGGGTCCAGTTGTTGACGTAGCAACTTCAAATGGACACAGAGATCTCTGGACATTTTCTGTTTATGTATTTATTTATTCACTAAGCATATATTAAGAACTTGTAATATGCCTAGCACTGTCCTATGCCAACTGCTATGAATTGAATTATGTCCCTTCAAAACTCACATATTGAAGCCCTAACCCCAGGACAATGGTATTTGGAGATGGGGCCTTTGGTAAGTTATCAGGTTTAAGTGACATCATGAGGGCAGGGTCCTCGGTAAAATTAGTACTGTTGTAGGTACTGGGGGTAGAACACTACATTATCATTCCAAAAGAGGTCCCTACCTTCTGAAACTAGATTATCCAAATCTTGGGAACTATAATACAGATTTCCATGAAAAACAAGGATTATGTTTCCAGAGAGCTCTTGACAGCTGAGCCAAAAGGAAGAAAGCAGAGAGAACTGTGGGCAGTTCTCTTATAAGACAGGGCTGTTCTGAAATAATTTCTGATTTCATTTTTTAAAAATGCTTAAAAGTACATACTAATTTGTGTAGTGGAAGGTTTATTATTCCCATGGCAGTGAAGATCAAGAGCTACCTCTGTGTTATAATTTAAAATATATTGCTTTGGAGTGTTTTCTGTAGATGCCTGGAATATTTTTATCCCTCTTGCCAGGCTGGCAAACTCTTCCTTCTTTTAGAGTAAACTTGTGTCTCATTTATTCAATTCAGTCTTTCTCAATTCCCCTAGATAAAGCACCTTTTATTTAATCAAATTAACTACCCCTCCTTTATAGAACTTATCACATTGTATTTTGTAGAATAAAAAAAACACTTAAGACCTACATATCCTGTGCCTCATACCTAGGAGCTATTTGGTAAATTAAGAGTAGAAAAGTAAGTTTAGTGAAAGAGTTCACTCCATGTTAAGAAATGTACTGTATGGTTTCAAGTAAATTTCAAATACTTGAACATATACAATCTTGAGCTTACTGCACTTCTACTCAATGGGCACATCTAGTATTTCAGCATGAAAAAAAATCAGTGGGAACAATAGGGATCACATTGAGGTTTGAAAATATAATTTTAAATGTATGAAAGTTAAGTTGGAAATACTAAAATAAGATAATTGGAAAAGCAACTAGCATACTGGGTTTTATAAACAAAGCTTAAAATACCTAGCAATAAAAATCTCGGTTTCAAGCAATATTATTGAATCATTTAAGCAAGGTTTGCAAATGAAAGCCTTAGACCAAAGTCAGCCTGCAGAAGAGTTTAATTTTTCTCATTAAAAAAATTTCATTTGTATCTCCTTAAGTAGGACCTGCACTCCCCTGTTTAGCCACCAACTCTACCATTCCCTATTGCCTTCAACTCTGCCAGCCACATTGCTGTCTGGTCCCTAAAAGCATTTGTATTGTGATCTGGTGCCTTACAAGTTCCTTTCTGTCGCAGGGCAAAAACCTGTCTCATTTTACAGAGAACTCAGCCTAATCCTGAAAATGCTAAGATAAAGTTGTAGCTAATAAAGTTAGAAAAGTTCTTCTGTTTAGTTTGGATCAAGATTTGGAAAGAGAGAATACACGCACAAATTCTTTCCCTGTAATACAACATAAGAAAGAAAAAAAAATCTGTATGTTAAAATCTATAATTCTTTGAACTCTTAATATATTAATAAGACTATAAGGCTTCATAATCAAAATTTCATCTATAATACTCACTACTGCTAAAAGGAATTTGTCTCTCAAAGCAGAACTTTGCAGTGGTGTCTAGCTTTGCTAGCTAAAGAGACTGTGTGAAATAGGGGAGTGAGAGGCCACATATACCCCGAGTGAACTGTGGGAATTTTTCTGCTCTGGACACCTCCTAAGAGAAGCATCTAGTGATCGGCAGAGCCACACTTACCAGAGCAGGGGATGTGAGTTCCAAAAGGAGCCCCCATGGCCGCACACTGTCCACACCACACAGTCCCAAAAGGCACAGGTCGTCACCTGCAGCTAGCTCACTGCACCTGTAGCTTTCTATTTTTACACATGTGGACATTCATAGCATCGAACCTAATCAACTTGAATGGAACAAATAGAACTTATTCACTGATTGTGATCAACTAGTGAGTCTTCTGTCCCCAGAGGCTACAAAAGGCAGTGCTTTTATGTGGGGTAGGAGAAATTCAGATGGGACAACGAATAAAAATAATAGAGTGGTCAAGACTCTACCATATAATTATCCTTCCTTTTTTTTTTTGCAGAAGGAGTCTTGCTCTTGTTCTGTCGCCCAGGCTGGAGTGCAGTGGTGTGACCTCAACCCACTGTAACCTCCCCACCCCTGGTTCAAGCGATTCTCCTGCCTCAGCCTCCTGAGTAGCTGGGACTACAGGCACCCGCCACCATGCCAACTAACTTTCGTATTTTTAGTAGAGATGGGGTTTCACCATGTTGGCCAGGCTGGTCTCGAACTCCTGATGTCAAGTGATCGGCCCTCTTAGGCCTCCCAAAGTGCTTGGGTTACAGGTGGTGAGCCACTGCGCCCGGCCTAATTTTCCTTATTTAAGCAGGACACTGGGTATTATGCCAAAGGCCTAGAATGAATCGAAAAGGGTGACTCAGGAGATCCTAAATTCGACACCACGCGTGAAAAACTGGATGTAATAATAATAGCAGTTTTTGTTTTTTTATAGAGCACCCACAAAGGGTTAGGGACTATACTTGACATTTTTCCATACTTTTTTTTTTTTCAAACTTCACAACAGTGCTATGAGATGGAGATTACTATCACCATTTTTATGGAAGAGGAAACATCCACTAAGTAGCTGAGCAGAGATTTACACCCAAGTCTCTCTGGCATCACAGCCCACATACCATCAGCTTCACCAGGCTGCCCCAATTATATGCAATTTTAAAACTGTGGCACTGCAAGTCAGGGAAGCAAACCGTCCATCTGATTGTGACCCAAACACCAGAAAGGCAAGAGAGATAAAAATAAAGAGAAAGAAGGAAGGTAGAATAGAGGGCAAGATAGGCATCTGGGAACAGCTTTCACAAAAATAGAAGTGCAATTAAATTGATGTCTTCCAAAATGGTCTGAACTCACACACCTACAGCCCTGGCTGCTCTGTTTTATCTCATTAAATGCCTGGTTATGGATGGGCAGGCCTGCCATCTGTTTAAATAATAGTTTTCTGTTCTCTGTGAACTGAGCTGCAGTGTCGAGGACAATTAAAGCGTCATTTCCACGGCCATCTCCCTCTCGGCGGGAACTCTGATATTGCAGGACCATCAGCCTCCACCACACTGGCATCTGCTCTCAGCTACAGTTTCACTGCTTTTCCACCTAACCTGCCCACCAGAGGTAAACCTGCCTGACCAAGACATGGGGTATATAGATATGAATGCCCACTCAGAAAAGAACAGAAGACAGATTAGGAAGAGTTCCAGCACCCTCCTTCTTGCCAATGCCAGAGTGAGTGACAGATATGGCTTTCTGTGAATCTAATGATAAGCTATTTTCAAAATTCAGGTTTAAATTCATGCACAACAAATGGGGTTTGTTTTAAAAGAGACATGCTTAGAACTGGAACGGGTGGAAAAGCCAAGTGGCTGCACTTCCAACAAAGAAAAGAGATCTCAGGTATATACCAGGAGACTGAGGTTAGAGTTTAATTGACCTGTTTAATGTGTGGATAAAATGGATTTTAACTCTAACAGTGTGTCTTCAGATTCTATACCTATTGGGTAACCCATAATTTATTATCCAGACCAGGATATTTTCACAGGTAAAATGGGGTAGTGTTGAAAATTATGTCAGAGCAACAATCATGGGCAAACTACAAACATTGCTTTCCCAGTCAGTTGAATCAGAGGACGGAGTATATATTTATTAGTCAGGGTTCTCCAGAGAAACAGAACCAATAGTATACACAGAGATGTACAAGAGGGGATTTATTATGCGAATTGACTCATGGCATCGTGGAGGCTGAGAAAGTTCCAGGATGGGCCCTCTGCACACTGGAAAACCAGGAGCCTGATGGGATAATTCAGTCCAAGTCTGAAGGCCTGAGGGACCAAGGGAGTGAATTAATGGTGAAATTCTCAGTCCAAGGCCAAAAGCCTGAGAAACTGGGCTGCAAACCTGAAGTCCGAAGGCTGGAGAACCTGGAGCTCTGATGTCTGAGGGCATAAGAGAAAATGGATGTCAGCTGCAGATGAGAAGGAGGGAATATGCCCTTTCTTCACCTTTTGTTTTATTTGAGACCTGAAAGGATTGGATGATTCCTATCCATGTTGGTGAGGGTGATCGTCTCTACTCAGTCTACTTATAGAAATGCTCATCTCTTCCAGAAACACTCTCACAAACACACCCAGAAATAATGTTTCTCCAGCTATCCGGGCATCCCTTAACCCAGTCGAGTTGATACATACAATTAACTCTCACAGTATATATGGCAATATCTCCCAACAGTTCATGTTTACTGTTTCCTGGTACATTGCAATAGTCTTAATTACTTTTCAGAAAATAATTCTTCACAATGATTTGACTCCTAATGTTGCCTGCTTCAGCCCAGAACCTTTCCTAAGAAATATATCTAGTTCCATTCAATTCAAGAATCGAGGAAAGCAGCACTGGAAATGAAAAGAATCGTCTTTGAACCTGTTTGCATGAGAATTGGCACCCACAACCCACAGATTAGTGTGTGTGATGTGTATATGTATAGGTGTGCATATATGTGTGATGTGTACATACATATGATAAATACATACATACATACATATTCATACATATATATTTTGTAAGGTGTCCTCTTTACAAAGTTTTCCATGTTGATATTTCTAATTTCCAGGACATTTCCAACATATTTAGGTTGTTCAGCAATTCTTCAACAAATTATACAATGGTGGTTTTTTGTCACTTGTTTAGGATTAAAGTTGCACTTGAATTTAGTGTGGATTTCTTTACTTCTGCTCTGGCTGTGTACCTAACATATTCTACAAAAGATCTCTAGGATCTATAAAAGAAATCCCAATGTCCCACAGTAAGCATCCTCTATCTCACACCCCAGGAAACTCACTGTGAATAAGAGCCAATGAAAAATGGAATTGAAGCAGAAGAGATGACAATATAAGCACGAACATTACAAACAGGCATACCCTGACAGCATCTAGTTCCTACTGCTAAGTATTAATTGGGTCCTGCAATTCTCTGGGTGTCTCTTGGGTGCAAGTTCTTCCCAGAGAAGAAACTGTATTTCTCAGCTAGACTTGTGCCACAACCAGGGAGAGCTAAGGAAGGGAATCAGGAGAAGAACTGGAGGAGGAAGAGCAATTGCCCCAGGTGAGGACTTTGTAGGGTCTCCAGGCAAGAGAAAGCTGTTGTTCTCTAGTAAGGGGGAAAGCCTGTTTCTGCTGGCATAGAGGGTACAGGCAAATCTGGAAGTTCTATTTTTTTTTTCAGGCTCATCCAACCAAGAGTCCCCATCTTAGGTCTTGGGGATCCACTCTTTTCCTCCCAACTCTGATTTTGGCACAGGCAACATATTAAGGAGGTATATTCAGTCCCCTTTTTGTTCTGCCCTCCTTATACTCAAATTCTCAGCCTGATTTCCAGCAGAATCCGCTTTGCAGCTGCAAAAATTAAGATCTCTTAAAATGCTGCCCTATATGCCTTCTGATTTGACACTGTGCTTTGGGTCGATTGTTGCTTACTTTTAACTACTTTATTTACATATTTTTAATGTTTTCAAAGCAATTAACAGAGGCCAACCAGCTCAACAATCCTTGTGATTATCTCTGCTCCAGTATCATTCAAATACGACAGGCCAGGGCTTTATTCCTTAACTGTATTCTTCCCCTTTCCACCACTGGAGAGTTAGGAATTGTGTTGCTACTGCAGACCAGGAGTGTCACCACTAGACCTACACGGGAAAATAAGGCCTGTATCGCCACTTCACTTGGAAGAGATCCCAATCTAGAATCTCATTCTGAGTGCCTGCTTTGGGAGGCCACTCTCAAAAACAACTATCTTAGGAAGGATTTTTAAGAAAGCAGAGTTGGAGCCACGGAATTGTGTACAGGTAGTTTATTTTAGAAGTGATCTCAGGGAACAGGAGAGGAAGCTGGGGAGAGCCAGATGGAGATGCAGTTCAAGACAATTCAAAGAGTTGGTCACCCTGAGAGTAACTGGGGCTCCCCTCCATCAGAATCCTCAAAAAGCCTTGCAGAATGTGCCTCAGAATTGCCCACCTGAGCCATGGAAGAGGACAGCATTTATTCACCCCTCTCACCCACTGGTCAAGAGCATTGACTGTCTTACATACCCATGCTACTGATGCATGAGTGTCTGGGTAGTTTTCCAAGAGCATCTCGTGCAGTGATCAGAAAGTCCCAGAAAAAAACTGAGAGATTTGTGATGCAGTGGAGACCAGGTGCTGTCAAGTTACACCTGTTTGAAGCTGGTTGCCGTAGCAATGGTTGCTGAAGGGGTGGGCTGTAAGAATGTAAAGTGGGGCACAACAGGTGTCCAGTGCAGATGGTGACCCCACTTTTAAAAGCTATGTAAGAATCTCTGGGCCAGGGACAAAGGAGAGAAAAAAATGGGAAGAAATTTCCACAGATATTTTATAGAGTAGGTTTTCATTTTATATATAAACCTGTTAGCCATTATTAAAACTATTTTGCTGTGTTGCGCTAAAGTGAAACTCATATTATTCCTCAATAAGTGTTTCACATAGAAACAACTAAACCAGAATTTAACAGTAATGAAATATTACTAATCTCCTGCAAACTGAGCCTATCTGTAATCAAATTAAAAGACAACTGTACTTCTTCATGGCACTAAGTTAGAAAAAGATGAGAGAAATCCTAGATTTACTTTGTTTGGAATGTGTTTGACTCATTGAAACAATATCAGCCTTTTTATTATATGAAATAATACTGATTTTTCTCCCTAGTCAGGGTCCATTTTCTCCTTTCTAGGCCTGAGGGTGGCCATCTGCTTCATCCATGCTGCTGTCTAGCATTTCACACAACCTAGCATAAATTCTCTGGATTCCAGAACCGTGAAGGTGATAACTTTGCACAACGCTAAAGGGAATTACATATTTGTAAATGCAGAATGAATTTTATATGGTGAAATTTCTTGGGATTATTACATCATGTTTTTAAATGAATTAATTCATGCAAAGTATTTAGAGCACATAATAGGAGCTCAGTGAATGTTAGCTTTGTCATGATTGTCATCATCATCATCATCACATGGAGGCAGCAGGAGTTGAGGGGTCAGAGGACCTGGCTTTTAGTCCTGCCTTTATCATTTATTAGTCTTGCATCTTTGGTAAAACCATTTAACCTCTCTGAGACTCAGTGTTCTTAGCTTTAGAAAGGGGTAATAAATTCAGTTTCATAGCATTGTTATGAGGGTGAAATAACAAAAGTGATTTGTGGATTTAAAAGCGCTATACCAGAATAGGCATCTTCAACACATTATTAGCTCTAACCAGCTCTCTCTCTGCTATGGGTACTGCCTGCTAGGGGTCGGGTGCTGGATTCTGCAAAACCTCAAATAGCTCTATTGTATGAAATGATGTTTTATTCATGTCACCCTCTTAACCCTTGATTTTCATCTGCAATATGTACTTCTTAGAATTACATTTACTTATTTGGCTCTCCCTCCAGACAATGGAAGTATCCTTATCTTTATTTCAAGGATTCTTCCTTTCCCATTGATGCAAACAATAATAATAATAATTATTATTATTATCATTTAAAATTAATTTAAAATAATCCAATAAATTAAACCAATGACAACCAGTTTCTTTTCCTACATCTTTATTCTTTTTTTGCACTCTCCTAACTTTCTGGAATGGGAATGTAATCATTTACAATCAGGAAAGAATAATAAAAAGAAATTTTAAAGACCTATAGGTATTTCACTTATGTATATGAATTTCTGAGCAGAAATTTGGAGAGTGATTATTATAAATCTTTGCAAATGAGACAAACAGAGTATCATTTTTGAATGGCACATGTCTACAGAACATCCAACAGGAACATATTTTATACAGACTTTCATTTCTACAAAGACAAGAAATGACTTTTACAGTGAAATTACAAAAGACGTTTGGTTTGTTTTCTCTATATATCATATAACTACATCATGCTGCTTACCACTCCATTGGTAGTCTTTCCCCCAAGTTTTGCTCAGATTTTTAGATTGAATTATTCAGGAAGAACTGTTATTATAGATTACCGAAATGAATGAATAGTCAATACGACTTTGTAAAGACTGACCCTTTTGGGTTTCAACTGTCAACACAGGAAATATTACAAGATGGTAAATAACAGGAGATGAGAAGGCTCTAGGCCCCATTCTGAGAAATAGTGTGCTTGTTATTGTCTATTGTGTGACCTTCATATGAGACAACAAAGTACTGACTGTTCAGTTGAAATCATATTAAGCAGAGATCTGGGCTCAAAATGAGAAGAGTGAAGACAAGATGGAATCCTGGAAAAGCTGACAAAGCCTGTGATCCTTCTGAGACACAGCAATAATTAATACCATATTCAGTACGTGGCTGGAAGGACTATTTCCATTCAAATCTTGTAGGATGAGCATTGCGACAAAACTATGAAATGATATTATTCATCTATTCCTTGCTGGTTGTATACAGAATTCATTTAGTTACTCTTTTCTTTTTTTCTGGGTGACAGGGCAAGAGAGGGTCTCGCTCTGTCACCCAGGCTGAAGTGCAGTGACACAATCATGGCTTATTGCAGCCTCGGCCTCCCTGGACTCAAGCGAACCTCCTGCCTTAGCCTCCTGAGTAACTGGGACTACAGGTGCGTGCCATCATGGTTGGCTAATTTTTTTTTTTGTATTTTTTGTAGAGATGGGGTTTTACCATATTGCCCAGGCTATAAGTGATTACTCTTCTGCCTCTATCACCAGACCTTTAAAATGAGAGTGGCAGGCTGGGCGCGGTGGCTCACACCTGTAATCCCAGCACTTTGGGAGGCCGAGGCGGGCGGATCACAAGGTCATGAGATTGAGACCATCCTGGCTAACACAGTGAAACCCCGTCTCTACTAAAAATACAAAAAATTAGCCAGACGTGGTGGCGGGTGCCTGTAGTCCCAGCTACTTGGGAGGCTGAGGCAGGAGAATGGCGTGAACCTGGGAGGGGGAGCTTGCAGTGAGCCGAGATTGCGCCACTGCACTCCAGCCTGGGTGACAGAGCAAGACTCCATCTCAAAAAAAAAAAAAAAAAAAGAGAGTGGCAAAAACCATGAGTTTCAAATAACTGTAAGAAAATCCTTTGGAAAATGGAAATGTGTTTTGAGAGTCTTCATAAAAGTACTTTAAAGGGTATTCTTTATGATCTAATGATTGCAGATTCTAGGGACACACCTTGGACAAGTAACAGTCTTGGTTTCCTTCTTTATAAAATAAAGATACTAAAAGTATGTACCTTGTAGCATTTTAGTGAATATTGTATTAAATAAAGTAATGGCAAACGATTAAAATGCTTAGTTATTGTTATTATTTACTGGGTCAACAGTGTGTGTTCATTGACCATTTCCAAGCACTGTGATAGAAGCTAGGGATAAAAAGCCAAATAAGGGCCAATTCCTGTCTTTAAAAGGTTTGCTGCCTAATACAGTAAAACATGGAGTTATGCTGTGGACATACTCTTGGTAGTTCTGAGTTATTGCTGCACAACAGCCATGTATGTGGCTATGTGTGTGTGTTCACAAATTTATTTGTGCTTTTTGGGGATACTGTAGGTTGAAGTGTAGAAACCGGAATCCTTTAGAAAAATTAGTTCCTCCCAACTTTCTTGTCATTTGCTACTTGAGAACTGGACCTTTCCAGTGGAGCAGCACTTTCATATTTCAGAACTTCTTTGCCACTGGGTCAGAGATTACAAACTCCCTCCTGGGTTTCTTACCAACTCATCCTCTGCCCTGTAAACAATGACCTTTTCTATAGTGTCATCTCACATAGGATTCCTTTGGAAGAATTAAATCAAACCTGGAGAAAGCAAATGATTATTTCAGTATCCTAGGGTAAAGTGTTTACTGAACACCTCCTCCTGGATTGAAGTGGGCTTGACCTTAAGCAACCTGAAAATTTGCTGGAAGAAAATAAGTACATTCCACTAAGGATCTGTGAAATAGCAATTACTGTGAATACTAATCAAGGTGCTACTATACTGATTCTAGTAGATAGTGTCAAATGACTAAGACAGATCGTATGCAAGGGTGTGTAGGTGGGTGGAGGGCGGGTGCGAAGAATTAATTGGGAAGTTAGCAAATGGCAGCTACAGGAGAAGAAAAGAGTGATACTATGCTTGAGTTAATTCTGCAACCTTCAGGTATCCCTGGTATTTTCTCCTGAGGATAATTTGAGAGGAGAACCAAATCAAGAACCTCTTCAAAGGATCAAATACCACACTGTGTTAATGCCTATAAGAAACATTGTTATGGTGTAAATTAAATGCAAGTAGAAAAAAATATACCTGTAACTATTTTTAGGGACTTCATGATTTCACTTATTTCAGTAACCATTATTCATGTATAATCTTGCAAGGAAAATGAACATGGCCTCCCAGTAAGAAATAGAGCTCGGTTGTAACTGTCTCTTGTGACTTGTAATTAAAAAATCCGGTACACACTCTCTTACGGTTGAATAAAATGGATGAATTATTGCATTAAAATTAAAGAGTTAAGTATCTAGCTATGCAGGCAAATAAAGCCGCTATAAGAATTTTCCCGTATAAATGCAGAAGTATATAGCTCATTTCAGTGCCATGTTCTATTCTTAGAGTTAAAGCTGTTACAGAGTTGGAAATTAAGAGGAGGGAAGAGGTGCTCAGAAAAAGTTTCAAGTATATCTTTAAAGAATGTCAATCAATTTAACAGCTATATGACTAAATTGTGATGTGGAGTTTATAAGGGTCAAATCACAGAAAAGAAGGTTTCTTAGTGATTTCTTCTAATATGTTCCTTATTTTACAGAAAGGAAGATACTGAGGTACAAAGATTAATGACTTGCTGAAAGTCACACAGCAAGAGAAAACCAGCTTGAGAGACAGCTCCTGAGCCCTCTGGCTCATCTCTACAGAAGCAAATGTCATATACCCATATCACCTTGTGCCTAGTACAATGCCAATCACAATCCACACTGTTTACTGACTGGCTCCAAATGTCCAAACGATCTCATTCCAGGGCTCTTGGTATTCCTGGTCCCAAAGCCACACAGATTTTTCAATCTGATGTATGTCAGGGTATCAATCATGTTATTTTTATTGTGACTTTTACTTTCCTAATTCCAAGACACCCTGTTTCAAAGGAGAAGTAATTATATTCATATCCAATGCTAGTTTCCAAAGATTTACTAGTAATAATTAACCAGAATCCTTGAATCTTTTTGTGTAAAAAAGCAAGGCATAAATACATTATTTAAAAGTGTAATTAACCTTGACTCATAACTATATCTGAGGAGCTACTTCCAGGTGATGCTTGTACTTTAACCCACTACAGCTATCCTCTGCTTTAGCCAAATGTGCAGGAAGAATAATGGGCTATCCATGTATACTAAGCAAAAGCCATAAAGAAAGCCCAGATGAGGGGGAAGATTCCTGAGACAGTGACACCAAGATGGACAGTCAGCCATGGTGTCTTTGATCCTTGGTCCATCTCAACTCTGGTAATTTTGGTGGGTGGTGACTTCCCAGCACTATGCTGAGAATGATTCTGAGAAACTGACAAAACTTCTGATCAATTAGAGATGGAGGAATGGCCTTGTATCCACGAAGTGTGGCCCCTGTGGAGGCAGGCAAAGACAGGTCACTGTAGACAGGAGAAATGTCCTAGGAAGCAGAGCCCTAGGATTCAACGACCACACTCACTTTTCTCCAGAAGTGAGCAGGGGGCCAGAGGGTCTAGATAAGAAAACTAGGGGCTAGTGACCTTAAGTAGACAACAAGTGAAAGTTCTGCCCTGAATAATTCCATATGTAATTTTCTCCATTTCTTCCTTCTTCCCTCCTTCACTCTTTTCTTCCCTCCTTTCTATTTTTTTTATTTATAAGAATGTATTTCTACAACCACTTTGTTCTCAAAGGCTATGAGGCAGCTTACAAAGGTAACATAAACATTAGGTAACTGAAAACATTGGAAAGTGGGGACAGGCAGGAGGAGGAGAGGGAGGCAGATATGCAGAAGCAATAAAAATATAATAAAAATAAAGATAATGATGTGACAAGCTTGTCCTAAATGTTTACTATGTTGTTGGCAGAAAGTAATTTATAAGTATTAATTCCTTCAACCCTCACAGTAACCCTGTAAGAAAGGTACTATTACTACTCCATTTTCTAGATGTGGGAATTGAGGCACAGAGAAGTCTCATCGCAAATAAGTGGCTGAACTGAGATTCATGCCAGCCACACTCCAGATCCTGTACCCCACCAACCTTTGCTGTCTGTTTTGAAATAGGGGTAGTTTGTCATCACAATATCTGGTCTATAAGTTCTATACGCTTTTGCACAGGTAAGCCTCAAATACTCTCATCCATTAGGGCAAAGAGAGGCAGAGCCTTGAAGAATACCAGCAGAAGGCCCCCAGTGCTGTGTCTACATAAGGGGCAAGGCTGCCTGGACAACCAGCCAGATGCAGACTTCTTGAGCTGAGCAGGCACTCAGGAACCCAGGCACTGCTGCTGGGGGGCCTGGCCCTTCCATTCCCACCCCTGCTGGGTCACACCAGCCCACTGCCGTGAGTGAGGACGTGAGTCAGAACCTCTCAGGTGCCTTTTCCTCCATCCCACTAAAAGATCTGCATGGATCAGTGCTGTGTGTAGGCTGTTTGAAAAAGTTATGTATGATTCAAGTGGATGACAAAGAATATAAATGACATAATTTATCCTTTTATCTTTTGAGTTGACTTTATGACAAAATCCAAACTATATGTTAACTGCCTTCATTTGTAACTATTTAAACAATCATAAGGGGTAGTCAGATAAGAACATTTATAAACTATCTGGCTTCATGTGAATTTAGAATAGTGTGGGATTTTTTTTTTTTAAGGCA
The DNA here is from genome assembly GCF_000001405.40 of Homo sapiens. Lineage (NCBI taxonomy): Eukaryota > Metazoa > Chordata > Mammalia > Primates > Hominidae > Homo > Homo sapiens. The sequence continues at coordinate 41,204,021 of NC_000007.14, forward strand.
CATGTGAATACAAAGAAGGTTATGGCCTAAAAGAGAAAGACAGGAAAAGCATACATTATAAGATAAATAAAAAATTGAGAAATAGAGACCTTAAATATACGTAGATCCTGCGCAATTTGAATGCTTTAGTTCTGAGGGAGAAATGGACCAATAAGGTGATCTGGACAACACAGGTGTGCAGCTTGAACTTAGAGTTTAAAGGACAATTCAGAGTTGGAAACTGAATAACCTCCTTTCTGGCCCCCAGTAGGCCTAAAACCTTCGCGCTTCCACTCACATTGTCTTGTGATTTTCATGAATTTGTTCAACATGAACAACATGAATCTGCAATGCTCCCATGAGAATGCTGGATCTTGTAGATGCACTCCACTACAGCTCCCGCTGAAGTGAGCAGGACAGATGAAGAGACTGGAGCCAGGGAAGAACCTTCTCTCCAGCTCCATGAAAGCACCAGGTGTATAGTATAGAGGCTAATGATGGGGGGCTGTGGAGTCAGCCAGAAGGAGGTTTGACTTCCAAGTCAGCCACTCAACACTCACTGGAAGAGTGACTGGGGACAATTTATTGAAGCCCCAGGAGCTCCTCATCTCTAAGAGAGACCTACTCATGGGATTATTGTGAGGATTAAATGAACTAATTTATGTAAATGCTTTACACAGACATTGACACCATAAATAGGAGCTACTGCTGTTTTTATTTCTCATTTACATGGGGTTCTTGAATAGATAGTTGTATTCTTCACATTGTTCTTTTAAATATTTGCATTGATATTAATAACCCCTTGTTGTATTACAATTGGCCATGTCTCACAAATTAGTAGAGGATTAAGAAAATCAAACAACATATTGCAGATGGTCAAGGCTAGAAAATAAATTTAAAAAATATATATGATATGCTGAGATGACTGGAGAATAAATACAATTTATATAACAAAGGTGAATGAACCAAATTAACTTACTTAAAGACAAATATTCTCAGACTGTATTAAAATACACAATCTAATAGTATATATTTTATGAGATACTTTAAAAGCTATCAAAAATGTAAAAAAAAAATAAGTGGCAATATTAAAATAAGAAGAAATAGAATTCAAGGATAAATTAAAAATAGATAAAACTCTTTTTGCCAGAACATGAAACTCAATGCTTTTCTGCATTCCATAAAATTCATATTATTAATACTGGGAAACTTTTTAATAAACTTGCTTTTATTTTTTACTTGCCAAAGAGAAGAAAAACGTATACGGTTATATCTAATATAAGTGATATAATTAGTAGTTTGTTTATTCAGAGGTCAGCAACCTTTTTCTGTAAAGAGCCAGAGAGAAAGTATTTTAGGCTTTGTGGGTCACATATGGTCTCTGTTGCATATTCTTCTCTGAGAGTGTATGGTTTTTAAACGATCCTTTAAAAATATAAAAACTGCAAATAGCCCAAGGGCCATATATAAACAGACTCTGGGCTGGCAAGCCAGTTGGCTGACCCCTGATTTTTATGTATAATCTATGAAAGTATTCATATATTTCACATTATATTTAAGCAATTGATATTGTACTAATATTAATTACATTACAGGTATAATTTCCTACAAATGCCTTGTTTTTTTTTCCTTAAAGAGCACAGGAAACATTTACAAAAATTGACTAAATCGTAGGCCAAAAAGAAATCTTAAAATTTCCTAGATCAGGGGTTCTCAACATGTGGTCTGGGGATTTCTGGGGGTTTCCAAGATCCTTTCGGGTGATCCTCAAAGGTCAAATCTATTTTCATCATAATATGTGATGTTACTTGGCTTTTTCACTTTCAATCTCTCATGTAGATACAGTGGAGTTTTACAAAAGCTTCCTGACACATTACATCTCAACAGATTGAATGCAGAAGCAGACATGAGAATCCAGCTGTCTTCTATTGATCCAGACAGTAAAGAGATTTGCAAAATGTAAAACAATGCTACTTTTCTTCTATATTTTTCTGTTTTGAAAAACAGTAGTTTCCCATCAAAATATGTTACATATGTTAAGATGTAATGGGTATATTACTGCTACTTTAAATGAATTAATAAACATATATATTTAAATTTCTCAGTTTCTAGTATGGTAAATATTGATAGATACAAATAGCATGAACATATTCCTTAGGTGCCCTTTATAGTTTTTAAGAATGCAAAGAGGTTTTGAGAATAAAAACTTTGAGAACTACATTTCTAGAAAATACATGTACAGTCCACATCCTTTTACTGTAATACATTCATACAGTAATTAGGTATATTTACTGTTTTGATAGTGGACTAGCCCAGCCCTGAAACTTCTTAGAAACCAGCCCTCCCTTCTCACCACGGGACTATCTGCCATTCATCTAAGAAAGAAATACAAACAAGTTCAGGGCAAAAGGTACCTCTCAGTGTCTTTTCTAAAGAATTTTTGACATATGCAGTAGGGTTAGTCAACACAGGATAGGGCAGGGTCTAAACTTCAACTAAAGAGAAATGTCTAAACTGGGCTGCAGAAACAACGAATTGGGAGAATAGTAAATAATTAATAAGGGCTAACCTATGGCAGTTATATGAATTCAAGATGGGAAAGTGAAACCAAATGAAAAACCCTAATTGCATTTTTAATTGGATTAAGTGATTTCTCAACAACTGTGCAAATAATGTTAATTTTCCCTTCCAAAGCTCAAGAAAGAGATAATTGTTTTAAGAGCTAAGGCAGCTTTTAAAATAACGAATGAAGAAAAGCAAGACAAAACCAAGTCTACATGTCTCCAACCTAATGACTTGGGAAAATGGTAGAAAAATAAAAAAATAAATGCATTATTGATTGAAGTATAAAATATATTCAGAAAAGTATTCATATTATGCAGCTTGTGAATTTTCACAAAGTGAACATAGCTGAGTAAGCACCATCCACAGCAAGAAATAGAATGCAAACTCTCCAGTCACTATACCCTCTCCTCCCCCAAATAACCATTGTCTTCAGTGCTAACGCTATACATTAGTTCTTCTTCTTTCACAAATGTATATAAACGGAATCATTCATTATGAATTTACATTGCGAATTTTAACCCTTTGTATTTTCCCGCAGTTTCAACATCCCCCTAAACGGGCTGCGACGCCCCTGTCAGGTGACCGAGTGCACCAGTGTGTAAGGCTGGTCTCTGGCACAAATTCCCCGTCTTTCCCGCCTCTGCTGTGACCTAATGACATTCTGAATGTACCACTGAATTTCCCTCGTGCCCTTTGCTTGTGAACGCTACCTTGACCCCCAGTAAAGGCACTTGCCCACGGTCCTCGCTGGCTCTCAGCTCCCCACCTGCTTGGTTGAGCCCGCTTCTCCCCCATGTGGTCCCCTAGTGGCATGCGGTGATCCCTGTTCTGGGACCTGTGAGTATAATACACTGTTCTTCCTGTGCTTCTCATCTGTCCCCTCTTGTGGCTGCACCTGACTGACCATCTCATGAAAGGATACAAAACATTATTCATTTGTATTTGACATTCCTGCTCAACATTTTGTATGTGAAATTCATCCATACTCTAAGGTGTAGTGGTTATTTGTTGGTTTTCATTGATGTCAAGTATTTCATTGTATGAATATTCCCCAATCTATCCATTCTACTTGTTCATGGACAGTAATTTGTTTTTGTTTTTTTCTCCCTATCTTTTGGCTGTTACATATAGTTATGACAGGAACTCTCTTGTACATTTTTTCTGAGTGGGGGTGTGGGGGGTGGGGAGATGGGGCAAGGTGGGCTTGTTTAAGGCATTTCTGTTGGGTTTGTATCTAAGGATGCAATTACTGGGTCATATGCATATGCAGCATTAGTAGATAATTTCAATTTCACAAGTAGGAAATTGCAACAATTTACAATCCAAACAGCAATTTATGAGAATTCTAGTTGCTCCATCCTTCCTTTTTAATGTTAGCATTTTCATGGGGAGGTAGTAGCATCTTATCGTGGTTTTATTTCCCATTTTCCTTATGCTTGAGGTGGAGCATTTTTTCAGATATTCATTGGCAAATTAGACATCTTGTTTTGCGAAGAGGATATTCCTGTTCCTCCTTAGTGCTATTTTAAAAATTTGTGCTATTCATTCCTTAGTGTATTTTTAAAATTGAACTGTGTTTTTCTTATTGATTTATAGTTCTTCATATAAGATATGAGTCTTTTATTGGAAATACATATTGCAGATATGTTCTACCCATCTGTAGCTTGCCTTTTCATTCTCTTAAGTGTATCTTTTGATAAACAGAAGTTCTTTTTTTATACAGTCCAACTTCTCAATCTTTTCCTTTATGTTACTACTTTTTATGTTCTATTTAAGAAATCTTTGCTTTCTTGAAATTACAAAATAAATCTCCTATGTTGTTTTTTAGAAGCTGGATTGTTTTACCTTTTACATTTAGCAGTATATTTGTTTTACCTTTTACATTAAACAGTATATTTGGAATTAATTTTTTTTCTTTATGGTATGAAGTAGGGGTCAATAATCATTTTTTCCATTTAGAAATTCAACTGACCAAATACCACTTATTTAAAAGACTGTTCTTTCATTCTAAAGTGTCTTAAATCTGGTGTCCATATAAGAGTTGGTTTTCAGGATTTGCTATTCTGTTCAATTGGTCTATTCCCTTGTACCAGTAACATATTTTCTTAATTATTGTTAGTTTAAATTCATTTTTCATATGTGTTAGTGTGAGCCCTTTAACTTTATCCTTCTTCAAGAATAACTGGGCTAATCTCAGTCTACTAGTTGCTGCTATACTGCATTTCCGCATAAATGTTAGAATTACATTGTCAATTTTCATTGAAATCAAAAGGCGGCTGAGATTTTTATTGGGATTGCATTGAATCCAGATAAATTTGGGGACAGTTGGCATCTTTAAAATAATAGTGCTTCTAATTTATGAAGAATGCATTTATTCTGTGTATTTAGGTATTTTTCCTTCCTGTCTCTCAATAATGTTTTGTGATTTGCTATATAGAGGTTTTTCATAGAAGGTTAAATGTATTCCTAGAATTTGATGTTTGGTGATGTCATGTAAATGTTAGTTTTGTCTTTGAATTATATTTCCAAATGTTTATTTAGGACTGGTTTATTTAAAATATTGATTTTTGTATATTGTATCCAGAAAGCTTGCAGTATTCACTTGCTAAATACAATAATTTACGGATTTTCTATATTCACATCAAGTTATCTACAAATAATAGTCTTACTTCTTTTTTCTAATTCATATACCTTTCACCTCTTATTTTACCTTCTTACACTAATAGGATATTAGAAAATGTGTTGAAGAGAAGTGGTGATATGACTATTTTCTTTTCTATTCTTGATTCCAGGGTGGAAAAACTCAATATTTTGCTATTAAATTTAATATTTGCTGTAGGATTTTGTAGAGTTTAAAAACATCAATTATAGAAGTTTCCTTCTGTTTTTAGTTTGCTATTTTTTAACCTAAATTATGAATACATATTAAATTTGATCCACTTACGAAGATGATTGTATGATTTTTTCTTCTTTATTTTCTGAATTGTGATAAGTTCATCAGTTGGTTTTTTGTATGTTAAATGAAATTTGTATTGCTGGAATAAAATTTCTGAGTCATGATGTATTTCCCTTTATATATAGCAAGGTACAGTTTGCTAATACTTTCAGTAGGATTTTGCAACTATATTCATGAGAGACACAGGCCTGCATTTTCCTTTCTTGTAAATGTCGTTTCAGGTTTCATATCAAGGTTATGTTGGTCTTATCAAATGGATTGGAAAATGTTCTCTCTTTTTTTATTTTTAGGTTTTTTTTTTTGGTAAAATTTGGATAAATTCACTGGTGATGCCATCTAGGCCTTAAATTTTCTTTGTAGGAAAGTTTTAAATTACAGATTCAATTTCTTTAATAGATACAGATCTATACAGATTTTCTCTTTCCTTTTTGTGACAATTTCACAAAGTTGTATTTTTCTAGGAATTTGACTGTTTTTTAACTTTTCTAATTTATTGGCAAAAAATTAATAATCTCTTTTTATTTCTGCAATGTTTGTAGGATCTAGAAATGTCCTTTTTTATCCCTGAAATTGGTAATTTGTGTTTTTTAATCAACCTTGACAAAGTTTTATAAATATTATTAATTCACTAGTTTGTCAGTACTCCTCTGTATTGAATGTTTCTTGTCTAGTTTATTAATTTTTACTTCTTTCTCCCTTCTATTTTTTCCTTCTTCTCTTTCTCCTTTCTTGTTTATTGACTTCAGTTGTTTTACTCACTAGCATATGCTAGTAAGTAGAGACGTGCATTTTCCTTTAAGCACAACTTCAACTACAACTTTTAGGCCAGGTTTGCATTATCATTCATTTTAAAATATTACTTAACATCCACTTGGATTTCTTTTTTGAATCATAGATTATTTATAATTTTCTTGTTTAATTTCCAAGCATTTGGGAATTTTCTAGTTATCTTTTGTTATTGACATCTTGTTTAATTCCACTGTACTCAGTGAACCTTTCATAGATGAATTCAATACTTTGAAAGTTTTTGACCACTGCTATAGCTAAACTGATCAATTGAAACTGATCAATTTTGGTGAGTGCTTCAAGTGAACATGAAATAAGTAGTTTTAGTGCAAGCATTGATTGCATTAAACTGTAAATGTCAATTTGATTCAAGTTTGTTCATTGTGTTCTATAAATTTTCTATTTAAAGGTCTGTATTTTTCTGTCGGTTACTGAAATGTATACATTGTGAATTTGTCTATAAATCTCTACAGTTTTTCAAATTTTACTTTATATAATAGGAAAGTTATATGATAATATGCCTATAAATTTAGAGTGATTCTTTCTGGTGACTCGATCCTTTCATCCCGATGAAGTGTACCTCTTTGTCTCTAGTAATTCTTCTTGTCTGAAAGGCTACTTTCTTTTACATAAATATAGCAATGTCAGCCTTCTTGTGACTGTTTACATGATTTTATTTATCCCTTTACCTTCAAATGTTCCATATTTCTTTATGTTTTTCTTTTCAAAGTGACATATCATTGAGTTCTTTCTCCAGTCTGAAAATCTTTGTATTTTATTGGGTGTGCTTTAGTCAATTTCCATTTAATGTAATGATTGATATATTTATGTTTAAATCTCCTCTCTTATTATTTCCTTCTATTTGTCCACTTGTCTTTTAACCTCTCCTCTTTACTGATTTTGGGTTAAGTATTTTATAGTTTACATTTCCCTCTCTATTTACTTATTTGTTATGTATTCTTTTTCTTTTCTTTTTGTGCCTGAAGTCAGTTGAATAGTGTTCCCCCAAAATTCATATTAATTCAGTACCTCACAATGTGACTTTATTTGGAAACAAAGTCTTTGTAGGTGTAATTAGTTAAGATGAAGTCATAGTCAATCTGGGAGGACCCTAAATCCAATGATTAGTGTCCATATAAGAAGAAGAAAAGACACCCTGAGAGACACAAGGGAAGGAAGCCTGTGGTGATCAAGGCAGAAATTGGAGAGATGAAGCTACCAGCAAACAATCATCAAGGATTGCCAGGAGCCACCAGAAGATGAAGGAGGCAAGGAAGTACTCTTCCCTAGAGCCTTCAAAGGGAGCATGGCCCTTCCAGCACCTTGATTTTAGTTTTCTAATTTCTGCAACTGTGATGGAAAAAATTTCTGTTGTTTTAAGACCCCCAGCTTGTGGTAATTTGTTATGACAGCCCTAGGAAATTAGTAGTGTTTTCCCTGGATGTTATGAAATATAACTTTGACTTAGTTCAATATAAACTGGTGTTGCTACCAAGTATATGCAAGGACCTTAGGACATTGTAACTCCACTCACTCCAGTTTTGCCTTTTATACCATTGTTTCATGCATTTTAATTCTGCATATATTGTTTTCACAGTCAATAATAATTTAGGCTTACCCAAATATTGACCTTTTTTATTATGCCTCTTTCCTTCCTGATCTTCCCATGCTTCCAATTTGGATCATTTTACTTCTGTCAATTTCCTTTACTAATTCATTTAATGAAATCTATTGGTCATAAATTTTTTTATGTGTGTATGTCTGAAAATAATCTCATTCCACCTTCATTTTGTCAACATTGTATTATTACCTTTTTCAAACATCCAGCAAAGTTGAAAGTATTTTATGGTGTAAACCTATACCACATAGATTTGTATTTTACTGCATTTGCTTGATTAATATCACCTATCTCTTCATCTACTCATCCCTCTAGCTATCACTATATTTTGATTCCTTTGGTTCATGTCAAAGTAAATTGCACAGTTCATACACTTTCTCCTAAATGCTTCAGCATGTATATCACTAAATAGATGTTTGTAATTAATTAACTTTTCTTTTGGTTATATGTATATATGTACAGTGAAATGCACAAATACTATGCCTAAAGTTACTGAGTTTTGACTAATCCTTACTCCTGTGTAATCCAAAGAAATTTCCCTCATGCCCCTTCCCAGTCAATTCCTTTCCTTTCCCACCCAATTCCTTTCCTTTCCCACCCAAAGTCAACGACTGTTCTGCTTTTTCCATTATACATAAGTTTTTTCTGTTCTAGAATTGTATACCCTCTTGTGTAAGGCTTCTTTAAATCAGTATAATGTTTTGGGGACTCATCCGTGTTTTTGTGTGTGTCGGTACTTCCTACCTTTTTATTTTTCAATAATATTCCATTGTGTGAATACCACAGACTGTCGTTTATTCTTCCCTCATTGATGGAAACCTGAGTTTCTAGTTTTTGGCTATTATAAATATAGCTGCGATGAGCATTCTTGTATAAGTGTTTTTTATAATCAGATTTTCATTTTTCTTGGGCAAAATACCTAGGTGTAGAATTGCAAATGTTTACTTTTATACAAATCTGCCAGAATATTTTCAAAATTGTTGTATCATTTTATATCCCTACCAACAATATTTAAGTGTTCAGTCACTGTACAACCACACCAACAGTTGGTGTTGTCATCCTCTTATTTTTCATCATTCTGGTGGATATGTTGTAGTATCTTGTGGTTTTAATTTGCTTTTCCCTGATGATCAATGATATTTAGTACTTTTTTTTCTTTATTGGACATTTATTTTCTTCTTCGGTAAATAGATATTTAAATAATTGGCCCATTTATTATTGATTACCAGAATTCTTTACATATTCTGGATGCTTGTCTTCTATCTGCTATACATATTGCAAATATTCTTTCCAGTATGTGGCTTGCATATTCATTTTTTCAGTGGTATTTTTGATAGGCAGAACATTTGAATTTTGATGAAGGCTAATTGATCCTTTTTTTTGCAGATATTGTTTTCTGTGATCTATTTAAGAAATGTTTGCCTTCATCTAAGGGAGCAAAATATGTTCTTGCTTTCCTTTAAAGACATATGGTTTTAGCTTTTGTGTGTAGGTTTTGGATCTATCTTAAATTATTTTTGTGTCTGGTGTGAGGTAGAGATTGAGGTTCAATTTTTCCGTGTGAATATCTATTTACTCTCACATCATTTGTTGAAAAGGCATTCCTTTCCTCATTGAATTGTTTTGGTGCCATTATCAAAAATTAGGTGACCATTTAAGTGTGACTATATTTCTGGGCTCTTGATTCTGTTCTCTTAATGAATTTGTCAATCATATGTCAGTGCCACTCAGTCTCTATTACTGTAGCTTTATAATACAAGTTGAAATTATGTACTATCAATCCTCCACCTTTGTTCTTCTTTTCAAGATGTCTTTGACTATCCTTGGTCCTTTTTTCTGTTTCTCATCTTTATTATTCTTCTTTCTTCTACTTTCTTTGGCTTTACTTTTCTTTTCTTTTTCTAACTTCTTAAAGTGCAACCTTAAGTCACTGATTTTAGACTTTTCCTTTTTTTCTAATATAAATATTCAAAAACAATGTAATAAAAGAGGGGCTGGGCATTGTGGCTCACGCCTGTAATCCCAGCATTATGAGAGGCTGAGGTGGGCGGATCATGAGGTCAGGAGATTCAGACTATCCTGGCCCACATGGCGAAACCCTGTCTCTACTAAAAATACAAAAAATTAGCCAGGCATGGTAGTGAGCGCCTGTAGTCCCAGCTACTCAGGAGGCTGAGGCAGGAGAATTGCTTGAACCTGGGAGGCGGAGGCTACAGTGAGCCGAGATCACACCACTGCACTCCAACCTGGGCAACAGAGTGAGACTCTGTCTCCAAATAAATACATAAATAACTAAATAAGACAAAAGCTCCCTCTTAGCAATGCTTAATCTGTATTCCACAAATCTGGGTATTTTGTATATTCTTTGTCATTCAGGTTAAAATATTTTCTAGTTTACCCTATTAGAATTAATTAATTATTTATCAATTTTTCCATGGATTATTTTAAACTGTGTTGTTTATTTTTTCAATTTTTGAAACTTTCTTAGACATTTTATAGCTATAAATTCCCAATTGTGGGCAAAGAATACACTCTGTATGATATTGATTCTTTTATACTCACTGAGGCTTGCCAAGCACATGGTCAATCCTAGTGAATGTATCATATGCACTTTTTTTAAAGTTATTCCTTAGTACCAAGATGTCCAAAACGAAAGCCTGGGAAAGAGCTCTGATTTTGACTTCCCATGCTGCTGAGCCTACCGAAAGCTCTCATTTGCACTTCTCTATCTCTTAGCCTCTCATTTGAGAATCAGCAAATGCCCCAAGTGGGACAGTCACCCTTACTACCGGGCTTACTTCCCTGTGTTTCCGTTCTCTCTAGAGTCTTGCTCCTTCAAGTCTTCTTGCCTTGGGAGCCCTATGATGCTTCGAAGACATGTATTTAAATATTCTATTCAGCCTTTCTAGCTCTTTTCAGCAGGAGGGCTGGTGTCTGATCCAAGTCAGGAGTGTCAGGCTATGTCTTTCATAGCCAGGAGTGAAATTCTGAACTCTGGGTTTTAAAAAGTCAAAAATATTAGGGTCCAAATACTTCAGTTTTCAGTTTTAAAGCTTTTACATAAATTTAGGCAAGAATTTGTTTTGCTTGTTATTTATTCATTGACATTTTAGGGGCTATTGTTTATAATTCATAATAAAATATTCCATCATTTTAAGTATATTCTTAAAGGGTACTGAAGACTGTAGTAATACATAACAAATAATTATATTTTGTTTTGTTAATTTTTTGCCTTAACAAATAGGATATTATTAATGATTATTTGCATGTAGTATCATAATATGTAAATAAATGGCTAATTGTTATTATATATGTACATTTTCTTCAATAATATATGCACGGTCTGGATTCTATTGTCAAAATTGACAATTACTTTTTAGAAATAATTTTTTCCAAATATTATCCATTGTTTTTGTTACATTTGAGGCTTCCACCCTTATTCCAGGTTCTCCAAAAGCAGAGGAAATCAAAGCCAGCAGTTCTTGGTTGTCCCTGTATCATCAACTTGATGATTCTAGTAAACTGGAAGCCAAAGAATAAATGTGTATGCCTTCTGTCATGCTCTATTCATCTATTCTTGAGTAACTTTTGTGTTTTGCAGTGATGCATGAGGAAATCTGCAAATGAACACTTAGCATAAATAATTTCCATAAACTGAGCACCTGTGCTTCTTAAACTATTAATCTTTTCAAAGTGGACTTACCAGAGAAAATAAGTCCGAGGAAATCAACTCGTGTTCTCTTTAAGGTTATAGTTATTATTTTATCATCCTCGAAATCACTTTCAGCTTTATGATTTTAACTCTGAAACTCTGTTTGTGATATAAGTCCATTTTGCTTAAAGGTTAAATATGAATCTATATGATGGACTATAGAAACAAGAGAGTTATACTCTTTAGGTGGCACCATGCCATCTGTTTCTCATAGCATCAATTATTAATTCAATTATTTATTCTATGTTTTCTGAAATTATAAACACACTGCCAAATGCTTGTGAACTGTAGTTAACAACGACCTTAGGGTGACATTAGATACAGCATTCTTATCCAATTAGATGTGTTTCCACTCCTCCACCAAATTCTTTCAAATGAAAATTAGATATAAAACAAGCTGTGAGTCTAATTTTGAAATTCATATCCAGTTAAATTTTCAACTATGCATTTCTATATAAAATGAAAGTGCAATTGATGTAGTCTTTATATCATGATCATCCTGTTATTTGTCTGCTCCTTGAATAATCTCTTTTCTTTCTCTGCCTTCTTTACACTTTTTTCTCTTTTGACCTCCCCATGACAGGAACCCATCCACAGCTTTTTCTCACCCTGGCTGGTGTCCTAATAGAAAGAGATAATTCCTGCCATTGACTCTTAGAATGTCAAGTTGGTTGTCTAGAGGCCCCCTCAGTTCTGCCTTCATGCTTCTGCAGTTTTGGCTAAAGTGGAAAGTGTAGTTATACAAAAATGTCTTGGATCTCTGAGTGGAATTCATCAGATATTTCATTCCTTCACAGGATAGAGTATAGAACTACCTTTGTAGGGCAGCAACAGATCTTTCTACAATAAGCTCCTGGTACACAGATATTTGGAGGTCATGTGGAGCTGAAGACTTTCCCTTAGCTAACTCTTTTTAAGATACAGTATAATTTCTGCCTTTGTGACTAGATAATTTTATTTGAAAAAAATGCCTGTTATTGGTTTCTTGACCCATTATTTTATCTAATGGAAAGAGAAGATTTGACAATTTGGTGAAGGATCTTATCTTTCAATAAACTCAGGTGAACCATCCTTCCAAGTTTTTTGAGATTTCTTCTTTTGTGATGACAAAGAAAGGTGTGAAATCTGTCATATTGAAAAATCTATAAGGCTTTTCCAATACAGTCAGCATGGGAGTGGGGGTGAAATTTTAGCATGACCCCTGGATTTCCTGGCTGGTTGTTTTTCAATTGACTCTAGAGGTTAATTTTCCAAAGAGGACCCCACACTTTCTTGAACTAATTTCCTAGATGTTTTAAAAGTTTGATTCATAGCATTTTTCTGTTTAGATTTAACATAGAGAATTGTTGTTCACATCTCTGTGTAGCTTTGTCCATCTTGTCAACAACCCAGGGTTCTAAGGAATTGATGTCAAGTTAGACATTTCCTTAAAATACTTTCTTTTGTGATGTATATCCACAAATCAACTACATAGAAATGTTTTTGTTCATCTATTGGCAAACCTATTCACAATAGGACCTTACATAAAAATACTCCTGTAATTTGAACATCATTGCCTTCATCCTTCATTTCTCTGTCTTCAAATTTCCCCTCTTCACATTTTGTTCTCGAGCATATATGTTTTATTGAATCCATAGTTCAAGGGTCAATAACATTTTTATTATACATATTGCAAGTTACAGTTTCCTTACCTTTTTTTCCCAAAAGGAATTCCATTGCCCAAGGCTAACAATTACCAACTAAGCCAGATTTTACAGGAATACAATCTGTCAGTACTGTCGAAGTTTTCTCTTGTGGTTACCTCACTATTTATGTTTCAGAAGCGTGGGCACCAATGAATTATTTGTGCCCGGGCTGGCTTAATTCCACCTTTTCAGGAAACCTGTAACCAATGAACCATTCATTCTCACAATTTGCTGATTACAGGAAAGAGACAGCAACTCAGTATCTTGCAACTTGGCAAAACCTAAGGCTTGAGTTTGACTCATCTGGCCACTGGATTGACTTAGGCACCACTGGAACTGTACAGGAGACTGACCAAAAAAAACTTTATATGAAAAAAATCTTAGTTTTTAAAATTGTTCAGAGAGGCGGGAAGAGGGCTAATAGAAGTTACTGGGAAGAGGGAAAGGTGGGAATGCTCGTTGGCTAAAGCCCTCCACACAGGTCACTTCTTTGTTGTGACATTGGTTTTAGATGTGAAGTTTGAGTATCTTACTACAAAAAGGAAGAGAGAAGTACATATTAAACAATAATGGGCCATCAATGTATCATGATGACATATTGCATTTAAAATAATGCCATGAGGAAGCAAATGAGAAAGCCAGTTAAAGTCTAACTGCAAGAGAAAAGTATGCAGTGAGACCAAAAGTCATGCATTGTATGCAATGAATTAGCTTCTCCCCTGTGATGGAAATGTATTGGTGTATGCCGTCTCTGGTAGAATCTGAGAAATTTGTCATTCAACTCATTTTCTGTATTCTGTCTTTCAGATGAGGAATTCTGGTTGAGAAAGATGGTTTAAGCTATTAACCACTTATCAAGCTTTTCAAATTCTAATGTATTTGAAAATCTTGAAAAATGAAAAGTTCTAGATGATTGCTTTGTTTCATTTAATACTAAATAACAAACTCTCTATTAATTGTTTTTTCATGTCTTTAGAAAGTTAAAATCAAAGACATATTAAATTTTCAGACTTTTTCCCTTTTCATTTTATGGCAAATCATTACATTGGTGCCTCACTGTTTTAAATTATTTTGAAAGAAATTGTTACAGTGTTTCATAAAAGTCTAGACCAGTGTACCCTGAAAGGACTGTTCTTTTGGAGCTAAAGAAAGAAGAGTGGATTCCCAAGAATCTTGGAAAAAGTTGAAAGAGTCTTAGATCTGATTTTAAGTCCCTCTTTGGGAAAGACAAGATATTTATATTCAGTAATTGTTGTTTTTCTATTGGAAGCCATAGCCATGGTTTCCAATAAAATGAAGTAAATGAAATAATCTTAATTTTTTTTTCTTTGAAGCTTCTTTCATTTTACCAGAATTTTAGAATACCTGGTAAAAATCCAACTCTCTTGGATTGAGACACCTAAGTTGACATTTCTCTCCTAATCCCTAGAGAGCAACAGGGCTGGTGGGCAAATGTTGGTGGTGTCTTTATTAAATCACCAGTTCTCCCCCTCCCCTGTTTCACTCAGAAAGGAAGTCCAGGAGCAACCTTCAGAAGTGCGGGCTACTGTCATGGATCACCCTCAAATGCGTTCACACATCTTAATTTGCTTGGAGAAGTTAAAATGAATATGAAATACTAAAAAGATATTTAATCCTCTTGATGGTTCTAGTAATGTCCTATAAGCCTCAAAATAACGTGGCCTCAAATTTACTTCTTTTGAATCTCAAGCCAAATAGTGACATGCTTGGATTGGTGACTATAATCTCCCATTCGCTACCTTCACCAGCCTGTTGCTAAAATGTAGACAACTTAGTGCAAACCATGAAAGACCCCTTGGGTGGTCTACATTGGCCTGGTGAGGTGGACTGCTAATTCGGATTAGTGCCCTATCATAAACCCATAGAAAGTGACTCTAATGTTAACAATTGCACCCCTCCCCCAAAGAAAATGCGATCAATTTATGAAATAGTTCCATAAACACACACACATATACAAAACTTGGGATTCTTAAGAAAATAAGCAACCCACTTTCACTGAGTTGGACAGTCAGCAAGTTAGTGATTTTGTGGTTTGACCCTCATATGGTACATCAATCATGGCAAATTTCTTTCTTTCTCCATTCCAAGTAAAACCACGACTTCCCAGGCAACATGTCATTACCATCACAATAGGATCTGCTCCGTAATAGAGTTTGGATTGGGTCCTTAACTTTAAAGCCCTATTTGAAATCACAGCTTCCTTCCTGTTGCAACTTAGCTTTAAAACAGACTCCTAGTGATCTTGGCAAAACACTCTTTTCCCTTTAGTTTGTGGTTCTATTACCTTACAAGCCAGTTTGAATTTTCTGTTTTCCCACAAGAGACCAGATATTTCTAAAGTACTCCATTCTTTTCTATTTCTTCCTTTCTTAAGATGAGAAAAGGAGTACAGGAAGAATGGAAATAAAGTGTCCATAGTTTCATGGGACAGAAATTTAAATGCTCTACCGAGCAGAAGCATAATTTCTACTTAGTGAGGTCGATGACAACCTTATCCCCAGTTAAAGTACTAAATCATACAAATAAGCATCAAACCATCAGAAACATTTTGCAATAATGTTTACTATCAAATTGAAAATATAAGTATTAATATGCTAATATTAGAGGTGAATAAAATATTTTATATTTAATTTGACTTTTCAGACATCTGATTTTGAATTTGTAGTCAAATGAACTTGAATATAAAAATAGCACAGCACGGTTACTCTCAAGGGTACCAAATATTTTCATATACATCAACAAACTTCCTCATAATGTTTGACAGGTAAGCAGGGGGCAGGTACAATTGATCCAATTTTATGCAGGGAGAAATTTCATGACGGCAGTGATATACTTCCTGGCAGGGTCCCAATGGCTAAAAATATCTCCTCCCCTAACTTCTTTTTTCACCTCACTTAATTTTATTCCTGAAATTCCATTAATTAGATATTTATTCTGGTTAAAAACAAATCTTTTAAATCAAACAAATCCATATTTTATAGCTATAGAGGAGGCTCTTTAGAAATTCACACACTTAGATAATTTGGTTCAAGCAACTCCTTTTTTTTCAATACAAAATTAGATAATGACACTAACAACATTAAATGTTGCATCATAGCCATTTCCAGCCTGCAATTCACTTTTACATCAAATTTTTCCATTTTCACTCTAATCCTGTGATGTTGAAATTGTTCACAATATTGTTTTCTGTGTATAAACAGAATCATAGCATGGAAATTCTAAATTGAGTGTGAAGATACATCTAATACTTGAAACTGAATCTCCTGATTTTAAATCCCACATGCTCTCAGCTCTAGCTCCGTGTTCTCATGGACTTAACCTCTGTTTCTTGTTGGGAAGAAAGGGGTTTTGCACAGGAGTAGAGAGAGGTGCTGCCTAACTCTGCTGTAATAGGGGAGAAGGGCAGACTTGGGTGGAACTGTTTGAGGCTATTCCTATGGACTATGGAGAGTAGCCCTGGAAGCTGAGATGATTCCAAGTTTTTTATATTTCAAGAGAATTGCATCTGGGAAACAAAAGGAAATTTGCTTATTTTATTTTCTTCTTTCTCCTCATCTTCCCCAGGACCTCTTATTCCAGAAACTCAACTTCAGTCTCATAGTCAAATAGATGAGTTGCTATTAAAGGAGCTCTTTGCTACCTAGCCTGGAAACCTAACCACCATTACTAGGTAAAAAAATTCCCTTGGAAGATGAGTCTTAAAATCTAAATAATTGACTTACATAAGAATTTTTTCATGTTTTCTTTTATTGATATGTAATAGTTGCAAGGAATTTATCTTTTTTCAGGACAGAATGAAGCTTCCTGTATATTGGTGACTTCCACTTTTTACTTATAAATATCTCAGGAAGGATTAGGGAAAACCAAACTTTCTGAGTAACTTGTCACTAAAATATTTGCTCTTCTACCTTTTTTTTCCTACTTGCTGGCTGACCTAGGCTGTTCCCATGGCACCTGCTACCATCTGCTCTGTGCTAAACTCTTTCAAATGCAGGTATAAATTACTTTTTCAACACACTTCTGCTACTCATTCTATTAAGTGACCCAACCAAATATAAGTTTCTATTGGCCTAAAAATAGATCTCCTGCCATCTGGAGCCCCAAGTTTCTGCATTTTCTCTTTCACCTCGGAGCAACTCCAGCAGTCATAAAAGAACTTCACCTGATGTAATTGTATCTGCTTCCAACTGCTCCAAACGCATTCTGGAGCTTTCGTTCTGAGTGAATAATTCTCCCTTGTATCACCAGGCTTCCTGAAGGGATCAGATGCTCATTCATTTGGACATTTTCAAATCATCAAGAAAAACTTAACAAATCCCAGAGTTTGATTTTAGCCTTAGTCTTAGCATTTGATTAAGTTTCTTGTACTATACATGCGTAGACCATATCTAAAAACTCTCAAATTAATCATAACCCACGTCTTCCCACAAGTCTCTAAAAGCAAAGTAGGTAAAAGAGGCCAGGTAATTTTTTAAAGTTTTACTTGCCATTGAAATAGATGAAAGTCAAAATACACAATAAGTCCATACTTGAATTTGCATGGATTTTTAAATGGAATGTATTATAGCAAGTCCATAAACAGAATAACATGTTAATATTCAACAGAATAAGGGGCGAGAAGTACATTGATGCCAGATTTTAGGAAAATTCCCTAAATTTTATGGATAGCAAGCACAGAAAAATTTGTTTTGTCTCAAAACACTAAGTGCCAATACATTTTAACAACATTTGGAAAGTTCCAGGCTCTGCAACTGTCCTTGGATTCTTCCCTGTAAATTTCAGGTAGTTCTCAGCTTTCCTTCTTAATTGTTTCCTCTGCCTGCTCCCAATATTTCCCTGGAAATTTTCACCTTCTCTTGACTTCTCTTCTTTCTGACATGTATGTTCCTTAAACCTCTCCTTCCAACTCTTCTGAAATCTAAACACAAATTTCCAAGTAACTCCTTGGCCCTGCCCTTGGGGTGGCTGCAGCACATTAAAGCCAATCGTAAGGCATTCGCCGTCTCTCCCTCTTGCCATGAACCCACCCTAGTCCAGAGGTGCAGCTCCTGGGGTTGCTAACTCAGTGAATGGCCACACGCCCAGGCAACCACCAATGCTAAGGCACACAAACTACTTTCTTCCTTCCATTTTCAAAAGTCAAAAGACCACAGGTCCCTGTCAATGGTGTGTCCTTTATGGCTATCTCATCATCTTTCTATTACTAGGGAAACTTCATTTCAATGGCTTGCAGCTTCTTTCAACTCCAACCTGTTATAAAATAGATTCAACCCTGTTTTTCCCCATGAGCTAAAACAAACCAAAAATCTCTGAGCGTAGATATTCAGTATCTTTATAATTGACTACAACATTTTTTTTTCTTACCTGGTCTTCCAAAACTCTTTAGACAATATCAACTTTTTTCTAGTCTAGTGGCAGTCCACCCAGAACAACTATAACTGCACCTAAGAGCTTGTTAGAAATGCACATTCTCAGGCCCCACCCTACGCCAACTCAGCCAGCTCTGTGATTCATAAGCCTGCCCCATGATCCTCCGGCACACTGAAGTTCCAGAACTACTGCTCTAGGCATAATGCTTTATTTATTTTCTTACAAACATATCACATCCTTTTACGTCATACCTTAATTCTAGAAATTTCCTATATCTGGAATGCCCTTCTTCTTAGTCATTTTTAAAATGTCTTTCTTTCATTTAGGAATCTTTCTAAAAGTAGCCACTTCTTAAGACTCTCCAATATCCTCAGGCAGGATTAACAGCTATGTTTTCTTCCTTCCAAAGTACTTTATTTATTTATACCTTTCTATACTATCATCTGACTTATAGTTAAAAATGACGTGTTTCTCTTGAGAACTCCAAATTGATTTTCCTTAGTAAATGATAGCAGAGAAGGAGCTGTACCTTCCTCAGCAATAATAAGTACTCAATAAAAGAACTCAGGCCAGGTGCGATGGCTCATGCCTGTAATCCCAGCACTTGGGGAGGCTAAGGAGGGTGGATCACCTGAGGTCAGGAGTTTGAGACCAGCCTGGCCAACATGACAAAACCTCGTCTCTACTAAAAATACAAAAATTAACTGGGTGTGGTGGCTGATGCCTGTAATCCCAGCTACTTGAGAGGCTGAGGCAGGAGAAACACGTGAACCCGGGAGGCAGAGGTTGCAGTGAGCTCAGTTTGTGCCATTGCACTCCAGCCTGGGCAACAAGAGTGAAACTCCATCTCAGAAAAAACAAACAAAAAAAATACATTGTTACTCTTATAACAAATAAAAGGGCATTTCCTAATCCAATCCCTTTTATATAAAATTTTGGATTTAAAAGTTCTTTTCATAGAGTATTTTAATGGAAAGAAATGAAAAACATCATATGAAAAAGATTGTTAACAATATGTACAAGCAACTGACTCATAAAAAAGTCAAATAGAATCAGTTGTAAAATTTCTGAACTAAGATTCACGGCACATTAAATCTAAACTGCAAAGAATTAAAACAACGTTTCAATGATTCTTAAAATAACCACATCATAAAATAGATTTGAGTTGGTAAACATAACACTTATCTCTTCCAGTTTTAATCGACTTAGGTTTTATTTTCTTAAAATTGAAGAAAATTGAGTTTTGTCTTATAAAACTTAAAATCTTTTTTACAAGCATTTATTAAATAAAAATAACCATTAATGATTCACACATGGGGCTGTTTCTACTATGATTTGTAGAGCACAGCTTTCCAGATTATTATTAAACATTCTAGAAAAAAGGATTGGATAATTTGTTATTGAATCATTCTGTGGTTCAATTTTCCAACTACCTGGCTACATGGGCTCAAAATGAAAAACTTTAAAAATGATGGTGTCATCACGAATCATGATATTATGAAAAAAATCTTATCTCCTTCAAAGGCAAACATAGCAATGTCATATTTCACGTCATATGTATAAAGCAATTGTGTTACTCACAAAACACCTTCAAAACTCATCGTTACTCATTTAAAGATCACAGGGTCCTTTTACTTATCAGAAAGGAGCATTTTCCTGCTGGTGTGAAAGCCACACAGCTAGTAAGTTCATTTGTTCACTTGTTTATCCATTGCCTTCGAAATGACTAGGGGATGCTTATTATGAAGGCAGCATTATTGTAGGTACAGAACATTTGCCTTTCCCCGCAGAAATTAGGCCCTGGTGAGGAAATAATACAGGTCACACAGTGATGAGTGAGTACTCTCACAGAGGGATGCAATTTCCTAAGCATAGGAAGTGCTAACAGAAGAGGCATGTGACTCAGAGGTATACAATTGAAGGATTGAAGAAATTTTCTCAGAACTGGAAGTTCCAGTTGTGTAGGTGAAGGGAGGGGAATGAGGAAGAAGAGGTTCCCAGCGGAAACAGTAGCATGTGTGGACTTGAGCTGTGTGGTCCAGAAGATAAGTATCCTTGGAGCAAACAGCGGCAAAGGGAAAACTGAGATGGAAAGATGGAGAGATTTAGGCCTGAAATATGAACTTACAGCAATCAGCATAAGAATGGTAATTGGAATTATGGGGAGATTAAATTACCTAGCCAAAGTGTGTTGAGTGGGGAGAGAAACTGTTCAGCCACGGAACCTGAAAATCACTGTCCCTGGAGGAGCTGAGAGAGCACAGTTAGCAGGTGGGAAGTGCGGGGAGGGACAGGAGTGGCAGGCAGAACACCCACCGGGAGGACACTCTAAAGGAAGGGATCGTCACTGTCTAAGGCTGTGGATGCAGACCATGCTGATAGAGAGAAGGATAGACATCCTCCACAGGCGAGTGTGCAGGTGTAAAAGGAAAGAAGCTAATGAACTTCCCGACAGAAAGTGTCTACTTTTCAGCAAAGCAGGGGTACAACTTTCTGCGGGACATGAAGGCCCATGCATGGAGTGAGAGGATGGACACAGCCACATTCAGGAGTGGCAGCATGAGTTCACCACCACACCCAGAAGCAGGACACTCATTTCTGGGTAGAAATCTTTAACTTTCAGTGAATCCAACACATGCAGTTGTATTATCTGATCTATCTCCAGCAGGAGACAGAGGAGCAGAGCTCGTGCACAGTTGGCTTGATTTTGAATGAGACTGACAATGCAGCTGAAACAGGATGGTGGCCAGGGCACAGTGAGGCAGGTAGAAAGCCTGTGGGAGCAAAATATAAGGAGGTGCTCACCTTCAGTGTCATGCAAGTGACTCAGATAAATGTCGTGAAGATGAAGGAGGAAGACAGAGGGAAAGACAAATGACCAAAAGGAAAGGGGTGTTAGGCGATGGCCTGGGCTCTAACCCTGCCTAGGGGAGGCTGATGTGCATTAAAGGTGAAAATGTTTGAGATGAAGAGACTGAGTCTGTTGCCCTTGCACAACCTGAAGTCACTTGAGTCGACGGCAGGAACCAGGAAGAGGAAGGCTGTGAGCTTGGTCCCGACATCCTCAGTGGATAAGAACAAGCTCTAGGAAGTCTGTCCAGGGAAAGGTGGAGGCTTCTACTGGACAACCTGACCTCAAGTGACCAGAAACTGAGTATGATGGGGGAGAGGTGGGTGCAGCAGTGGAGAGGAAGCTCTCAGGAGCTCTGGGGAGCTGGCCAGTGCTTCTCCTAACCGAGAGACACGTGGTTTTGGGGGATTGAGCTCCTTTGAGTGATGTGGTGCCCCCAAGGGAGAGTAAAATCACTTAAATAAGCATTAAATAAAAATTAAAGGAGGCCATTCTTGTGGGCTAAGCTCCTGCACTAGCCCCAACAGACCAGACTAAAAACTAAAATGGAGTCATTAATTCTGAGGTTCTTCTTCACCAAACCAAAACTGAGTTATCTGGTCTTCGGAGAAATCAGGAGAGAGAGATCAAATCCAAATTTCCCAAACAGGCCAGTTTCAATGGCATGCTAATGAAGTTCCCCATTGCCTTTAGTCCTTACAAAAAAAGAGTAACCTAATGTTAACAAATCAATTATTTCTCTATTCTTCTGTTTTCCTGTTCCCACATTAAAGTAACTTTGAAATGACCAATTCACAGTTTGCTTCCTGTTCCTGCTTTCTTCAGCCCCTCTCCGAATATAAAACTAATCTCCTGTGCTACACTTATTGGAACATTTATTATGGAACAAAGTGTTGCCTGATTCTGGAATATCAAATAAAGACAATTCAGATCTTTAAACTAAATTGTTGTAATTTTGTCTTTGGACAGTGGGGGAGTAGATGGGATGTGCAGCACAGAGGTTACCAGGTGAAAGAGAACTGTGCCCTTGGGTTCCAAAGGGAGTGAAAAGGTGGATGGATTAGGGAAGACACAGGGCAAAGCAAAACAGATGAGATGATGGGAGAGGGCTCATGACAAGACACTTACCTGAAAATGTCTTTATTTCAGTCATACTTAAACATTCACTTTTTCTGAATACACGATTCTAGTCTGACAAGTGTTTTCCCTCAACATATTGAACAGTGGAAGATACTCCTCAATTTTTGATAGGGTTACATCATAATGGGGGTTAGATAAACTGAAAATATCCTAGTTGAAAACACAGTTTTGACTTAGGATATTTTCAACTTATGATGGTTTGTGCAGACATAATCTCATCACAAGTCAAGGAACATACTGAATGCACATTGGTTCATCACCATTATGAAGCAGAACAATTGTAAGTCAAGTCACCATAATTTGGGAACTGTCTAAATTTGTCAATCTAAATGTCATTTCACATTGATGATCTTTTTTTTTTTATTTTTGTTTTTCCTCACAGGCTGCTTTAAAGGTATTCTCTTGGTATTGTTGTACTTTAATCTTACAACAAAGTGTGTATTAATAGATGGATTCCTTTTTTTGCCTTGGGACATCAGTTTCTGTAGACATGAATTTATCTTTCATCAGCTTTTGGTAAAATATTCTTAAATATTGATACCCCTTCATTTGCTCCTTTTGGAACACCAATCAAAAATATATTAAAACCTTATTCTTCTTTAATGAAGCCACCTTTGCAAAATTATGAAAGTAAGAGAATTCTGACATAGTTGACTCCATCTTGCTTCTAACTTCTAAACTGTCCTTGGTTATTCCTGGGTGCAGGTCAAGCTATCTTTGGGAGAAATTTAGTTTATAGTTTAACTTTAAAAACAAGAATGATAATAGTGCTTCCCAAGAGGAAACTGCCTTTATAAAACTAATGAAAGGCCACAAGGTTAGGATTATGGGAGGAGGCTAAATTCTGCTTAAATGAGTGTAGTTTATTTATTTATTTATTTTTCTTTTTTTCTTTTTGAGATGGAGTCTCGCTCTGTAGCCCAGGCTGGAGTGCATTGGCGCCATCTGGACTCACTGCAACCTCCACCTCCCGGGTCCCGGTTCAAGCAATTCTCCCGCCTTAGCCTCCTGAGTAGCTGGGATTACAGGCACATGACACCATGCCCAGCTAATTTTTGTATTTTTAGTAGAGACAGGGTTTCACCATGTTGGTCAGGCTGGTCTCAAACTCCTGACCTCATGATCTGCCCGCTTCGGCTACCCAAAGTGCTGGGATTACAGGCATGAGCCACCACACCTGGCAAAATGAATGTAGTTTCTACAATCCTTTATCCCTCAGGAGTCATGTGGCCAGAGGTCACGTAATCTGTGACTTCCCCAGTTGCTTCTATAGATAACATCACTATTATAGAGGCTAAGATTGGTCTTTAAAAATTTTTTTAATGTTTTTATTTCAATAGGTTTTTAGGGAACAGGTGGTGTTTGGTTACATGAATAAGTTCTTTAGTGGTGATTTCTGAGATTCTGGTGCCCTCATCACCCGAGCAGTGTACCCTGTACCCAATGTGTTGTCTTTTATCTCTCAATACCCCCTACCCTTTCCCCTGAGTCCCCAAAGTCCAATGTATCATTTTTATGCCTTTGCGTCTTCATAGCTTAGCTCCCACATGTGAGTGAGAACATATGATGTTTTGTTTTCTGTTCTTGAGTTACTTACTTTAGAATAATAGTCTTCAATTCCATCCAAGTTGCTGTGAATGCCATTATTTCATTCCTTTTTATGTCTGAGTAGTATTCCATGGTGTGTGTGTGTGTGTGTGTGTGTGTGTGTGTGTGTATGATGGCCATTTGGGCTGGTTCCATATTTTGGCAACTGCAAATTGTGCGCTATAAACGTGCTTGTGCAAGTATCTTTTTCATACAGTGACTTCTTTTCCTCTGGGTAGATACCTTGTAGTGGGATTGCTGGATCAAACAGTAATCTACTTTCAGTTCTTTAAGGAATCTCCACACTGTTTTCCATAGTGGTTGCACTAGTTTACATTCCCATCAACAGTGTAAAAGTGTTCCTTTTCACCGCATTTATGGCAACATCTATTTTTTTTTATTATGGCCATTCTTGCAGGAGGGAGGTGGTATTGGATTGTGGTTTTGATTTCATTTCCCTCATAATTAGTGATGTTGAGCATTTTTCCATATGCTTGTCAGCCATTTGTATATTTTCTTTTGAGAATTGTCTATTCATGTCCTTAGCCCACTTTTTGATGGGATTGTTTGGGATTTTTTTTGTTGTTAATTCATTTTTTTGTTGTTAATTCATTTGAGTTTTTTGTAGGCTCTGGATATTAGTCCTTTGTCAGAGTCCTTTGTCAGTTCAAAGAATTTTTTAATTTCCATCTTGATTTCATTGTAACCCAATGACCATTCTGGAGCAGGTTATTTAATTTCCATGGATTTCCATGGTTTTGAGGGTTCCTTTTGGAACTGATTTCCAATTTTATTCCACTGTGGTCTGAGAGAGTACTTGCTATAATTTCAATTTTCTTAAATTTATGGAGACTTGCTTTGTGTCCTATCATATGGTCTATCTCGGAAAATGTTCCGTGTGCTGATGAATAGAATGTGCATTCTGCCGTTGTTGGGTAGAATGTTCTGTAAATATCTGTTAAGTCCATTTGTTGTAGGGTATAGTTTAAGTCCATTGTTTCTTTGTTGACCTTCTGTCTTGATGATCTGTCTAGTGCTGTCAGTGGAGTATTAAAGTCCACCATTATTATCGTGTTGGCATCTATCTCATTTTTTGGGTCTAGTAGGAATTGTTTTATAAATTTGAGAGGTCCAATGTTAGGGGCATACATATTTAGAATTGTGGTATTTTCCTGTTGGACTAGTTCTTTTGCCCTTACATAATGTTCCCCTTTGTTTTTTTTACCTGCTATTGCTTAAAGTTTGTTTTGTCTGATATAAGAATAGCTGCTTCTGCTCACTTTTGGTGTCATTTACATGTAACATCTTTTTCAACTCCTTTACCTTTAAGTGTGTGTGAGTCCTTATGTGTTAGGTGAGTCTCTTAAAGACAGCAGAAACTTGGTTGATTAATTTTTATTCATTCTACTATTCTGTATCTTTTAAGTGGTGCATTTAGGCCACTTACATTCAATGTTATCATTGATACATGAGGTACTATTCTATTCATCATGCTGTTTGATGCCCGAATACCTTGTTTTTTTTTTTTTCACTGTGTTATTGTTATATAGGTCCTGTGAGATTTATGCTTTAAAGAGATTTTATTTTGGTGTATTTTGAGGATTTGTTTCAAGATTTAGAGCTCCTTTTAGCAGTTCTTGTAGTGCTGGCTTGGTAGTAGCAAATTATCTCAGCATTTGTTTGTCTGGAAAAGACTGTATTTTTCCTTCTTTTATGAAGCTTAGTTTTGCTGGATAAAACATTCTTGGCTGATAATTGCTTTGCTTAAGGGGGCTAAATATAGGACCCCAATTTCTTCAAGCTTGTAGGGTTTCTGCTGAGAAATCTGCTGTTAATCTGATAAATTTTCCTTTATAGGTTACCTGGGGCTTTTGCCGTGCAGCTCTTAAGATTCTTTCCTTCATCTTGACTTTAGATGATCTGATGACTATGTGCCTAGGCCATGATCTTTTTGCGACGAATTTCCCAGGTGTTCTTTGAGCTTCTTATATTTGCATGTCTAGATCTCTAGTATGGCCAGGGAAGTTTTCCTCAATTATTCCCTCAAATA
This sequence comes from Homo sapiens, assembly GCF_000001405.40. Taxonomy (NCBI): domain Eukaryota; kingdom Metazoa; phylum Chordata; class Mammalia; order Primates; family Hominidae; genus Homo; species Homo sapiens. The sequence continues at coordinate 41,230,341 of NC_000007.14, forward strand.
TGCTCTCCAAACTTTTGGATTTCTCGTCTACCTCAGGAACACCGATTATTCTTAGGTTTGAATGTTTAATATAGTGCCAAACTTCTTGGAGGCTTTGTTCATTTTTTCTAAATTCTTTTTTCTTTGTCTTTAATGGATTGAGTTAATTCTAAAGCCTTGTCTTCAAGCTCTGAAGTTCTTTATTCTGCTTGTTTGTTTCTGTTGCTGAGACTTTCCTGGGCATTCTGCATTTCCATTCTCCTTGATTTCCAGAAGTTGTGATTTTTTTGAAATTTATGCTGTCTATTTCACTGAAGAATTTTCCTTTCATATCCTGTATCGTGTTTTTTATTTCTTTAAGTTGGACTTCACTTTTCTCTGGTGCCTCCTTGATTAGCTTAATAATGGGCCTTCTGAATTCTTTTTCTCACAACTCAGAAATTTTATCTTGGTTTGGATCCATTGCTGGTGAGCTGGTATGATCTTTCAGGGGTGTTAAAGAACCTCGTTTTACCATATTACTACAGTTGCTTTTCTGGTTCCTTCTTATTTGGGTAGACAATGTCAGAGGGAAGATCTGGGATTCAAGCAGTTCAGATTCTTTTGTTTCCTGGGGTGCTCCCTTGGTGTGGTGTTCTCCCCCTTCCCCTAGGAATGGAGCTTCCCAGGAGCCAAACTGTAGTAATTGTTTTTGCTCTTCTGGATCTAGCCACCCAGCGGAGCTTCCGGGCTCCAGGCTGGTACTGGGAAGTGTCTGCAAAGAGTCCTGTGATGTGATCCGTCTTCAGGTCTTGCAGCCATGGATACCAGCACTTGCTCCAGTGGAGGTAGCAGAGGAGTAAAGTGGAGTCTGTGAGGATCCTTGGTTGTGTTTTTGTTTAGTGCGCCGGTTTTGCGTTGGTTGGCCTCCAGCCAGCAGATGGCACTTTTCTTTTCTTTTTTTCTCTCTCTTTTTTTTTTTTCTTTGAGACAGAGTCTCCCTCTGTCACCAGGCTGGAGTGCAGTGGCATGATCTCGGCTCATGGCTCATGGCTCACTGCAATCTCCAACTCCCTGGTTCAAGTGATTCTCCTGCCTAAGCCTCCCAGGTAGCTGGGGTTACAGACATGCACCACCACATCCAGCTAATTTTTGTATTTTTAGTAGAGATGGGGTTTCACCATGTTGGCCAGGATGGTCTTGATCTCCTGACCTCATGATAAGCCCGCCTTGGCCTCCCAAAGTGCTGGGATTATAGGTGTGAGCCACCGCACCTGGCCAATGACACTTTCAAGAGCGCATCAGCTGTGGTCTTATAGGGAGGATGTAACTTGCCCTAGAGACACCTGGTTAAGTATTCAGGTTTATCAGGCAGTGGGCAGGGCCATAGAGCTTCCAAGAGATTATGACCTTCGTCTTCAGCTACTAGGGCAAATAGAGAAAGACCACCAGTTTGGGGCAGGGATTGGCATGTCTAGCTCAGCCTCTTCTTGGGCAGGGCTTGCTGTGGCTGCTGTGGGGTTTGGGGGTGTGGTTCCCAGTCCAATGGAGTTATATTCCCAGGGTGATTATGGCTGCCTCTGCTAAGTCATACACGTTGCCAGGGATGTGGGGGAAAGCCAGCAGTCACCGGCCTCACTCTGCTCCCACACAGCCAACAGTCCTAAAGGCCGGTCTCGCTCCCATTATGCCCCCACAGCAGCACTGAGTCTATTTCCTAGCAGCCAGTAACCAGGGCTGAGAACGTGTCCCAGATCAGGAGACTCCCCGTTGAGAAGGCAAGAAGACTCACAATTTTTTGTCATCTCAGAGAGTCTGCAGCAGTGATTCAGCTTTCCTGATATGTTCCTGCAATAGTTCTTGGAGCAGAAGTTTGCTATGTAATTCTCCACATGCTGCTCTGCCAGAGCGGGAGTGCCAAGCTAGTCCTGCCTCCTATCTGCCATCTTAATCCAAAATTTTTCAAGATTGGTCTTTTAAGATGTTGTTCAGACTGACTCTACCAAGACTCATGACTCATGACTCAACTGATCCTGTGGTCCCCACCCAGAGGCAGACTCAGTGCATGAGGATCATTTTTCATACCTCTATGATTGCATTCCCCAACCATTCAACAGTACCCATTCCCCAGTCTCCTGTCCACCAAACTAACCTTGAAAACCCCTAACCTCCAATCCTGTCGGGAAACTGATTTGAGTGATAACTCTAGTTCCCCCATGTGGCCAGCCTCATGTCAATTAAACTCTTTCTTTACCTCAATCCTACAGTTCCAGTGAATTGGTTTTGACTGTGCAGCAGGCAGGGAGTACCCATCGTGTGATTACATTAATGCCTGTTAATATCTTTCATGGAGTTCATCTCCTTACCTCTCTTTGCTGCATTCTGGATAACCTTTTAAAATTTATTTGACAGTTCTCTAATTCACTCTTCAGCTATGTGTAATCTTTTTAACTCACTAGTTGTGCTTTTGACTTCAAATTGTTTTAGTTTTAAAATTTCTTTATGGTTCTTTTTTCCGAACCTGTATGGACATGTTTTTATAATATCATCCTCCATACTCATTTGCTAAAATCAAGACTTCATTACATTAAACATTTCATAATAATTTTATGACATTTTATTTTATAATATGATACTTATTTCATAATTTTAGTATGATATATCATAATTTCATATTTTTCATCTGATAATTCAGAAGATTTTTGGAGATTTTGAGCAATTGTTTATGGTTTCTGCTGACCTCCATCACAGTGTCTTGTTTCATTGCGTGTGTTAAATAGAATTGAATCTGTGGGAATCTTGAGGCCTAAATTGTGGATGCTTTCCTCCAGATATGATTTGTATTTGCTTCTGCCAAGAGGCAGGCAAAGCTAAGTTGCAGCTGTCTTAGAAGGTCTCTGCTTAAGGGGAAATATTCAGGTTTAGCTTTTCTACCTTGAGGTCAGCCGAAGGCTTAGTCTTGAAATCACATGTCTGATGAAGAGAAGCACCTTCAGCACAATCCTCCCCTTCCTTATTGCTCACTGCTCTCAGCTATCTGCTCTGGTTTCAGCCATTTGTTCTTTTTTGTTTGTGTTTTTGTCTATAGGAAGTTTACTCTATTTCCTAGGGAACTGAGAAACACATTTTGAATTATATATGCAGTAATTTATACAGAATAATTTGGAGGGGAGGTATATCAAAATTTCCTGGGTATGTATCACCTATGGGAGCTGTTCTCAATTCTCATGACTCTGAGAATCATTCTCTCAAGGATCATAATGCCCACTAATCTGTATTGTAACCTATCTTTGAAATATGCAGGGTAAAACAATGAAAAAGTAGGAAATGAGAGAGATCCTTAAATGCTATTAGCTTCAAGAACCTTCACTGTCACTGACATTTTCCCTTACACATACTTTAAAAATGTGGTCAACATTTAGTCATTTGTATGGAGGGGTGAGGAGTCAGGACAGGGGATAATTATTTGCTTTTTATTTTTATTTATTTAATTTTATTATTATATTGTAATCTGGACCAGCTACAAGTATGTGTATATAACCTAGGTAAAACTACACGTAGGCTTTTGGCACCTGTGGTTGCCTGTCAGCTTAGTGGAGCTCCTAACCATCTAAAATGTCAGAGTTTATTGTTATTTTTTATTTAAAAATTTTTTGAAATTACTTATTTATTTATTTGTATTATAGTAGCTTTAGATGGCCAATATGGTGAAACCCCGTCTCTACTAAAAATACAAAATTAGCCGAGTGTGGTGGCACACACCTGTAGTCCCAGCTGTTCAGGAGGCTGAGACAGGAGAATCACTTGAACCCAGAAGGCAGAGGCTGCGCTGAGCTGAGACTGTGCTACTGCACTGCAGCCTGGGTGAGACAGAATGAGACTCCGTCAAAAACAAAAAAAGAATATGCATGCAACTTTGTTGTTTCTGCCCTCTCACATATTTTTCTTTCACACAGAGGACTCAGAAAAAGAAAACTCTATTGTATGTCCTGGAGAATGGCATTATTTCCATAGAAGCAGTATACCATACACCAATTACTTTAACATTACAAATTTAGTTCACGCTAATAGTTCTTTTATTCACTAACCAAACATTATTGGACTTAAGTAATAGACACTGTAAAATATTATTTGACTTCAGGCTATGTTAACTTTACTAATTTTAAGGCATTCAACTAAAATCTTCATAATTACACAAAATAAAATGTTATAACATCTTTAAATTAGGCAACTGATATAAAATGTTCTCATATCCATTCTCTAAATTTAACTGGAAGAGATGGTGTAACTTGATTTGCAGAATTGGAATTCTTCCAGGCTATTGGATGAGTGAAAAGTGGGGGAAAGGTCCAGAAGTCTGAGCTAGTTAAAAAAAATTGTACTTCCAGTTTTGTGAATTAATAAATATAGATAAAATTTGTTATTTATTTATTATTAGAGAGGAAGCCCACTCCTCATGCCACAGCCCATGTCTCCCCAAAAGTAATAACAATAAAAAGTGATAGAAAATTTCCCAGTGTAATCCTGGCCTAAATACATAAGGCCCTGCCTAAAGAATTAGGTGCTCATTATATGCTCTCAGTAGATTCAGTTATTGTCACGACATACCCATGTTGTTCAGGCAGTGTAGGCAAAGAAAGTGTCTAAATAACTAAGGAGAGTATAAGTGAGTGCAGTTAGTATTGGACATCATTAAGTTACTGAGGTTCTGGATTCATAAGCAGAAATGCTAAGACTGTGCTTCTATTATCTTTCTAGTAATCATTTATCACTAAGTAAAGATCAAAACTTTAAACCAACATATTGGAAACAATGACATCTAACTCTCCAGTTAGAGAGTATAATGGGAGTCTGATAAAACAGCTTTTCATTCTTTCTTAAGCAAACCTGCTTGTTTGTACTCCAGAAATCTAAAAGAGAAAGTCTCACTTTATAATGCCCTGTAACAAGGGTTTATAGACATCAAGAGAGTACATATGTGGCTGTAATTTTTATTGAGAATATATTACCACATGCCGTTGGAGCAGAATTGGAAGTGCTTCATTGGATTTAACCAAATAAGATGATCTATACTTGCTTGCCATTCTATCGTGTGCAAAGCTAATATTGTGTAAGGTTACAAGCCCCAGAAAGAGCAGGCTCAAGTTTCAGTCTTCAGCCCACATCTCTTTACCATTTTAGGAGCCACTGCATTTTTCATGCAACAGTTTTTCCTACCTGGTTTTTGGAGATAATAAAGATATGCATATGCTTATGAAAAAATAAGGATAAGTAACCCCTTACTTTGTCTTCTCACTATACTTCGTAGCATCACTGTTAAGGATATTTAATCAAAAATCTTGCTGCGTTTTTCCAAGTGCAGCCTTGGGAGCACCTGCATCAGAATCTACCTGGGGTGTGTATTTAAACCACAGAATCCTGACCCTGTTTTCTAGGCCACAATATCTAATCTCTGCAGGTAGTGGGGGTGGGGGTAGGGGTGGGGCATGGGTAAATCTGGCTTATTAACAAGTCTTTAGAAAACTGTAGTTCAAGCACAAATGTTTTGTGGTCTCTACATTTTATTGCTCACCTTTGCATCAGTTTGCAAACGATAAGAATGTAAGACGGGAAAGAAGAAAGGAGCTATCCACAAAAGGCATAACCAGCCTGTAGATAATTTATAATTAGCTATATATATTTTTCCAGGCAGTCTCTTAAAAAGTTCAAGCCCATTACACATCGGTAAAAATGAAAGAATTTGTAATGATTTTTAGTGGTTCAAACTCATTATAAATTAGTAAAAAATCAAAGGATATGACTCCTGGGAAAATTCTAGCATTATATGCAAGTATGCATAGAAACAGATTCGTGACAATTAGGGCTGTTGGGTAAATACTCTCCATGTCCTAATAATGCAGTGAACTTTCAAATACCTTCAGCAAATCTTGGTTGGTACTTTATTTTCCCATCACATAGTCTATTCAATTAACTCTATTGACATTATCACAATCTTTGTTTATTTATTCTTCCAGTGAGTTTATCTTCCTGGGTTCCCAGGACTCCTGAGACACAATGAAATGGGCTCTAGTGCACATTATTAATGTTTATTTGCTGCCTAATATATGGGTTGCCTCACATTATGAAAAGAGGTTCAAAATATGGCCTCCCGTAGTGACTGGAGGAAACACCAGACTTCCCATTGACCAGATTGGCAACGATTCAAGATCATTTGCTCCCATTCTCTCATCTTCTTCCCTGTACACTCAAATTATGTAGAAGTGATGCCCTTAGTGTTTAAGAACATCCAAGGGAACTAGCCCTGTTGTTTCCTGCCACTCAGGTGTATCTGGAAGTCATTCACGCTTTCTCCCACTTGAAGCAACATTCTTCAACCACTATTTGTTATAGCCATTGCCAATGGACATTTCTGAGTTCAAGGGTTTGGGCTGAGCTCCTGGGGCCTGTTGCTGCCACAGTCGCAGAGTCATCCCCTCTTGAGGACACAATGGTCTTGCAGGTGTGAGGGCCATCAGAGAGCCTTTCTCCCAGGAGCTCTGCTCAGCCCAGGGCGCTCCACAGTGAACTGGCCTGGACCCCTCATGACAGCTCTCTAGGCTCTCTCCCACGGCCTCTTCCTCAGGGACAAACCAGCCCCCAGGAGTCCCCAGGTCGTGATCAGTTCCAGAATCCACTCTCAAAACATGAAGTTACCCTGCCTCAAGGTCACAAGACTCAGGCAGAGGCCAGATTGTGTTTAGGCCTCTATACATTTTGTGATTTTATTTCAGAATCTTTATTTTTCTTTCTGACAATTTCTAATGACTTAGAATCAGAAGGGCAGAGATTAAGAATCTTATTCTTTCCCTAACTAGAAAAATCCAGGGCCTTCTCTGATTCCTCATTCTCAGTAGCCTTTAAATTCTTCATAGCAATTTTTCATATTAAATTTTTCATATTAAAATTTTTCACATTAAAATAAAATCCAACCTATTAACATAGCTTATTACATATATATATCTCATCATATGATCAAAAATATAATACTGCAAAAATTTTGTTAGTAACACCAAACAAATGACACAATTATAAGTATTTCTGAATTCTAAATACTCTATCAGAACAAGAAAAGAAATGCATTAAGGGAATTCTCTGCTTAAGACTCTGTGCTAGGCATGGTCCAACATACTGTAAATGTAAACTGTTCTTAGGTGAGTTAACTCTTTTTCATAGTTTTGAGCTTCCCAGAAAATTATATAAATGCCCCCCCTAGATTGCAGGCAAAAGATTCCGCATTTAAGAGAGTCAGAGTAACGTTAGGCTTCAGCCAGTTCTAGATGTTTACCCAAGAAACCAACTTATTGTAGAGCTATGAGATCACTTAACAATTTCTTCACACAGATGTGATATTTTGTCCAGACATCTAGAATGGCCCTCTGTTGCTTACCATAGTAAGACTAAATTCGTCCATTTGACTTTCAATGGCCTTTAACATTTGGACTCTGCCAGATTCCAATGTGATTGCATAAAGCACTTTTAATTCAAACCTCACCATATTGAATGGTCTCCACCCACTCAACATTCTCATAAGACCTATTTCCCCTTCCATGCCTTTTCCTAGGATACCCTTCCTTCCCCTCCTGGCCAATTCAAATCTCACTCTCTCTTGTAAGGCTGTATTAGTGCATCCTCGATGGATGCTTCCCAGAGACTATAAACCAGCCCCCCTCCAATACTGGATGTAACCTATTCAGCACAATTTAGGCCTAAAGGCAATCACATTTGGGACAGTTATTTAACAACCTCTAAAGCATAGTGCTGATTTTATTGGGAATATAACACACCCTTGGGATTCAATGGTTCAGCATTTTAAAGTTTATGGTATCAGGAGTGGCTGTCAAGCTCTCATCATCCTGCGATGATTTATGCATTGCTAAGGCTGGGACTGAGGTGGCCTGTACCCAGGGAGCTCAGGGGTGGGGCTTTCTCCAGTCTAGTGAGTGGGCAGAACAGGACAGGGCAACCTCCACTTCTGCTTGGCCAACCTCTGTCATGGCTCATATAGCGACTTCGAAGGTAGGGTTTACACTCTTTTTGCTCTTTTTTGAAAAATATTGTTAATAGCTTTAATTTCATGTTTATAGAATCACTGAGATTCCTAAGGTATTCATTCAATTGTTTGTTTATTCTCTACACAATTTTATGGGGGAAGCTACATGCAGTTTTTTGCAAAAAAAGCTCACACATGTGAAGTCTTAGCTGTGATTATTACATGCAATGGATATTTTGTTAACTGATATGTGTGTGTGTGTGTTTAGGTATATAATTTTCTTCTAGGCAGGAGCTTTAAAAATATTATTCTTGTGTAATAGAAGTGGCAAATCAGATTTTCTTTTAAGAAATTATGAAGTATACTGGTAGCAGGAGAAGAAACAGAAAAACAAGAGTAAGGAAATACAGAGAGGACTTGGAGGGGAACCCTAATAGCAGAGTTCTAGAAAAATTATTGGCAAATTCCTGCCACAGAAAACAGAAGGAGCTAACCTGGTCTTCGAATCATCTGGTCCCAGTTCCCTGTAATCACCTTTTCCCCATAAATCTAGATGTGTGGCTTTCCCAAGTCTGGGTTCCACATGGGTGAGTTTCCTGATATCCTGTTTCCCTGCACAGCCACATGAGAAACACCTTGTTTCTGAGGCAATTTTAGTGAGTCTCTCACTTTTTTTTTTTTTTGGCAATCAAAAAAGTCCAATATGAGTCATTTCTGTGACCATCTCTCATAGAAGATGATTTTAGGATGATAAGCATTTTTGATTAGATTTATTTTGAAATAGTTACTGACCCACATGGTGAGAGGTTCATGAGTGATGAGCCTTTTGAAAAGCATGTTTGTGCTTAAAGAGATTTACAAGAGGACATCTTCCTGTTAATGTGTCACTTCCCTTTGACTCAAAGGAATTCGGTGGAGGATAGTAAGTTCCAAAATAAGCTGACACATCAATAACTACAATAAATCCTCCCAACTGATCTAACAGAGGAATCCAACTGAATATTCCAAGCTCACCTTCAGTAGATAGAACAACTTAAGTCTTTTGGAATGAGACCCTTTGATTACTTATGACATTTGTGAGTTTCACTTAAACCCAGGGGTGCAGGAAGGGATGCCCTGTTGTATTCTCTGTTCTTTGAGGATTGTAGAAAATGTCCAAATATTATGCTTGTGCTATTCCAACCTGGCCATGATTTAATACAAACACAGATAGACACTCTCTTTTTCCATTTTTAATTTCTTCCTTCCCTCCCTTTCTCCTTCCCTTTCTTTCCCTTTATTTTGTTTTTCTTCTCCTCACCATCCCTCCTTCAAAAAGTGTGTACTAAAACATGTGCAGTTTTAACTTCCTGCTGAAAGATAATTCCCCTAGATGAATTATGATTATATTTTGTAGAGAGATCACTGTTCACAAGCCATAGAAGTAATACGTGTTGCTTGGCCAAATTTGAGCTGGCTTTTATCTCTGGCATTTCCTCATTTCAGGAAAAAGGTTTTGAGGCTCTTTACTGAAGCAACATCAGAACTTAAGTCTGGTCAGTTCTCATATAGAACCTCAAGATACCAGTGAGAACTTTTTTTGATGGCACCTAGGTCCAGTTTCAAGTTTACCTTTGAGCCTAGCTATAGTTCAATCTTCCTGGCTTATTCCTCAGGACATGTCAAGAGGTTATGTTAGAACTTCAAAATGACTTATGTGGTAGCAAGAATTAAACTATTATCCTAGTTTAAAAACTTGAACTCTACAATAATGCACCAAACCTGCTGCTACCATCCACGCTCAGCAGGACAGGGGATGTTTGCTAGGAGTAAGTACAGAAGGTCACTGTTCCCAGGCCACAGCCCTCAGCCTGGTCCATGGGAGCCTTCATCATCTGCTCCCAGCTCACTTGCTCAGACCCATCTTCTCCCACTCTTTCTCTTCCTTTGTTAGTTTCCAGCCACAATAAATGACTTGCAGCTCATTCACAGTTCCCTCAGTGGCCTCGTTCACCTCCATGCCTAAGCCTTTGCCCATGATTGATCCACTGCATGGCGTGCCCCTCCTGGTGTCTCAATCTTGGTTTCCCGCAGACGCAGCATCTCATGTCTTCTCTGGCCTTCAATGTAGGGGAGTGCTCCTTGCATGAGTCCCCTACCGTCCTGACCATGACATAGTACTTGTTGCACTGGTTATAATTGCCTCTCTATTTTGTCAGTCTTTCCTACTAAGTTTTCCTACAGACAGGGTCTTCTGTAACTTTTTCATCAGCATATCCCTAGCTTTCACCCAGTCTCTAAAGAATGTTCACTGAATAAAAGCACAAGGCATGGATGATTGTGTAAAGAATATCTCGTGCCTTCTACACACAAAGCCCTTGCCCCTTTTCTCACTGCTTCCCAGATCCCTCATCAGCTATTTACTGGCTTCCTATATCTGGCTTCCCAAGGACAGACAGTAATGAGACCAAATCCTGGAAGGGAAGATGCTAGGTCTCTTTGAAGGTGATGAAAACCTTTCCTCCTTTTGACAGATACCAGGCCTGGGGAAATTGGAGAGAGAAGACTTCACCTAGCTTCAGGTGTCCAGTTTCTCCCACTTTCTCTCCTAGTCTGTCATCTTGGGCCCTCAACACATAATTTAGATCTGTTCTTTAAAGCTTTACTCACTCCATTTTATTTTTACACTTCCATGAACTAATCCTTTCCTCTAACTAACATTATCTATCCGGTATCCATTTCTTCATAGACTTGCTCTCAGTTTTCGTCATAACAATGAATAAGAACAATGATGGTGTAACAATCATTCACACGCACTATAACCTCTAGGTTAGGCATGTTCAAAGCACTTTATTTCATAATTTATTTTATTCTCACAAGATAAGTACAATTATTATTATTATTATTATTTTGAGACAGAGTTTTGCTCTTGTTGCCCAAGCTGGAGTGCAATGGGATCATCTCGGCTCACTGCAACCTTTGACTCCCAGGTTCAAGCGATTCTCCTGTCTTAGCCTCCAGAGTAACTGGGATTACAGGCGTGTACCACCACGGCTGGCTAAGTTTTGTATTTTTAGTAGAGACAGGGTTTTACCATGTTTGCCAGGCTGGTATCAAACTCCTGACCTCAGGTGATCTGCCCGCCTCAGCCTCCCAAAGTGCTGAGTTACAGGTGTGAGCCACTGCGCCCAGCCAATAAGTACAATTATTTTTATCCTTAATTTATTAGTGAAAAAAATGGAAGCTAGTGAAAAAAAATAGATGTAAAATAGACTACCCAAGGCCATATAGCAAGGGCTACATTTTTCCTGAGGCCCTACCTCCTTGCCAGCTAAAACAGAGTATTTCAAGAGACATTACCTAAACATGAAGGAAGGTCTGGGAAGCATTGTAGGAAGTTTCTAAGACTATGGCCGACTTATGAGGAAAATATATAGTTGGGAAGAGGACAGGGTAGGGGGCGCTGCTGAAAATGACCTCTAATTTTACCATGTGGGTGCACCTATGTCTTTGTACAAACAGTGGCGAGGCACTAGCATAGCAAGGGTAAGCAGCAGCCAGAAGCACTGCCTGGCTTGGTGCCCTCTCCCTCACAGTGGCGCTAGAGCTGGTAAAGCCTCTGTCTCCACAGTCCTTCATGGACTAGCACCCAAGGACATGGGTTCCCTGTGTTGTAAGTCGAAGTCAGATAGATTTGAGTTTGAATCCTAATTCCTCCTTTCTTTCCTGCGTGATCTTGGACAATTTAATAACCTCTCTGAGGGACGATTTCTTTATCTACAAAATAGTGATGATAATATTTATCTTTGTTGTTGTCAAGATTAAAGACACTTACTGTACGCAGCATTATGCAAGAAAATACTCAAAAAAAGTTCATTCCTTTTCTATTCTTCTCGCAGTCTCTCCATCTCTCCCTCTCCAAACAAGTCAATGAGCATTTCACAATTCGTTCATCAGATTAGAAGGCAGAGAAAGATAGGAGATAAGGGGGTCAGTTCAAAAGACTCATTTCTAGCAAATGAGTCTTTTTACTCAAACAGATACTATTGTATCTGTATTTACTCAAACAGATACTACTAGAGTAAACCAAGACTGGACCAAGGCATGGTTCTGTCTGAAGGATGGAAAGGCAAGTCAGTAAAGCGACATAGAACATCCTGGGATGAACACATATACAGACGTAAAATAGGATGAAGGTGCTTCTAAGCAGTGGGGAAAATATTTATAGTCAATGGCACTAGCTGTTTGGGAAATAGTAAAGTAAGAGCATTACAATAAAACTGAATTAAAGAGTTAAATACATGACATAGAACTGTCAGATAACTAGAAAATGACTTAGAAACCTACATATGTTATCTTGGATGCAATGAGGACTTGTTTTAGAAAAAAATAAAATCAGAAAACTACGAAGAAAAACAATTGATGGATTTAGTACCTAAATATATATATATATATATTTTTGAGACAGAATCTCATTCTGTTGCCCAGGCTAGAGTGCAGCAACACGATCTCAGCTCACTGCGACCTCCGTCTCCTGGGTTCAAGAAATTCTCATGCCTCAGCCTCCTGAGTAGCTGGGATTACAGGTGTGTGCCACCACACCCCACTAATTTTTGTATTTTTAGTAGAGACTGAGGTTTTGCCATGTTGACCCGACCGGTCTTGTACTCCTGACCTCAAGTGATCCACCTGCCTCAGCCTCCCAAAGTACTGGGATTACAGGCATAAGCCACTGCCCGACCTCCTAAATATAATATTTGCATACCAAATAGCACCATCAAAAGACAATCATTAATATATTTGCAACATAATATCAAGCTTTTAATCAACATGAAAATGTGATCAGCATGATAGAAAAATGTCCAAGGATACAACCAGATAATTGATAATAAAAGAAACACAAACAGTTATATATATATTTAAGTGACCTCATTAATGATCAAAGAAATGTAAGTTAAAATAATAAGTGAATATTTTAAATGTGATCATCTAAAGTTTGGGCAAAGGTATGAGGAAATAGGCACCTTTGTCTGTACCTGGTATAAATGTATGTTAGTATACCCAATCTAGAGATTTATTTGACAACATTCTGATTTTTATTGCCTTCAGGACACCTAGAACCATCTGATGTCATTTTTGTTGGTGTGTTTCCTTGCTGATAATTTACACCATTTCATTGATGAGTCAGCCCCACCAGGGCGGAGCCCAGGCTCTCTTGTCACCCTGTTCTTTCTATGTACTTTTTGGGTTTATTTGACTATTCTTCAGCCTAAAATATTGTTTATACAAACAATCAAGATTTACTTGATTTATGTATTTAGAATATAGATATTTAAATTTTATGTGTCTATTTAGAATTAGGTATTTAGAATTTATATGTTTAGATTTATGTCTTTATAATTTGTCTATTTTTATGTATTTAGAATATATTTACATATTATTTATGTGTGTATCTAGAAATACAATTCTCAAAACTGGCCAATACTGTACCCTCACAAGAAATTTAACACCTGGAAAATTGGTTTTAATGAATTGATCAGACATGTGTGCAAAGATTCTTAACGCAGTATAATGCATAATAGCAAAATTTGAAAAGAAATCTAATTATTTAGCAAAAACCAATTGGATAAATGTCTACAATTCCATAAAACCACCAAGATAATATAGGTCAATATTTAATTACATAGAGTAAATTATTATATTAAATTATTAGGTGATAAAGTAGAGTTCTGTATAAAGAGTGATCCTAATTCTGTAAAACAGCAATGGCAAAACAAAACAAAACAAAAACACCTATGTTCCATAATGCATGCATGTCTATTAACTATGTAATAAGATATAAAACTCAAGATTTTTTTTAAAAAACAAGACAGCTATCATGAGAGCCTCATCCGCTCTCTAGTTTTTTGAATGTGGCCTTCACACATCTGCCACGCTACCTCCTGGGGTCCAGTGGTGGAAGAAGCCTGACCATTTGTACCTTCCCATTTTCCATTTCCATCTCCTTCCTGACTTTTCCAACTGGCCGTTGTGCTCCTTGTCATTATTATTCGTGATGACTACCCCAGCCAAGCTTCCAAATAGAGTCCATGTAATGAGCAGGTCACAGCAGCCAACAAAGAGGCTCTCCTGGAGAAAGCAGCTCAGAGGAGTCTGGCTGAACGGACAGTGGCTAAAAGCATTCCTGCATAATTCGCTGTCTCAAGAGTTTTTCAGCCAGATACTTGAAATGGGCATTTCAAAATGTTTTTTTATCAAATAAACTTTATTCTTAAAATATGTCATTCTCTTTGCAGTTTCTCCAAGTGGTTCTGTTGCTATTTCAACATCCCATAGAAAATCCTTTTCCAAATAAATTGGGAAGTCTCAACTTTCAAGTATAACTTTTTCCTATTGCTACTAGGGGAGCTAGGTACTTGCCTTACAGTAATTTCCATCAGTCCTTCATGCATTTAATATTTATTTATTTCAGCAAAAATTTCCATGAAATACTCTCCAGTGAAGTGTGTGACTGCATATTAATTTATCCTTTAGGAGCAGCAGTGGCATTCGTGCGTAGCTGCAGACATGTCAAGATGCTTGGAGTTACTGGGTGACACTCAAAGATGGAATACTCCAATTGTGGGGGCACGGATAACACCCACTGGAGTATTTGGTGTGTCCATCAAGAATCTCAACAAAAGGACTCTTCCAGAGACATCTCCAAGAGTTAGAGTAAGAGAAACATGGAAATGAATGTTGTGAATGTGAAAGGAAAATTTCTCATAAGATCAGAGAAATAATAATTCTATGAGAAAGAATATTAAGGTGAATATGAACCTCCAAATTTTTTACCGCAGCCTCCATGACCCTTATGACCTGACCCTATCTCTAATTAATCTTCTTTTTCACCCACATTGCCCCAGGTACTCTTGCCCTACTCTGGAGCCCTCAACTCTGCACCTCAGAGCCTTTATTTTTTTCCCATAGACCTCCTCTCCCAAATAGCTCTGGGATTGCATGTTCTCTGCTTATCACTCTGTTCCAAAGAAACTGACTTCCGAGGTGTTCCTGGTGACCCTATCTACAGTAGCCCCCACCCCTTCACCTCCCTACAACCACCATTAACTACAGCCGCCCTTTGTCTCATTGCCTTTGCATTCTCCTTGGCACACTCATCACCATTGTCTATTGGTATGTTTCCTTATTGATCATGTCCTTTCAATAAATTGTAAGTTCCAGTTATAGCAGGGACCTAGCTGTTTTGCTCCCTCATTCTGTCCCCAGTGCTTGCAACGGTGCCTGGGACAGTGTGGACCTTTCTATCTGGAATAAATAAATCAATAAACTCTATCTCATACCCAATACTACTGAAGCATGCAGTGATGCAATATTTATACCATGCATCAAAAAATAACTGTAGAAATTTCTATATTGTAATTTTCAAACAGTTCTTTATCACAGACTTTGTCACCTTCTGCCGTTAATGTGTATTTCCTAACAATTTCTTTTCTTTACCTTCTTTCTAGCTCTCTTTTTCCTTCCAACAAACATTTATTGAATGCTGGTCTCATATTAAGCCTGAAGATGCAGAGATAAACATGAAATAATTTCTACCTTTTGGTGTTAATAACTTAGTGGAAGACTGATTTTAAAATTCAATAGGTAAATTAAAAATAAATAAGTAACTACAATAGGAGCAGAGTGATAGAAAAAAATGGGGCCTAGAATTGCACATACACACACACACATACACTCACCTGTCACTTATACAGAAATTGTTTAAGTAGGCTGCAAGGGCTCTGCCTTTTACCTTGTTTTTGCCAGGTCAGCATAGAGTAACTTCAGCAGTCTGGTGGGTGGAGTTCAAGTTGTTCTCTTGGTCTTAAGTGATGCAGAGCTTTCTGTAGGTATAAAGACAACTTCAGAATCTCTAGGCAGACTGCATTTCTTGAAGGAATGTTCAGAGAGTAAATGCAAAAGTCTGCTCAGGACAGTGGGTGGCTCAAGGGTAGACGCATTCTTTAAGAAAAGTCTGTGGAAGACAGATTTTATTAATACTTTTGACTTAATTAACACGTTCTACCACTGCTTTGTCATTATGTAGAATTAAGAAATCAGCTTGGCCAGCTCTTCCCTTTTGTTAGCCTTGAATAGTTGCTCTTTATCTGAAATCCTATTTGGGAATAGCAAAAGACGAGAACAAATTGAGTCACCGTGAATTCCATATTTCTACAACAATCCCCCACTCTGTTGAATAGATGTTTCCAGAAAGCACTGAATAGAGGAAAAATGGAATATGTTACAGGAATTTCTTTCCTCCAAGATTTTCAATTATCTTCCTCAACTTTGTGGAATAAAGTGGAGTACAAAAATATAGAAGTGTATGGCAAGGAATGTCAGTAGGTCATTTTGGCAGAATATAAGTAAATATACAGGTGGTGTAACTGCAAAACCACAAGGATTTTATTAGCAATGTGATTTTGGGAAAATGCAGATGTTGTTTAATGATCAGTTTCCTCATCTGTAAAGTAAGAATAACAAATAACTGCCTCAAGGGGGTAGGCAAGAATTAAATGAGAGAATGGTTGTAAAAAGTACCATTTTCTTGTTGCTGTTGTTGTTGTTTACAGAAGATCAAATATAACTTGGAAAATGTAGTCCCAAGGGAACTTTATCTCCACCCCTCACATTTTACTTGAGTGGTTCTATCATAGGGGATGCCATTCTCTTCTCTACAAGTGGTGTTTCTAGCTTTAAAAACCAAAAATTGAATTTAGAAAAATTTCATCTGCCCATTGTTGTCTTTCATTTATATGTAACTATTGACATGCAAACTGTACTTTAAAAAATTTCAATTGACCCATGATTTTGGAGAAAATTGTTTACAGAATTTATATTGTAAATGGTTTTGAGAGTATAAAAGCCATTTGAAGACAGAGACTTTAATGATGAGGTGCCACATTTTTTCTTGAAATACCTGAAGTTGACCTCCAACCTCTCTCACTGGAGAATAGACCCAGTGGTGTTGTTCTTGGGAGATGGGTCTTATTCAGTATCAGCAAACCATTTGACATCATCTCTCGGATGCACTAATTATCATAGGATTGTGGCTCTCTTTTGTTAGCTTTGGATTTTTTATTTTACCAGAAGTGTGATAAAAATCAACTACCTTTTCTTCCTCCTAAATCAGTCACTTGATCTTTACAGGCATTAACCTGTGTTCTTCACAGAAACTGATTTGTTTTGTGTTCACTTCAGTGTCTCCCACTCAGCGGTGTTGACAAATGTGTATGTTTTGTTTTGTTTAAGGATGTGAATTACTCATTCTAGACACAGCACACTGTTTTATTGTGTGTTTTTCTAAAACATACTTTTAGACAATGAAGCCCTTGTATACGCCTCACCGCACACACACGCACATACACACAACTAGTATCTATGCATCTTTGTAACTTTATCCCTATAAATATGACTCACTGGCTTGCTGAAGCAGAGAAGATAAGTTTAAATCAGGTAAATGCTGACAATCTAAGAATGATGAAGGGAAGATAAATTAATTGTTTGCTCAAGGAACTGACTGTTAAACTTTTTGCTTTCAAATTTGCATAGAGTGGAGCCTAGAAGCTTCCTGAATGTCTTCCTGCTGCACTTTTCACCTCCATTTCTATCCCTGCTAGCAAAAGAAGAGCCTAATGGTGACATCCCATACCTAGGGGAGCTTTTGAGGTCACAGGTAATTATGGGGGGGGGGATTATTAGTGAATCTGTCTTATAGGAAATATTAAAATTAAATTTTTTAAAACCATTATATCCTAATAAAAGAAGTTGGCAACTTGCTTTCTGGAAAAGTCAGTGGCAGTGGAAAGACAATAACCATGTGAGAAAGTAAGACAGGTATCTTGGGTAGGGCATGCCCAAGGGAGTAAGGTCAATGTCACCTATTTAACTGTGGCCAGTGGACAGGTTTGTTGAAGTTGAGCCTGCTTGTGGTGTTTTCCATTACACAGCACAGAAAATGGACTTAAACCAACAATCTTGGAGCATCACAGTGGCCTGAGCACATAAACTATACTTAGTTTCTGTGCTTACAATTTGTGTTAAGAGTTTTAAATATTAAGGCACATGCCAACAGAAACATTAATTTACAATGTTTTCAACAGAGAAAAGCAGTGACAGAGAAACCTACCTATTTTCCACTATGATGATTCTTATGCAAATTAAATATTTGATTGGTACCTTTTATTATTGTCTGGGTGAGCGGCAATTATTTTGCAGAGACTGTATTTCTAGATTCTTGTGTCTTCTGAGAGTTCGTTGTGAGCAATTTTCACTGGGCAATAGGTGTGTGTGCAGAAATAGTGAGAAAAAGTATTCCCATAAAGATTAAAGATGGAGCCGGGCACGGTGGCTGATGCCTGTAATCCCAGCACTTTGGAAGGCTGAGGCGGGCGGATCTCCTGATGTCAGGAGTTCAATACCAGTCTGGCTAACATGGCAAAACCCCATCTCTACTAAAAAATACATAAATTGGCTGGGCCTGGTGACAGATGCCTGTAATCTCAGCTACTCAGGAGGCTGAGGGAGGAGAATCTCTTGAATCTGAGAGGTGGAGGTTGCAGTGAGTTGAGATCCTGCCACTGTACTCCAGCCTGAGAGACAGAGCAAGACTCCATCTCAAAAAAAAAAAAAAAGATTAAAGATGAAAAAAATTAAGATTCCTTCTGTGGTGATTGTTGACAGTAATCTATGTTATGAAATATCTTTGGGGCCATTTCCAAAAACCTATATGATGCTTTTAAAGGAGAAGATATTATTTTCTTCCCTATATAGCTTTACTTCAATTCTTGAACTCTTCTTGTCATTTATGGATGATTGGCAATGTATCTAATTCAAAGCAAGTTTGAGAAAAGGAGACAGGTATTACAATTAGTTAGTGGTGGAGATAAAGTAGAGGGGAATTAGGAAAATGAGGATCAGTTAAATTTTTTTAGTAATGTGACTGAAGAATTGTGATTTTACAGAAAATGTGTAACTATGAATTGCCATAAGATGGTCAGGGGCTAAGACAGTAAGTGTCTTATTTCAGATATTACTGCCTCATGTCTTACCCTTTCAATAAAGTGAGAATACGTAGGTTGACAATAATGTGATATCATATAATAATAATTGAAATGTATTATCTTACCCGAATTGTTATTTTTATTTTTTATTTTATTTATTTATTTATTTATTTTTTGAGACAGAGTCTCGCCCTATCACCCAGGCTGGAGTGCAGTGGCAAAATCTCAGCTCACTGCAACCTCTTCCCTTGGATTCAAGCAATTCTCCTGCCTCAGCCTGCCGAGTAGCTGGGATTACAGGCGCCTGCCACCACACCCAGCTAATTTTTGTATTTTTAGTAGAGATGGGGTTTCACCATGTTGGCCAGGCTGGTCTCAAACTCCTGACCTCAGGTGATCTGCCCGCCTCGGCCTCCCAAAGTGCTGGGATTACAGGCGTGAGCCACCATGCCCAGCCCTGAATTGTTATTTTAAGTAATGTTTTGGATTCTTTATATTTTTTTCCACTTTATATTTTACCAAGTATTTTTGTCAAAGCCTATATTTCCTTACCTCTAAAATGTTTTTTCTTCACATTTTTACTTTTCTAAACTTAGAGTGCCCCATACAAAGACTGTAAAATGAAGCTTCCTACCCTCCAGAGGAAGGAGAGGGTAGGAACACAGTAGCACTGTGAGGTCATGTTCAAAACTGTCCGGAGAGACGCACGGTCTCATCAACTGATTGTAATCTTGGTTGGGTTAGTTGTGCTAGTAGAACATGTTAACTTCTAATACATACTTTTATTACTCATCATCATTTGAAATATTGTCCAAGACACTGTATTGTGATGAAAAGCAAGGTGATGTACCTTCAGGTCATACATTGACTCTGCGACTAGACTGCTTGGGTTCACCCCTCACTAGGCCCATGGCAGGGGCCATCCATTTACTCTCTTGAAAATGATCAAAGAGAACACCTACTTCACTGGGTTACTGTAAAGAAGATGATGAGTTCATCTCTGTAAAGCGTTTTTCACATTGTGTGGCACTCCATTCACTCATTTGTTCAACACGTATCTGTGGAGTCCCAACTATGAGCCAGGGATGGGTCTGCCAGCTAGATATATAGAGATGGATTAGGTAGCTGAGATATGTTTGGAGGTCACATTTTAGTGTCTACAAAAACCCTTTTGCCTGATGATGGCAAGTGCTGTGAAACCTGGATTCTGGGTACCCGGAAGGAAGCTGCTCTCATTGGGGCATCAGAGAAGAATTCTTAGAGGAGGTGACATTGAGCTGAGACTTCAGTTGCATGAAGGAGCTATCCATCAACAGTTGTGGGGAGAGGGGCTTTACAGGCAGCCACAGGACCCACGGAGCCCTAAGGATCACAATAGAAAGTGAGGTCACAGTCTGAGCAGAGCCCAAACACTGGACCAGGTTATGCAGTTTGGATCTTGTTCTGAGTTCAGAGTGAATTTATCAAAGGGATTGCAGCAAGAGAGTGATTTATATTTAAATTACCATTTTGAATAATGTGTGGGGAGCAGGGACAGCACAGGGTGGGAGGTCATTGAGGAGACTAGTAAGGTAAATACAAAGAGAAATGATGGTGGCTTGGGCCAGGGCTGTAGCAGTAGAGATGGAAAGAAGCAGATGACCATAGAAACTGGTGCATGTTTGAGTAACTAAAGGATGTTCAGCATGGCTAGGCCCATGGAAGGATGTCTTGGTCTGTTGGGGCGGCTATAACAAAATACCATAAACTAAAGAGCTTCTAAATAACAGAAGTTCATTTTTCGTGGTTCTGGAGGCTGGAAAGTCCAAGATCAAGGCACAAGCAGATTCAGTATCCAGTGAAGTCTCCCTTCCTGGTTCATAGAGCAACTTCTCTGTGTCCTCACATGGTAGAAGGATTGAAAGATCTTGCTGGGACTCTTTTATACAGCACTAAACCCATTCATGAGGACTCCTCCCTCATGACCTAATCAGCCCCCAAAGTCCCCATCGCTAAATCCCCTCACAATAAGTATTAGGTTTCAACATATGAATTTGGAGGGACACAAATGCTCAGACCGTAACAAAGAGGTAACCTATAGATGGGGATAATCACATTGTTGGAGCCCCATGAGCTATGTCTTATTTACACCCAAGTCTTGCATGGAAGACATTTTGCTATGCTGTTCAAAGAACCAAATCATAACATCCGGCACTTGCTCAAAGCCAATAAGGAACACGGAAAATATTTGTTCATTTGTATGTATCTGAATAGGAAACTTAATGTGGGGAATTAGTTTCCTAGGAGGTGGGAGAGGATGAGAAGCCACCCAGGGAGGATGAGATCAGTAGCAGCAGGAAGCCACCTAAAAGGGAAAAAGCACAGTGACTAGAGGTCAAGGCCAGAGTCCTTGGGAAGATCCTGGAGCCTTCATGGGCCCATCCCGTAGGAGCTAGAGAAGGGGCATGCATCTTCTGCCAGACCTGGCCTCCAAAGCAGGAACAGAAGGATACGGCCCTCAGCATCTCCCTGCCCCATTCTCTCTCAACTCTCAGCAGATCCTCCCTGGCCAAATCCAGTGGGAAGCTCTCTGGGAAACCACAGCTGTTGGGGGCCATGGGGCCAGAAACCTGCTGCCTTATGGAGCTCAGCAGGAGGATCTGAAGGCAAGCAGCAACATGCCAGCAGGGCATGGGTGGGTGGATGGGGGACTGGTGGAGTTTGGAGGACTGGGGAGCTATGACAATGTGAAGAGAGACCCAGAAATGGTAGGTGGTCAGAGGTAAGCTTGGAAAGATAAATAGGGAGTAGCTATGCAGGACCTCATGGGCATTTATGCAGTCTGGAATACATCATCAGATTAATCAAGAATCCCTGAAAGATTCCAAGTGAGTGAATGACTAATCAGGTGTATGATTTAGAAAAATTACAAAAATTTCAGTTAGACAGGAGGAATAAGCTCAGGAGATCATCCATGGAACATCATGGTGACAGGGGTCAATAAACAATATATTGTACGTTTGAAAATTGCTAAGAAAGCAGATTTTAAGTGTTCTCATCAACAAAAAGTCATAAGTATGTGAGGTAACGCTCATTAGCTAGATTTATTATAGCATTCCACAGTGTTGATATGTATCAAAACATCATGTACACTACAAATATATACAATTTTTATTTGTCAATTAATAAAAAGGAAAAAAGAAAAATAACTGGCTACAGTGAGGAGAATGACTTCAAGCTGTACAATCCTGGAAGTAAGATCTCAGAACGTTTCTGTAGGTTGTTATGCTGTCTGTAATTACTTGAAAATACTTATGTTCTGACCTTTTGCATGAGCTATATGTGTCTGTTAATCTATGAGTGTGGTTAGCCTGATGGTTGGAATACCCTAACCAGGAATGCACACTCACACTTATGGTGGCAGGGTGAGGCTATTAGTTAACATTTGAGAGACACCAACCAGCTCCTGCAAACTCTTCCACTATGACTATCTGATCTGCCCTGGAGGAGTTAGTAATTCACATAGGGGAATGTTGGAAATACATTTTCATTCTTGAATTGAGTTGTATTCCAAATAGATGGGCTGATTAGAAATGTCTGCTTTCTTGAGAGGTGCAAACCTCAGCAATATCAGCCTTGCAACTCTTGAGCGAAGGGTCCCTCTGATGTGAACCCGTGTTCCTACCATTCCTTACGGATTTTCTCTCATCTGATAGGACAAGGTTCTGCCACTAGAATTCTGTCAGATTTGTCTCTGGAAACTGTTTCATCAGGGCAAATTTAGGTGACCCTGGGGACAGAGGCCGGTGGCTCCACCAACCCCACAGGCAGGTGGACTGGCTGTTCCTGTTTGCTAACACATGTTCGTGTGTGAGGCAGCATTCAGGATGAGACTTGCTTTCAGTTACGTATCTTTGAGTGAGATTATGCTTTTCTTTACCTGTAGCCACTGTGAAAGAAAAAATGCACTGGACAATTAGGGAGATTATTTTATTTGGGCTATTGCAATATAGAGAATGTTCACTAAGGAAAGACTTCTCAACAAAAGGAAGAGGACCTAGGATTTTATAAAGGCAAGGATACAGGGAGTCATCCACTTTGGGAGCCTTGAAGGAGGATGAAGACCAGGCTTACTCTGAAATATGTTGGCTAAGGTGGTCCTTCAAGATTTCCTAGAACACAAGACAGTGGGTGGATTTTGGGAAACAAAAGTCTGAGGGGATTTCTTAACCATCTCTGTTCTCTGGGAGCACAGGACTCAAGTAACATTTAACACTGGCTACTGTTGTTAAAGTGAAGATGAAATGCCGGTCACATTGGCCATGGTCATTTTGCAACGTAAGGAGAGATGATCTTGGCCTATAGGAAGGATAAAGCCATGAAAACGAGAGAAGTGTATGGAATGGAATTGAAGAATATTAGGCAATAGACCAGGGGGATGTGGACATTGATGGGGGTGCCTTAGAGGTCTCCATCCTATGCACTGTCTCTCCCCACCTGGCAGTGTGCATCTATTTCTGGGCTGCTGAGAGAGGTGGAAATCCACCTGCTTTCCTTACATAAAAGTGAAAACTCATTACTCCATAAAACATACAATTCCTGCAGAACAAGTCTGTGTGATAAGACTTGAAAACACAAACAGTTCAGCCTGAAGGCCTGACAGGGGAATTACAGGCTCAGACTCATTAGCTAATTATAATACTCACATAGACTGTTACTTAAAAAAAAAAAGTATCGCCTGTTGAATGAGATTCTTGAGATCATTAGCATCTAATTTTCTGAATGATAATACAGTGTGCTGGAGGTTTTTGGCTGTGTCTACAATCAGCAATTTGTGGTGCAGTGGGAAAGCAACTTCAGGGCAGAGAAAAAGTGTCAGGGCTGAGGGTCAGACTTTGGTTTTAGTATCCATTGTGACTGACCAGCTTCATAAACTTATACAAGAGATTTAGCCTTCTGGGTTTCAGTTTTATTGTCTCAGAACCAGAGATTTTCAATTATCAGATTTATAGTCCTAAGAATCCACATTGTTCTGGTCCAGTCTCTATATATTTTTTAAAAAGGAGCTGAAAAAATCCAGCTTTGAAATTTGAAGCAATTTATGCAGATCTACTGGTGAGGGCTGTATTAGTGTGAGCATATATGTCCATATATATTTTGGCAAAAGTTAATTACGGAAAACACATGAGTGTCAGGGAGTGAAGGGGAACACGAGAGACTGGACATTGCTCATCAATCATTGTGCTCTGAATTATATGCTTTTACTGCCTGTCCTGACCCTCCCCTTCAATGGGAGAATTCCCCAAGCTTTCCTCCTCTCGATTTCCTGGAGCTTCAGCCAACACCTCCAGGTGGAGGATTCCAAACCTGGAATCCCCAGTCCTTTCCTGGCTTTATAGTTACTCGGCTACATCTGGGCTCCTGCTGGTGTCTCCATTCAATTTTTCACAAACGCAACTCACGGTCTTTCAAACCCTTTCTCCCTGCTACGTCCCTATTTGTGCGTGCTGCCCACAGGCCCGGAGCCATGCAATCTCACAGCCTGCTACTTCCTCACGTCTAGCAGTGAGGCCTCTGGTCCAATCCTGCCAGGTCTCTGTCATACACCACCTTCTCACTTCCATTAGAGTTCTCACTATCTTATTTGAAATCTGCATTACTGCTTTTCTGAGCAAAATCACAATAGTATGATGGTGGATTGTATGCATCAACTTGGCAGGCTATATTACCCAATTATTTTGTTAAATGTGAATCTAGGCGTTGCTCTGAAGGTATTTTGTAGATGCGGTCAACATCTTCAATCAGCTGACTTTAAGGAAAGGAGATTATCTTCAGTCATCTGGGTGGGGCTCATCCATCTATTCAACTATTCACCATCCAACTATCAGTTCAAAGTCCTTAGGAGCCAAACTGAGGTTTCCTTGAAGAAGAAGAAATTCTGCCTCAAGACTGCAGCCTCAGCTCCAGCCCGAAAGTTTCGAGCCTGCCAGCTCCCCTACAAATTTCAGGCTTGCCATACCCTACAATTGTGTAAGCCAATTCCTTGAAATAAATGTCTTTATATGTGTAATCTCTTATTATATATGTGGGTGGGTGCCTGTGTGTGCCTGTGTGTGCCTGTATATGTGTATTTTCTCTGGAGAACCCTGTCTGATTCCAGTAGTTTACCACTTGACTTCATCTAGTCTCTCCGACTTCACCACTGCTCTCCATCTCCTTCTGGCTGCTACAGGATTAACCTTCTTAGCAGTCTGTTCCTGTCGTTCCCCTACTTTTTCTGTGTCCTCTACATGATTTTATTTGGGTGCAGCTCCAATTCATCCACAGAGTCCTACTTCCCATCATTTTCTTTAGGAGGAAGGATTGAAATTTCTAAATGTAGAAACATCCCCAGTTTTCTATTTGGAACAGATGAACTCTGGGCCTGTATGGATCAGAGAGCTAAGAAGGAGAGTCTCTTACCTGTTTTAGGCCAACGGAATTGCTGCATTTCAGGTGGTAGGACAAGTTCCACACTGCTGTTCTGAGCCTCACTCACATTTTGGCAAAAAGTTTGCTGTGATCCTCACAGAGTCTAAATTAAGGGCTACTGGCACACTGCCATGTTGAGTAGAAATATCATTTCATGATGTTCTTTAATCCACCCCCACGTACCCTATGAGGCTCACAGAAGCTAAGTAACCTTCCCAAGTTGACTGGCTAATCCAAGATACATACCTAGGTTTGTACATCTCTCAGTATTGTATTCACCCACATTGTAAGCTGAATAATAGTCCCAAAGATGTTCAAGCTGTAATCCCTGGAGCCAGTGACTGTTTCCTGATATGATAGAAGGAATGCTGCAGATGTGATCAAGTGAAGGATTTTGAAATGGGGAGATTATCCAGGATTATCTGGGTAAACTATTGTAATCACAGGGTCTGCACTAAAGGGGATCAGGAGAAGTCAGAGTTTGAGGAAAAGACAACGTGGTCATGGCAGTGGAGAGAAATCTGAAGATGCCACATTGCAGACTTTGAAGATAAAGGAAGTGGCCACAAATCAAGGAATGCAAAAAATGCCGGTTTAGAATCTGGAAAAGGCAAGGACACAGATTTTCCCTGAGAGTTTTTGAAAGGAGCAAAGCCCTGTGAACAAAATTAAAGCCTTAGTTTTGGCTCAGTGAAGACCGTTTTAGACATCTGAATTTCAGAGCTGTGGAATAATAGATTTGTATTGTTTTAAGCCACTAGGTTTGTGGTAATCTGTTACAGCAGACATAGCATATGAATACACCCAATGGTACTTTAACATACCAATACCTTCCATCACGTAGCCACAGTTTAGCTTTCTCACCTAACACTCGCCTAATAGCCCTACCTCAAGAGTACTGCACCCCTACTTCATACAAACAGCTCACAAAATCACCAAACAGCATTCTTTTCATGGAAGACACTTGGGAAAAGTTAGTTTCCTCCAACAGGGGAAAATTACTTAACTCCTCAGTTTCCTGATTCATACAAATGACTGTATCAGTTAAGAATCTTAGACTACAAACTGAGTTATTGAAAGAAGGTGACTGCTTTTCTGCAATGAGCTTGATTTCCATTTCAAGTCCCTCTTCCACTAGGGACAGGAACTGACCATCATGCAATTCAACTGTGGCCTCCCATCTCTCCACAGCATGATGTCTCCATGGGAGAGTAAGAGATTAGGGGTTTGAGGGCCTGAAGGGAGAGGAGATGGCTGTCCTCCCTCCACGGTGACATCAACTGAGATGCTTCATTCCTGCCTTGTCTGAGGATGCTGCTCCAGGCAGGTCCACACAGAATCTTCCCAACCACGAGGACCCTCTAGATGTATCAGCTCTCTGCGCGACTTTCAATCTGGGAGAAATGTTGACATTCCCATTGCAACTCTGGAGCCCATCAGAATCCTCTGCATTGGCAGCCACATATGCATTGTTCTCACTATGCTGGGTGCAAGGAGCTCAGGGTTTTGCCTATTCAGAAAACAGGGAGCAGAATGTTTCCTCAATTAAAACTCCAAACCTAATTTAAGGATTCTATATTCTCTCTAGCTTCATTCTAGAAATTTTTATCTAGTCTTGGGTATAAGGGAAAAGCTGGCTTCCCAACTGATTAGTGTTTCTTATCTGGAGATCTTAACATAGGAAAACCCAAAGTAAAAAAGCTTACATTTTAATCCCTGGATTCTTATAGTACCACTGTCCTTTGAGACAATGGGTGCCTCATGACTTTGCTAATTTTCCCATAAAAATAAAAAGCAGAGTAGTGAAAAGAGAGTAAGACAAATTGGTAAAATTCCTGGATAATCTTTGTTTTTCTTCGCAGATGCACCCCACTATGTGTCCAAACCCTGACTCTTGCCTATGGTTTCTGGTTGGGTTTAGCCAATAGAAGACACTGGCAGGAGAACAGTGAGGTCAGCATTTTGATTATTGGAGCAGCCTCTTGGCCAGGATGTGGAGAGGTTACCACATCCCTGTACGGGTGGCTACGGGTGGTACAGGTGGCTACGTTGTCTTCCCCACAGAGCTCCTCCACACCACTTCCTGGAGCCATTCCTAGCAGAGTAACACCAGCTCCCAGGGCACAGCACCAGCCTGGTTAGTTTCTGAAAACTGCGCCATCACCTCCAGCTGTAGATAGCCTTCTTAATGAACTCTCCTCAAATATGCTATTTAGTTTTCTATCTATTTCCTGCCAGAACACAGATTGATAGAGGTAATATATTTTTAAAAAAGTTCTTCATAGCAGGGAAATGATCACACCTCCTTCACAGATTTGATTATTTTATATATTAACCCACTAAAAGACATTTCTGGTTTAGATGGCTCTCACTTAGATAGCATTAACGTACTCTTGGAAACACAGAAAGTCTTTTTTTTTTGGACATAGCACTGAGAAAGAAGTAAAAAAGTTCATTTATTGTCAGATTCTGGAAGATCTTGCCAGTGATTCCAAAGAAGTCAGTTAACACTCAAAGTCCCTGTCTGGAGTATCCTTAACATCTGAACTAAACTGACAAGCAATTTTGGTGGAGAACAAGAATTCTAAAATGAATGTGGTGTTATTTTTAAGCAAACTATTTTTTTAGAGCAGTTTTAGGTTCACAGCAAAATTGATCAGAAGGTACAGAGATTTCCCATATATCCCCTTCTCTGATGTAGAAACAACTTCCTCCACTATCAAAATCTTGATACAGAGTAGTATATTTGTTACAATGCATTAACCTACACTGATATTTCATTATTACCCCAAAGTCCATAGTTTACATTAGGATTCTTGCTTAGTGTTGTACATTCTATGGGTTTTAACAATTGCATAATGACGTATAGCTACTATTGTAGTGTCCTACCAAATAGTATCACTGCCCTAAATAGTTTCTCTGCTTTGCCTATTCATCTCTCCCTCCCCACTAACCCCTGGAAACCACTGATTCTTTTACCGTCTCCATCATTTTGCCTTTCCCAGAATGTCATATTGTTGGAATTACACAGTATGTAGCTGTTTCAGATTGGCTTCTCTCGCTTAGCAACATGTATTTAAGTTTCCTCTATGTATTTTGATGGCTTGATAGCTCAATTTGTTTTTATTGTAGAATAATATCCCATTTGTAGGTATGTGCCACCGTTTATTTATCCATTCACCTGCTGAAGAATAACTTGGTTGCTTCCATGTTTTGGCAATTATGAATAAAGCTGTTATACATATTTGTGTGCAGGTTTTTGTGTGGACATAAGTTTTCAACTCATTTGGATAAAGACCAAGGAGAGCGATTGCTGGATCATATGGTAAGAGTATGTTTAGTTTTGTAAGAAACTGCTAAACTGTCTTCCAAAGTGGATGTATCATTTTTCATACTCACCAGTAATGAACAAGAGTTCCTGTTGCTCCACATCTTCTGCAGCATTTGGTGTTATCAATGTTTTGGATTTTGGCCATTGAATGGGTGTGTAGTGGTATCTCACTGTTTTAATAATTCCATAATGACATATGATGTTGAGAATTTTTTCATATGCTTATTTACCACTTATAATCTTCTTTGGTAATGTGTCTGTTCAGATCTTTTGCCCATTTTAAATCAGGTCATTCGTTTTCTTTATTGCTTAGTTTATGAGCTCTTTGTATATTTTGAGTTACAATTCTTTTTCAGATGTTTTTTGCAAGTATTTTTCCCATTCTGTGCTCATCTTCACATTCTCTTGACAGTGTATTTTGCAAAGCAGAAGTTTTTAATCTTAATAAAGTCTAGCTTATGAGTTATTTCTTTAATGGATTGTGCCTTTGGTGTTGGAGACGAAAAGTCATTGTTCCCAAGGTCACCTAGATTTCTTCCTATGTTATTTTCTGTAAGTTTTATAGTTTTGCATTTCACGTTTAGATCTATGATCTATGTTGAGTTAATTTTTTGTAAATGGTATAAGACTAATTTTTTAATGTAAATGTCCAGATGTTCCAGTACCTTTTGTTGAAAACACTGCCTTTTCCCCATTGTATTACATTTACTCCTTTGTCAAAGATCAGGTGGCTACATTTATATGGATGTATTTCTGTACCCTCTCTTCTGTTCCACTGATCTATCTGTTCTTTCACCAATACCATACTTGATTACTATAGCAGGGGACAGAAATCTAGGTAGGTTTTTTTTTCTTACAACATTTTAAATATTTCACAGCGTTCTGTTTTTATTTGCATAGTTTCTGAGGAGACATTAGATGTAATTCTTATATTTGTTTGTCTGTAGGTAAGGTTTTATCCCCCACTTGGGCTATTCTCCAGATTTTTAATTTTCTTTTCTCTTTTTCAGTTTGACAATGATATGTCTAGGTGTAGTTTTTGTTTTTGTTTATCTTTATGTGTTGAAACAGGGTCTTACTCTGTCACCTAGGCTGGAGTACAGTAATCACAGCTCAATGCAGCCTCGACCTCCTGAGCTCAAGGGATCCTCCCACCTCAGCCTTCCAAGTAGCTGGGACTACAGCTGCATGCCACCACCCTTGGTTAATTTTTTAAATGTTGTTTAGAGATGGGGGTCTCACTATATTGCCCAGGCTAGCCTTGAACTCTTGGGTTCAAGCAATCTTCCACCTTGGCTGCATGAGCCACCATATACATATATATATGTGTGTGTGTGTGTGTGTGTGTGTGTATGTGTGTGTGTGTGTATTCTCTGAGCTTCCTGAATGTGTGGTTTGGTGTGTGAAATTAAATGATTTAAATATTTCTTCAGATATTTTTGTTCCTTTCTCTCTTTCTTCACCTTCTGGTAGTACCATTATGTGTAATTATACCTTTTTTCTGTTGTCCCAAAGTTCTTGGACATTGTATTGCTTTTTTTCAGTAATTTTTCTATTTGCTTTTCTGTTTGGAATTTTCTCTATTGACCTAATGTCAGTTTCAGATTTTCTTTTCTCAGCTGTGTCTAGTCTACTGATGAGCCCAACAAAAGCATTCTTCATTTCTGTTACTGGGTAATTTCCATTTTTTCATTCTTTTTTCTCTTTCCTACTGGGTTTTGGAAGTTTCTCTTGTCATATATTTACCTCCCAAGATTCTTTCCTTAGCCATGTTAAGTCCAATAATAAATCCATTAAAGATACTCCTTATTTCTCTTACAGGGTTTTTGATCTCTAGCATTGCCTTTTGATTTTTTTCTTAGAATTTGCATCTCTCCATTTATGATGCCCATCTATTTTTGCATGAGATCTGCTTTATCTTTTAGAGCGCTTAGGATATTAATCATAGCTCTGTTAAATTTCTAGTCTGATAATTCCAGCATCTCTGCCATATCTGAGTCTGGTTCTTAAGCTTGCTCAGTCTCTTCAAGCTGTTTTTTGCCTTTTAGTCTCCCTTCTAGTTTTCTCTTGATAAACATAGTGTTGGGTAAAAGGAAGTGCTGTCGATAGGCCGCTAATCATGTGGTGGTGAGGTGTGTGGGTGGGGAAGGATGCTAGATAGCCCCATGAGTATGTCTTAGTCTTTGAGTGAGCCTTTGCCTCTGAACCGGGAACTTCATGAGTGCCTCTGTTTCCTCTCCTTCCCTTGATGTGGAATAGGATTGCTAGAGTGGGCTGGAGTTAGGTACTTCCCTTTCGCAGGTCTGTTAGGCTCTGAGAAAACCCTAATCCTTTAGGCTCTGTTAAAAAAGTTTCTCTTAAAGGCAGGCCTTGTTAAGAAGAACAGAATGCTCTGAAACATTTCAGTGGTTCCTTTTCTCTGCCCTATGCCAGAAGCAGGAGGAAGTTTTTCTCTGATAGTCACTGTGAGAATCTAGTCAGGCTCCTGGAGGTAAAACCCAAAAAAACGTGAAGGCTTCTTACATGCTCGACTGGAAACCAGAAGTCTGAATGTAGCATTATTTGTTTATTGTTAGTAGAGACAAAGTTTCACTATGTTGCCCAGGCTGGTTTCAAACGTCTGGGCTCAAGTGATCCTGCTGTCTCGACTGTCCAAAGTGCTGGGATTGCAGGCATGAGCCGCTGCGCCCGGCCTGAATGTTGTATTTCCAAAGTGCAATCTTTCCTTTTTGTTATTTAAAGATACATAAAATTATTTCTCTTAATGATATATAGTGAGAAGAACACCTAGGTTAAAATTCAAAGAACTGGGCTTTTCTCTTTGTCTTCCCGTGACTGATCCTGTGAATCAGGCCCAGACACCTCACCTGTTGGGTTCCTTAAAGAGACGCTGAGAAGATCAGTGTTTCTTTACTTTTTGTAGATCCAAAGTACCTTTGAAGATTTTTTTCAGGCTATGAACACAGGCTCTCTCCAGTTAAAGAAGTCTATGTATCTGTCCTGGACAAAGTGGAACTAGGAATTTCTGGATCAGTCATCTAGAAAATTACTAATAGTTCCATCTTTAAGCCTTTTTGACAAATTCCAATTTGGTAGATAGGTCTGAACTCCATATACACAGATATTTTCAGGGTAGATAAAATATCATGAAATATACACATGCCAAATTAATAGTAACTAATATTTATTAAGTACTTAATATATGCCACATGCTGGACCTTTGTATGGAAGATCTACTTAGTTCTCTCCATCACTTTGAGAGACCAGCACAAGAGGACTCTATTTTGAAGGATGTGTTTGATGCTAATGATGTACCAGAAATTGGATGCAGGGAATCTTCCTAAGAATCCTACTAAGGTGGTTTTAGAGTTAGTTTATAATCTATCATGCAAACTGGGACACTTTTGAAAGCTAAAAGGACTCATTATTAATAATTAGACCTGATAACAAGCATAAACAGATTCTCAAGGGCAAACTGGGACATATGGTCCTGTTAGTTATCATCCTTCTTTTATAGAGGAGAAAACCAAGATGTGAGAAGCAGAGTACTTTTGCTGAGGTCATATCCTAGTTCGTGGACTAGATTTAATTACAGTTTTCCTCATGATGGTACATGGACTAGAGTTAATTCCAGAGATGCTGGACTTGAAAGCCCAGCATTGAAACCCAACACATTGGGATAGACCAGTGAATGGCACCTACAACAAATTTCCCAAGTACCTATCCTCAAACATCTTTCTAGCTTGTATCATCAATCTGTCCTTTAAAGGCAAATTCCCCTGTATTTGATCATGTACTAACATCAGTCACTTTAGAGATAAGCTAATGCGAGCTAAAGATCTATGAAAAGGACTATGCTTCATTGGAAATGCTCACAATAGCAGATTTTTTTTTTCAAGAAGGAGAGCCTAATTACCTTTCGAAATTCCAAAAATGTCAAACTGATTACGGTGTATGCTTTTTTTATAACATCACATGCACCGAAGTTATTTTGGGATAATGAGCAATTTTAATCTTGCTTAATAAAAGCTATTCACAGGGCACTTTAGGAGGGGAGCTGCATATAAGTAGTTTTACTAAACCACTTTCCCCTTTCAGTGGCATTTATTCAAGAGTATGCAAATTCTCTTAAAACTGGCAACCAAATTTAGAAATTAGAAGGGCAGAACTATGGACTTAATTGAGTAAATTTTTTTGTTTTTTTAAAGAGCATATTCACAAAAAAGAAAATAAAACTGAATTTTGAATTTTACATACCATTGATGTGCTGATAAAAAAAGAATGTGCTGAGTTTTGAAGTTGAATTTGAGTTTAAATTCAGGGTTTACAACCCCTAAATTTAAAGAAAAAAGATGTATTTAAGTCTTTTCAAACAGTATGATATGATAGGGTTTATCAAAAGATACTATAAAAGAAAAAATTCTTAGGAAACCTCTTTTCAAAGAACATTTTGTTTACTTTTTCAAGAATGAAAGAATGGTAAAATTTTATCACAATATTCTAAACATAAAAGTGAGTTGAAAATAAGCATCTTAAATGAGAAGAGATTCCTCTTGCTGGAATCTATTAAGAAACTATGGACTGATATGGGTGAGATCATTCATGAGACAGCTGACTGAGGCATTCATTACCTGGTTTTTGAGACAGAGAAAAGTAGACTCACTTCAAAGTTTCCATGGCACAAAGAATCCTCTGGAAATATTCTCTGCCCACTTTCTGTTCTGATTCTTCACTTTCTGAAATCCTTCTGATATCAGGGCTCAAGCTGACCAGTGAAGACTGGATGATGAAACTGAGACCAGCAAAGGTCCAGATCTATCTGTTCTGATGGAGGCAGCATCAGCACAGTTATCTCTTGGGAATTTGATTATCTTTTCTTCTCCTGAAGATGTCTGCCTCCTCCAAACAGTAAAGAGATAAATGTCCAAACAATTGACAAGAAAAGGAAAATGAGGGGCCTACCTGTGACTTCTCATCCTGTAGTCTTTCTGCTCTTAGGGAACTTATCGTGTTTACCTGCCTGGTCTGATCATATAAGATGTTCTCATTATTTTCCTCCTTCTTATTTCTGTTTCCATATCTATCAATTTAAAGATAAAATTCTACTTTTTTAAGAAGCCATGCTTCCATTCAATGCTTAAGGTGTCCTCTCGACCCTCTTCATTCACTGCACAAGTATTTATATTGTCTATGTGTGGCTGTGGCACTGCAGACTCTCTGGTCCCGGGAAGCCACAATAAAAAAAAAAAGAAGAAGCATTTCTTTCCTCAGTAAGCTTCCAGTCTTGCACCTTTTCTTTTCTGAAAGCACTTCCCTTGGTTCCTTCCTGCCTATATGCGCAGTGCTACTCCACTGTATACAAATCCGTCCTTGATCTTGACAACTTTCTTTTGTCATTACCCCTTAATGGGTGCCTCTGTATAAGGACCTGGAACATCTGTCTCCCCATCCTACTGCATTAGCTCGCTCTATGAACAATGGTCTGCATCTTGCCCAAAAGCACAGACTAATATTCACTTAAAGTTAGTGGATCTGCTATTCCCTAGAGATTATTAGATCCTCAAAATATTGTACAGGAGGAAAATGAATTCATAGCTTTTCCCATACAGCAAATTACTTGTAGAAACATCACCGGGGTTAGGAAGCTCCCACAGCCAGTGTGGGAACTCTCCCAACCATGCCTCAGACATTTTTTATTCATCTTCTTATAACACTATTGGACACCAAATTACAGAAAGGCAGACAAAACAAAGCTGTGAAACTAAAACTGAGTGTACAGATGACTTGGTCTGTTCTGCAGATAGGGAAAATGGGGCCTGGATCAGCAGAATAATTGGCCCAGAGTCACGCAGTATAGTAGTGGGAAGAGATGAACTAGTCTCCATGTCTCCTGATTCTAAGGCATTCCCCGACTTTGATTTGCATTTAGCCCTCTTTCTTGGTTCTTCCTTGGACAGGTTTCCTAAAAATCTGAAAATATAACACATTTCTTCCCAGTCCACAAGTACTCCACCAAGGCCCTTCTCGGGAAGAGTGCTCCCCAAGGAATGCACTGTTCTTGGTCTCAGCCCTTCTACTCATGTTCCTTCCATCAGAGAACTTAACTCCTCCATGTTTTTGTGTGGCCTTCTTGAAGGCTGTTAACCATACATATTCATACTAGACCTTTAATTGCCACTGAGTCCTGAATTTTAGACTTCTGGTAAGATAAGTAGGATATTTGCTGCATGTCCAAGATATATAGAGGAGGAGAGGCGATCACCACCACCTCCTTTTGCCACTTACAATGATCTCATAGGTGCTTATATTCCCTCCTTTGAGTTTCTAAATAACTTTGTAAGGGCACTGAGATATGGAAGGATTAAGGACTTGTCCAAGATCTCCCAGCTCGTAAGACGTGAAGTGGGATTTCAGTCATCTCTTCCGTCTTCTGGTCCAACTCTCTCAACAATGTCAATATCAGGCTCTCTCCAGCTGAAGTTTCTTCTAAACAATTGCTTTGCCCCCCTTGCATAGAAGAGTCTTATTTACTTACCTGACAAGTGAGATTTCTTAGCCCACCTTTCCCCACTCTCATTCTTTTACTGCAGCTTCCTACCCACCAATATTGAGAAGGAAGTAAAATGGAAAAGCCAAGAAAGAATGGTCGAATCAGTGAGTATCTTTTTTTTCTTTCCAGTGTGTGAACTGGTGATGGTAATACTACCTATAGTACAATGTTGAGATTACATGAAATCAGCCATATAAACCCTGTGCCTGGCACTCAGTAAAGATTTGTTTGACTATGATCCAAAGAGAAATTCAGTCCTGTGTCATATGTCTTTAGGGAAATCAAGGAGGGAAAAAACTCCTCTAATCTGCTTAAATTAAAATAAAAAAATATTATTATAAGACTTATAGAATGCATATTGATATACTTTGAGATAGAGTTCTAATAATGGGAGAGCAAATAGATCTGCTTGTTTCCTCAAAATTTTTTTTTTTTTTTTTTTTTGTGACAGAGTTTCACTCTGTCGCCCAGGCTGGAGTGCAGTGGCGTGATCTTGGCTCACTGCAACCTCCGCCTCCTGGGTTCAAGCGATTTTCCTGCTTCAGCTTCCCCAGTAGCTGGGATTACAGGCGCGCCACCACACCCGGCTATTTTATATTTTTAGTAGAGATGGGGTTTTTCCAAGTTGGCCAGGCTGGTCTCAAATGCCTGACCTCAAGAGATCCACCTGCCTCGGCTTCCCAAAGTGCTGAGATTACAGGCATGAGCCATTGGGCCCAGCCATTTCTTCAAATTTTAATACAATTATTTTCATTGCTTCTACTTTTGAAAGTGGGCATGCTTATTATAAAAAATTTGGAAAAATTAGGAAAAAATTAAAACATATATCATCCTCCAAAGATTACTGATATCTGGTGTACTCATTCTTGATTCTTGATCTGTAGGTTAGAAACGGGGCTGACAAATTCAGCTGTGCAAGTCGTGCACTGTATGATCTGAGGAAGCACCATCCACATAAATTGCTATATGATCAGCACTCTCTGGGTTGTGCACACATCACATATAACATATATCTCTATACATGTGCATTTTTCTCTTTTCATAGTGTAAAAATTCTCAGTATGATACTGCATTTTACTAATTTCATGTAACATGAAGTATATTTTATGTATTTCAAGAACTGCTTTAACAATGCTTTTCAGAAACCAAATAATATCCCTTTGGGTCATTGTGTGATTTACTTAATCACTACATGATGTTTAGAACTTTAGGATGTTTCCAAATTTCTGCTATGAGTGATGTCATTGTGATGAACATCTTTGTGTAGAAAACTTTCCCCTATATTTTGGGATTTCTTTAGTACACGTTGTTATAGTAAAAGGGTAAAAATTCCTTATGGCATGTATGACATATTACCAGATTGCTTTTAGAAAATGTTGCTATGTATTTATATACTTTCTTCCAAAGGGGTATGAGGGCTTCATATCAGCAAATCCAAATGTTTTCTTAAAGTTGACATTTACTTTAGCTTTTACCTAATTTTTAAAAGCAAATCTGGCTTGTTGTCCCAACACAAAAAGGGAAATCTGCCGAGAAAAATAATGCCAGTCATCATACATCTGCCTTGGAGTGAAAACTCAGAGGACTTAAAAATCCTGGTAAAAATAATCTAATTCACTTGACCAACTTTCCTTCTACATTTGAAGGTTATACATCTGTAGGTACTAGAAAAAGATAAGTCAATAGCACATATTCCCCCATTGTTAATATTATTAAGACTTATTTACAAACATGGGCCGGCCTGTGTTTGAGAAAGTCTTATTTGCTATTTGGAGCTTTAGGGACAAATTCTAGAAGAGGCTATAATAACAGGCATAATCCACAAGTGCTGTTTACACCCTTGCTACTCACAGTGTGGTCCAGGAACCATCAGCTTCGGTTATCACCTAGAGCTGGTTAGAAATGCAAAATCTCAAATTTCACCCTAGATGTACAGAATCAGAAAATGGATATTAACAAAATGTCCAGTTGATTCCATGCCCATTAAAGCTTGAGAAACATGGCCAGATACAGTGGCTCATGCTTGTAATACCTACTTTGGGAGGATAAGGAGGGAGAATCACTTGAGCCCAGGACCCCATCTCTACAAAATACATATATTTTAGATGGGTCATGCACCTATAGATGGGAAGATCATTGAGCCCAAGAGTTCACGGTTGCAGTGAGCTGTGATCATGCCACTGCACTCCAGCCCGCTCCAAGGTAACAGAGAGAAACTATGTCCCAAAAAATAAAAAAAGCTTGAGAAATACTGGTGTATACGTCCAAGGAGAACTAAGCACAAATTGAGGAGCAATAAAATGCATGTTTGGAAATGATCTCGAATGTTCAAGTTCCACTCTGCTTTGCGTTAGGTGCCCTTCTAGCTAATCCCACAGTGCATCAATACAATTATAGAATCCCTTATCACATCGTGTTGTGATTGCTTTCTTGTTTTTATTTGTACTTGTATTTTTGCTTGTTTTGCACTCCATACTTTTGAAGGTATTGCTAAATAAAAGTATTGTAAGAGTAATGCAATTTCTTTCTTTCTTTTTTTTTTTTTTTTTTGCAGAGAAATTAGCTATATTTTTTTCTTTATTTCCAAAAGTTACTTGGGAGAGAAAGTACAGTGAAAAGTCTGGTGGTTAATCTCTTTATTGTATGAATATTTGCTTCTTCAACTAAGACAGATCTGCCTTCAAATTCCCCTTCCCTTTGGTTGCAACACAGTTAAATCTAATGCTCCATCACTAGCAAAATCAACTTTTGCTAATATTCTATTTCATATTTTAACATCTTATTTGACAGGTGTGGTTTAGTTACTGGCAAGCATCTAATTTATGTCAAATCTAATATTATTTTCCTAGAGTGAAAGTTTTCCCTGTCTTGTCTTAGTCCTAAGGAAACTTTTTAAGATTTTCTTTTTCAGAAGAAGATGAATTGTGAAAGCAAAGTTGAATAACACATGTTAAAATTTGTTGTGAGGAAGCAAAATGTGTCACACCCATTTAAAAACACTTGATATATATATATATATATATCCCAAAAATACTTAAAAATGACTGAACATCGGCCATTTCTTTTAACATTAAATGTTAAAGAAAAATTTCAAGTGTTATATTTTAATCAAAACCAAAGCTTTTGAGTAATTTGAGAGGGGAGAAAAATGGAGATGGGAAGCTTTTGCAGGAGAATTTTTTGCTCAGACCCAGTTCAAATTTGTGATTCCATTTAGGTATATTATTATTTCCATAACTCTGAAGTTTCTGAAACAAATGTCCTTCTTTTTGCTGACTGTCTCAGATGTACCTAGCTGTGATGGTAGACAGTGGTGTTGTTAAAATGGAAGATGAAGCATTTCAGGAAGTCACAAAAAGCAACTGGTGTTCACTGAGCATCAATCACATTGAGCTTGACAGGCAATGCGTAGCCATGACTCAGCCATCCCCTCAACCAGAACTCTCCAATACTGTGTATCATTGCCTCCATTTTCATAGAGGCAGTGACCGATGGTTAGAGAGGTAAGATGCATAAACTTACACATTTTAAGAGGGAGAATCCAGAACTTAAAAAACAGGTTATGTTTGCTTGATTCCAAAGGTCATGTTTCTCCACCAGAACACTACAAAAATTGTACCATTTCTAATATTCTGTCCATGGCATTTCTGTTGGAAAGTTGAGAATAAATGAACATGTGCTTATTTTATTTACATAAAAATAACTACCATAATTAGGGGATTCATTCTTGGACTTGCTCCTTGTGAAAAATCCTTGAGCTTTATGGGATCAGTCAATATTCGCAGGCTGTGAGGAACTCCAGAAAGTCTTCAGTTACACCGCAGACAAACCAAAATCATTATTTATGATTTTAGTTTTTATTTGACTAGTTCACCTTCCTAAAGGATTGAGCTATCCCTAGGAAACTTCCTATGAATTCTAGATTCCTCTCTGCTCTCTGCAGTGGGCTATTACAAGCATTCAATGACTATTCTCAAGTGGCCAGGACCGTTTATTGGGGGATGGCTTTCCTAGCCATTGGCTTATCATCTGGTGGATGAGAGCACATTGCAATTGAGGAATCACTGTTACATTTGTCAGTGCTTGGGTATTTGACCCTCAGTAAACAGCATTTACTTAACTTTTACCAGAAAATGTCTTGATGGCATTATGGTATGATTTATTTACAGTTCTACAGATTTGGGGTTACATTTGGAAATCTTTCCATTGACAAAATAACTCTCCCCAAGGACTGTTCTCAGGAAATATTTGTTTTCAAGCCTTTAGAACCCACTTGAATCTAATGGGATAAACATGCACTTGGTCAACTAGGGATTGGTTATGCTACTCTTTTTAAAAGTCATCAGATCAACATTTCCAAAGTGTGGTTATTTAGCAAGTCTTCCAAAGAATATCAGTGGTTTGCTTCTTTTGCTTAAATTTAAACAAAGGTTGTTCTCAGATTCAACTTACTTGATTTCACACCAGGATTTTGTAGAAATACCTTCTAAACATCCTCCTCATCTCTGAATTGCCTCAAGGAGGCAAGCCTGTTCCAGGGAATGAGGTCAATCTGCACCCACTTTGCAAATGAGGACCTTCACATTTAGGTTACATTAAATAACTGTATCCCAGGAATGTGCCTCAAAAACCAAGAGTGGTCAAAGAGTCCGTCTCAATTTCATAAATACTTTACTAGACCCCTTTTGGGTTTTAGTTATACTCCCTTGGATATTTTGAATCTAATTAATGCTTAACCTTGGCCAAATTCCTTAACTGCTCTAAACCCTAGCTTTGTCATTGGTAAAAGAGGGATAATAATTGTAGTACCTGGTAAATTTATCATCGTGATAAAATGAGGTAATTCACAGTAAGTACTTAGCTCAGTGCCTGGAGCAAACTAAGTAGCCGAGAGATGTCAGTTGTTACCTCTCTCTTTGTTAACTATTTTTCATGCTAACTTGAAGAAAACATGAAAAACAAAAATTCAGAGACATCAACATTATTTTCAACTTATCCCCAGGACTGGGTTTCTGTTCACACACATGGCCAAGTGTCAGAATCACACCAGGGTGTCCTTCAGGTTATAGTGTCCCCAGCCCTGGCCCTCCCGCCTGGGTCTTTCTGAGGGTCTGCGCTAGGGCATCAGAATCTGGGCTTGTAAAATTCCTTAGGTGATTCTCACGAATGGCAGGATGCAGAGCTCCTATGGAAGGCTGGCAGGGCCCACACATCACTGCTGCCTCAGTGAAGCCAGTAATTCAAGTAGGAACAAGGGACACGTAAGCGTAAGCGTCCCTTTTTCCTCCCTCTGCTTCAAGTGGGTGCTTGTTTTACCCGAAGTACTCAAGTGGGCATAACCTCTCCCTCTCCTGCACATAACCATGCTGCATCTGGCCATAGCATTCAAGTGCCAGGTTCATCCATTCTCAAGGTGGACTAGACTCGGGATCCCATTCCATGTTTGAGGCTTTGACCGAATATCCAATAACCTGCAGGTGCCACAGAGAGGGCTAATTTGTGAGTTATTTCCTTGTAATTCTTAATGGACTGCTCTGGCAAAAACAAAACTCATTTGGCATCTGGTAAAAGGGATAAACAAAACTCCTCGCTCATGGAGCTACTTTGAAAATTGAATGAGTCAAGCCCTCAGTACAGTGCTCAGGGTTTGTGAGCTCTCAGGCAGCCTTAGTTGTCGTTTTTTGTTTTTGTTTTTGTTTTGTTTTGTTTTTAGGAAAAATCTATAAAATGTTACCTAAAATGGTTGCAGTATGCATTTTGATTCATCAGTTGATCTATTAAACATATTATTATTATTATTATTTTTGAGACAGGGTCTCACTGTTGTCCAGGCTGGAATGCAGTGGCATGATCTTGGCTCACTGCAACCTCTGCCCCCCAGGTTCAAGCAATTCTCCTGCCTCAGCCTCCCGAGTAGCTGGGATTACAGGTGTGCACCACCATGCCCAGCTAATCTTTGTATTTTTAGTAGAGACAGGTTTTCACCATGTTGGCCAGGCTGGTTTCAAACTCCTGACCTCAAGTGATCTGCCCGCTTCAGCCTCCCAAAATGCTGGGATTACAGGCATTAGCTACTATCCCTGGCCCATCCTATATTATTTTTAATATAAATAACTTACAACATGGAAATATTTATATATTTTGCCTTATTTTATGCTCTTCACTCCTAGGAACCTGAAGTAGCAAAGTGTTCCACTTTCATAACCCATAATGTTCTTGCTAAGGGCCCTGCTGCTTCCTCTTCCTCGTACAGCCCCTTCTCTCTTGTTTGTCTTTTCAGTCTTTTCTAAACCCTGGGACAGGCTCCCCATCTCTCCGCCCCCTCCTCAGCCTTTCTTTGCTCCCTCTCATTGTGGTCAAATGACAATTTGGCTGGTCTTCAAGTCCTTTAAGAGTTGCCTCCGGTGTCCTGACCAGAGAAAATAGGGGAAGGGGTACAAGACTACATCCCCAAAGGGCTGCTTTCTACAAAGTAAGCTAAGTCTCCAGGTTTAAGGGAAAGATGCTTTTTCCAGGTGTTAAACTTTGACTTTTTCTCATAAGCGCTGATATTCTTTTCTCTTTTGCCACTGCCCTCAAAATACTGTGACAGTTTTCTCTCTGGCCTTGGAGTTGCCTTGGTTATTAATTCAAAAATTATAAATTTCTTGATCACCTGTTGTGGCAAGAACATAACTTACTTTGCATCTGTCTTCTTTCCTCCCCAGGGACACCATATGTCCATTCCTGGCTTCTACTCCTTTTTATAAACACAAGAGTGGAAAGGTTTGGCTTTATTCGGTGAGTCTCTTTTATGTCAGTAAATTATATATGTCCCTCGTTGCAATCTCGGTCGTCTCTCCTTAGCTCATATATCTTCCATACTTGAAATGTCTCATTTATTCTAGCCATTTACTCAATAGTGCTTTTAATTAACGCCTTGTATGCTTCAAAAATAGGTATAGTTTATAACCTACCTTGGCTTCTTTAGTGTTGAAACTACAAACAGAAAACTTTTTTTCTCTTTGACCTGCTATCAATAGGTTATGTGTTTATTGTAGGAAAGTTTATTGCATCGTGCTCATTGTTTATGCAAATGAAGCAGTGACATTGTGTGCATTTAAAGTTTCATATGTGGCTCTCATGTGTGGCTTGAATACAAATGCTCACAGTGTTTCCCTTGGTCTCCTCTAGACACCTCAAAGAGGAGATGCAGGAGGATGAGCAGTCTGCAGTGCAGGAGGTTGGAGACAAAGAGAAGGTGATGTCACAGAAACCTACGGGCACATGGTCCCTTCTCCAAGGTACTCATTACACCAAAGTGAGCATGCATGTGACCGAGGGTGCCCTGGAGAGGGGACATTCACTTCCGAAAAGGGTGATTACCAAAGGCCACGTGACAGAAGGAGACCTTTGGTTTGGGCTGGAAGGATTGTTCAGGATTTTGCTGGACAAGGCCAGGTGGAAGGAGGATGTGATGAGACCCTGTTTCCTGGTAGTTGCCCGTGTATGAGGGGGTCATTCCTACATTCGTTTTATGGGCCATAGCTGTAATGTCATAGATCAAGGTCTGCCTTTAAGGAACAAAGAACGATGTCATCATCTGTGGCATAGAGAAAACAAAAATCACTACTTAGATTTCTTTTGAAAATAGAAGGTGTTAGAGTTTGAAACCTTCGCATCTTAACAGAAAAGAAGAGTGAGCCCCAGAATTAGAAAAAGAGAGGAAAACGGACCTCTATGGGCCAAATCCTGTGCAGGGTATATGACATGATTAATTCAGTTCTCCCCTGTGATGTCTCATAGGTGAGAAAACGGAGGCTCACAGAAGCATAAGAACATCATCTAGACACGCACCTGGTTAGTGGCAAAGCCAAGGCCAGAGCAGGTGCGTCTTTTTAAATTTCCTATGATCTTAGTGTTGTGCCATATGGGGACACATTTGGCTTTGTGTTAAGTTGCTAAGTTGGTCACAAGTTGATGTTTTCAGATTCTACAATTCAGGCATTAGTTGGTTAGCTCTAAGTGTCAGTTAGGCATTTGCCTTAATTTTGAATAAAATGAAAAATGTCTAATTTATTTTGGGAGGGTGAGAGGGAGGAATAACCAGGATCTCTCAGAGTTCAGGAGAAACTAAGGCTACTTTGATTTTGTTAAAACTCCAGGTATAAAACATAAAGATATATCAGAAGAGTACTATAAATTCTGTGGTTCATTTTTAAATGTTTACATTTAGCAAATTTATTTCAAAAAATAAAATATATTGAGCTATTCACAAGACAGCCAGAACTTATGAAAATATTGACTATGAAAACATAGAC
Organism: Homo sapiens; assembly: GCF_000001405.40. Lineage (NCBI taxonomy): Eukaryota > Metazoa > Chordata > Mammalia > Primates > Hominidae > Homo > Homo sapiens. The sequence goes on from NC_000007.14 coordinate 41,273,980, forward strand.
ATCTTCTTCCAATCCAGTCACTGTATCTCAGTGACTAAATAAATAAACTCAGTTGAAGATAATATCAAAAGTCTGAATTTGAAGCCTAGACTAAATGGCCTTCCCTGTCCTTCTGTAATAGGCTCTTTATCAGCATTCTTCCAAGGCCCTAACCTCGGCAGGAAACCCTAAAGCCTCACTGGCCGCCTCTCTATGTTGGAGTGGGCATCTGCTGAGACCACATTGTTTGACGTTGCCTTGAATTGCTGGCATTGCACTGAGTTCACTCTGGCTACTATCTCTTTGCTTTCAGCCTCCTTTCTGGGTCATGCTATCACACCTCTGCTTAATTCCCGGTGACCCTAATGTCCTTGCTTTCCTATCAGGGGAATGACTGTCCTCCCTCCAGTATCTCTTACTGGGAAGCAGTGCTGATAGAAAGAGGAGAGAAAGAGCTGAGCATGGCTGGGGAGCACCACAGGGCCAGTAGTGGGCCAGACAGCTGAGCAGCCTCTGGGTCAAAGGCTTCTTTCTGGCTGGCCATCTCCGGCCTGAGGAATCCCCCTCCCTCTCACCGCATGGCTGTGGACTGGCGTCCATGCAGTTTGTGCCTAGTGCCAAAGCCAGTGTTCTCTAGGACACACTCCAGGAGGCAGGTACTTCTGGTTGCCTGTGGCAGGCAGCAGATCTAGATATCAGTTCCTTCCAGAGAGGGCCTATGTGAATCAAGACCCCAGCCCCTCAGTGGGTTGCTGTGTAGAGATTCCAGAACTGTTCTTCAACACATCCCCCTAGAAGGCCATACAAGCACAGCAAAACCCTCTGCTCACCCACGACCTGGAGCTCATTAGAATAAAGCAAGTGAGGTGAAGCCTGGAGTCTGGTTCAGCAGTAGCATGCCATCTGCCCTCTATTTGTGACCAGAAAGCCCATGCAAATGAACTACAGAGTGCTAACCGTGTGTTAATACACAGTTAGTAAAGATGAAAGCGTTCCACCCCATCTTTAATAACTCCCAGGCCCAGGCTTTATAAAAGGAAGCTGCATGTTAAAATCACCCTCCCTGCCCACCATCAGGTCAACCTCAGCGGTATTCAGTAGGAAATTTCAAAGTGGCCAAACATGAAGTTGCTTTTAATATCCATCTTTTTCATGGCAACCTGATGTGCTCAATGTCTCTGTTTAAACACTTGCAGATTGAGATGGACTTGCCTTTTCCAGGCTCATATGAGTAACAGCAGCAGCTCTGTTGCCCTACTCCTGGGGTACACTTATTTGCAGAGCCTTTGTTGCTAGGGCTGAGTCCCTGCTCTTCTTTGTGGTCCTTCTCCAACAGAGGCAGGATGGCTGCAGATCCCCTACCACCAGCATAGAGACGAAGGAACAGGAGAGGAGTGAAGGTCTGACCAGACCAGATTGGCCACCCCAGACCCCAGCAGGCACAGCAATGCACCAGCGTGCAGGCAGCCCCATTCGCCGGAGTCACCATGCCCAGCCCAACAGGCTGCCTTTGTTTTTATGGTGATTTTTGCACGCTCATCCTTACACGATGCACGAATGGGGTTGGAATGGGTCTTTGGCAGAAAGCAGTGGCATCTGTCATCTTTGCTTCACCACGATTCCAGCTCAGCACCAGGCCTCTGGTAGCGCTTTTCCTCCTCATCACATTTGTTCCTGTTGACTGACCAGATTATTGATCGCTCTGTTCTGCAGCACTGGGTGGGTTAAGCTTGGTTGCCTCCAGGCCTCTGCTTTGGAGTAAATCTCCATGAGCCAAACTAAATTCCTCAGTAGTACAAAACAGATTTTAACATTTGCAGGAGAAAAATAAAATGACACAAATAGTCACACACCCAAACCACACAGTGCAAAGAGTAAAGGTAGATATTGCAGCAGCAAGTCGTTTAGACATCACAGGTGGTTAACGGGCACCCCTCCCAGTACAGTCTCTAGGCCAGTAAGACCCTAGGAGAAGAGCCACAGGCGTAGAGGAAGCTGTGTTGGTGTTGCATTCTATCTGCACAACTCAAATGGGTAATGCTTGTTTGCTCTGAAGTGCTCTGGGTCACCAGCTTCTGCCCACCCTAGCTTTCAACTACCATCACCCTGGGAACAGGCTCCTCAATTCTAATCCCTCCTGCCTGCTGAATGTAGATTCTTTTCCTAAGATGCAATTCTAATCTTGTCCTGCAGATCTGATTCTATTACAGCCATATGATGTGGTTCAAATACCTTAATTTGAGTTAAAAAGTCATCCTCGACTTGGCCATGGCCAACTTTCCTACCTTGGCTTTGTTTGTTTTCTCTCTTTCAATCAGGCCCAGCTGTTTTGGATGTGTGTGTGTGTATGTGTGTGTGTGTGCACATGTGTGTGTGTGCATGTGCGTGCATGCAGGTGTGTGTGTGTGTGTGTGTGTGTGTGTGTGTGTGTGTGCTTTCTCTCCCTGGGTATATTGGAACTCTTTCTGTTCTCCTTCACACATCTGGGCCTCTACTTCTTGCTCATCTGCACTTCTGGAAAGTTGCCCCTTTCTCTTCATCTAATTAACTACTGTTTACCCTGTGGATTCTAAATGCCACATCCTATTTAAACCCCTCTGTTCTACGCTTTTATAATACCCAGGCGTCCTTATCACAACATCTCACTTTGTTGTAATTGCTTATTTAACAACAGTCTTGCTTACCTCAAGAGCAACTGTATTCCCTGTGCCTAGCTCAGTACCTGACAAACTGTGGGTACACAATGAGTGTGGGCTGAATGGTGAGCTGAAAAAAAAAAGAATCAATGGGTCTTTGTTTCCCAGCTACACAGAGAGCTACCTGGCTCTGAGAGTGTTATTCCGCAGAATCCTTTCAATGCTTTTAACTCTCCTTCCTTTCATTCTGCTTAAAGTTCTCACCTCTCATGACATTATAAAGAGCTGTGCAGGTGTTTCTCCATTCATATATAGCAGAATTAAGCTAAGACTTGTTCCTGCTGATGAACCGGTTATTGCCAACCTCTCCATTCTGTGAGGGTGAGGATGGGACAAATGGTGCCCTGTCCATTCAGATGGCACCAACCTTTGAGATATGAAATAAGCTTAGGATTATTGGTGGGTTTGAGGACAGGAAATTTCATTGTGTTATCTCTCATCTGAAAAGTGGTGGCAATGGGGGTAAGCTTTTAATCTTACATAATTCTGTATCTATTTCATAGGTTGATAAGAAGTCTGTTTAAATATTTAAGCAATACATATCCTTCATGGATATGTAGTCCAACTGAACTGCTGCCACATACTGGAGACATGCCCTCTTTGTTTTTTACAAGGCATCTACTTCAAAACACGGAAAGGAAATATCATTATCATCTGTTGTCTTGTTCAATTAAATTTCAGGTCTAATTCAACATCAATTTCAAGGAAACTGACACCACTGAAGATACAATTAACTCAATTTTTGTCTACCTCATCTCCAGAGCAAACCAGAACAAGCCCCAAATTCACCTTCTTCCTTCTTCTCCCAGACCAAGTCCAAGGTCAAGTCTAGACATTGATCTTGAGCTTTGCATTCTCCAGAACTGTGAAAAAATAAATTTTTGTTATTTACACCATCTAGTTGATGGTATTTGTTATGGAAGCCAAAGCTCACTAAAGCACTCCTCAACCCACTTGGATCTAGTTTTTGTGTGAAACACAAACACAGAGGCAGCTCCTGCCCTGTCAGGACAGGGCAACATCAGTGACCTGATAGTTGTCCAATGCCATGATCTATTTTCAGGCCTCTTCACCCTTGACTCATGCAGTGGGGAACACCCACAACCAAATCCTTGAAGCTCTTTGTGCTTCTGCTACCGCCTCTCTCAGCACTCTTACTTCTCCTTAAGTAACACTTCCTCCAATTCTTCTCCTTTTACCCATGCCAATGTATTACAAGTTTTCTGGTCTTGGCTTTATTATTCTGCATTCTTGGCTTTATTATTCTGCCGGTGATGGCTTTTTCAACTCTTATACTCTCTCATACCATTATATTAATAGATGAATCCCAGCTCCATATCAGCAGACTAATTGCTTCTCTGAGAAGCACTGCCTAATTTCCTTATGCTTCAGCACCTATACTTTGCCAGACACCTGAAACTTTATACCTTATTTGTCATCTCTCTTAAGCACTGACTGATTCCCTAGCCCAGTGGATAGCATTGCCATTCATCTATTCTCTCAATTTAGAAAACCCGGAATTACAATGAACTCTCCATTTTTCTTTTCCCTCTATACCTTATCAAATTCCAAAAGCTATCAATTCACCCTGAAATTGTCCCCATATTTGGATCTCTCCACTTAAATATGTGCCATTTGGAATGTCTTGGTTCAAGCTTATATTCTTTCTTGCCTGCACTATGCAAAAGTCTCCTAACCAGAAGTGTGCATCAGTCTGCTATCTTTACTGAAAATAGACTTACCATCCTGGAAAACAATGCAATTTTTTTCCCTTTTACTGAGACTTCAGTTGTCTGCTCAGTGCTTATACTAAATAGTATTTCCTAAACTCATTCCTTGGGATATTAATTATACTTTTTCTTGGGATGTTAGTAGGTGTTTTGTAAGTAAAAGGGGGAAGTTAAATGTTTAAAAGTTAATCGATGTTGAAAATGCTAGGTGAAATAAATTTAGTTAATTTACTGAAGAACTTAGAAACTGGTAATTTGCATTGTAACTCTCTAAGAGGAGATCGTGCAGGTCCACAGTCCTTTATCCAAAAATCTTTACTGGATGTGTTTGGAATTCAGAAAGTTTTAGATGTTTAGAAAGGTAAATGGTTGGTATATATACCACTATCAAATGATACTTCCTAGCAATCAAACACATTGTTATTTCTGTTTTGAAACATATGACCATCATACTGAGATAAATAAAGACCAAAAATAGTCTCACGTCAGTTCAGGTAAGGTTTTGCAGCCTGAAGAATTACACAAATTGTTTTTCTGAGATGTTTGGATTTTGGAATTGATTATAAGGGGCTGTGAGCCAGTAATATGCTGACTTTCCCAAACATATTTGACTTGGAAGCTTTTCTCCCAAGAGCATCTCTCTAGGGGTTTGTACCATGATATACATTTTTGGAAATGCAGACATATAGACAACCTGTGCTCCACCATTGACATGTTATTCTTCTCTAAGAACCTTAACATTTGCCACTTGGTGTTTCTTGCTGTTTCTTTGCCCTTCCTTCTCCACCTGGAAAATGCCTATTCAATCATCACATTCAAGTTCAAATGTGGGTTCACGCTCCTGTTGTGACTATTATCACATTGCATGCTAATTATCTCTTTACTTCTTTGTCAACTATTTGTCAAGAGGGTATTTACTTATTACTGAATCTCTAGTGCTTAGAATAGGTGCCTGCTCAATAGGAGATATTCAACAAATGCTGAATAAACGAGTGAAAACTAAATAATATGCTGGTGTTAGTTTTGAAGTTTTATTGTTAAGAGCGGAACCAACTGTTCATTGATACTAAGAATCTATATAAAATCTTGAGCAATGTCTAAAATCATGTAGTATGTGCTTTTGGTGACTCATGCAGAATTCCTTTACCTGGAAAGATAGTATTTCCATTCTCCAGTTACTATGAGTATTACTGCTATATATCCTTCATGCACCATCCTATCAGGTACTTTAGGAGGCAACCGACGTGTCCATTGCAGGGTGCTGCTCCTCACTTGGCAGAATACATTTGGCCCAGTAACCAAGGAGTGGAAGTTGGAGTGGTGCCTCTCACCATCACTCCCAGGGACAGAAAATTTGTGCTTCTCATGCCTGTACCTTTATACTCTGTGAGTCTAGAGGTTTTGGTCCTCTGGGCATAGTTGCTTCTACTAGAGGATGCAGTGAGAGTTCCACTAAACTTACAGCTGTAGCTGTTGTCTGTAGACTATAGTCAAAGAATAAATTTACCATCTAGCAGAGTAAACAAACCTGAGTGTCAGGGGCATGTAGGACAGCTGCTATAAATGGGGGCAGAAGGAAACAGTCTGGCATCCAGGTGATCCTCTGGAGCATATCTTGGAACCCCTATGTTGACTTCAGATTCTGCATATTCAAGTACAGCATCCAAAGCCGAATAAGGGAATGGTAACTAAGGGCTGAGGAAATGATTCTCCCACTCTCACCAGGTGAGCCACCTTTACTAGGAAGTGCTGGTTGAGCTGAAGGTGTATCCAAAGCGGTTATAGTGGAGGGAGATGATAAATATCAGTGATGGCCTCATGACAGGCTGTACTTCTGGAATGCTGTTGCCTTCTCTTCATCTAATTCAGTACTGTTAATTAATCAGCAGTAGGGGCTACCAGTTTGTCTAATTGACTCTTTCCTTGTAAGTGTGCTCAGAAATTTTGACTAACCACAATCCTGGCAAAGGCATGCCCAAAGAAAATGACATTAATGTGAAAAGCAAGTGGGTCTGAGAGTTGCAAGGGGTGGGTAGTATTAAGTGTTTGTGGTGTCTCATCCTGATCCCCCTCCACCAGCCCACATAACCATCCCCAGCTGCCATGAGTGTTGGCCAACAACAGCTCACCGAGGCATCTTTCTCTGGAGCACTGAATGCCTCATCCAGAAATGCCCTGGTGGATGTTCATGAGGCACTTTACAGCCAATGAGTAACTGATACAGGGATGGAAAATCCCACCCTCCTTGCCTCAAGGTAAGACGTGTTTGTGATATTACTCAAGCTGTTGAGCTCCCTGTGGAATCAAGCTAATATTAGTCTTCAGCTGAAACCACATGTCTGCCTGGCTTCTTTTGTCCCGTCCCGCTTTCCTTACTTCCTCATAGCTGTTTTCTGAATAGAACACTTGTTCAAGAATCATCATCTTAGGCGCCACTTCTAGGGAAGCTCACTCAGACAAACACTTGCTTGAGTAGTTTCCCACTTAGGATTTTTCTCTTTAGCCAACACAGTCAACTATTGGTTAATGCATGTCTTAGTTTGAGCTGCAAATTGTATTAAAGTTAGCTTTAGTAATTGTAATTTTTTACCCCAGTCTGAAGAGTCAAAGTCTTTGCAAAACATCATTTGCCTTAATTTAAGTATCTTCTTAGATTCAGCATCCTTTTCATTAAACTATACCAGGGAATGTTATTTTTCAATGTCTGTAGAATTGAAGGTTAACTGATATACAAGTTGGGCATTGTTTATTAGATGGTTGGTTGATAGATACATACATAAATATATACATAGACATATAGATACATGATAGATGCTAGATAGATACATAGATGGATACATAGATAGATAGACAAGTAAATGATTGATAGATAGATAATAGATATACAGAGAACTGGAATTCTTTACTTCAGCCTGGCAACTCATGTTTTAGAGCTTTCAGTATCCTCAACACTTTGTCTTTAAATGGAGTGGGTGCTGATATATGGTAATTTGAGTGCATCATTTAGAGCATATTATATGGTGACATACACAAGGCTGCTACTTACATGTTCATTAATTCTTATTCTTAAACATGACTGTAAGCAGCAGCTTATAACTTATTTTAACCAAAGCTGATGATAGTATCAGAAGCTATTAACAATACTTGGAATACTCTGCTCTCTTTTTCCGTGTTGCTGCTTATTGCCAATGCATGAATTCAGATTCCCCATGGCAATCTCTTCTCTGGATGCTGCCATCAGATCCTCACTAACTTCTTTCCCTACAGCCTTGATTGTCATCATGGGCTCATGCTTTTTGTTTTTAACCATGCAATTCTTTCTGCTTTAGGAAAGGACATACACCACTCATGGGAATATAGATTGGTAGCGCCTTTTTGGTGGGAAATTTGGCAACATCAAAATTTTGCATGTGTTGCCTTTAACAATCCCATTTCTAAGAAATCTTTCCAAAGGGGGTACTCAGATAAGTAAGAAAAGATGTAAACACAAGGACATGGCATCGCACCCATGTTTATAACAGTAAACAGTAGAAGAAATCTTGTTGCTTATCAATAGGAAACTAGTTAAAGATATTGTGAAAAATCCCACACAATAGATTACTACATGGCTCTTAAACAAGATTATGTGTGTGTGTGTGTGTGTGTGTGTGTGTGTGTGTGTGTGTGTGTATCTGTCTGTACACTGTCTTAAAAAATCTTTTTGGCATATTGTTGAAAAAAACAGCTTGTAAAACAGCATGTATATTTTGATCCCATTTATGTGCAGATTATATACATATATGGTCATACATATATATCCATATATTATACGGCCAGCTTTGGAAGGGTGTCCATCAAATCCTTGACAGTAGCTGACTTAGTAGTTAGTCTTGGGACTTATTTTTTTCTCTCTTGTATTTTTTTTTAATTTTCTAAAAACTGTCATTTTATCTTTGTAAGTAGTAAAACAGTAAGAAAAAATACTTTAAGGTCATTCAGCACTCATGGGAATATAGATTGTTATAGTTATCTGTGATTCAAAGTCACTTTGGGAACTTGGAAGCAAGTTATTTACTCTTGGTAATATACATACATTATTAAGGGAAGATTTCTGGAAGTTTCTTAATGAATCTTCACAAAAACCTTGTGAGGTCAGTCTGATTATCTCAAGAGAGAATAGTGAGAGAGCAGTAGTTCTACTGGTCTGAGCACCTCAAGAGGGAACAGGGAGAGAGCAGTGATTCTGTTGGTCTGAGTATCTCGAGGGAACAAGGAGAAGGCAGTGGTTCTGTTGGTCTGAGCATCTCAAAAGGGAACAGGGAGAAGGCAGTGATTCTCTTGGTCTGAGTATCTCAAGAGGGAACAGGGAGAGAGCGGTGGTTCTGTTGGTCTGAGTATCTCAAGAGGGAACAGGGAGAAGTCAGCGGTTTTGTTGGTCTGAGCATCTCAAGAGGGAACAGTGAGAGAGCGGTGATTCTGTTGATTTGAGCATCTAAAGAGGCAACGGGGAGAGGGCAGTGGTTCTGTGGTCTGAATATCTCAAGAGGGAACGGGGAGAGAGCAGTGGTTCTGTTGGTCTGAGCATCTCAAGAGGGAACAGGGAGAGAGCAGTGATTCTGCTGGTCTGAGCATCTCAAGAGGGAACAGGGAAAGAGCTGTGATTCTGTTGGTCTGAGCATCTCAAGAGGCAACAGGGAGAGGGCAGTGGTTCTGTGGTCTGAGTATCTCAAGGGGGAGCAGTGGTAGAGGGCAGTGGTTCTGTGGTCTGGGTATCTCAAGGGGGAACAGGGAGAGGGCAGTGGTTCTGTTGGTCTGAGCATCTCAAGAGGGAACAGTGGGAGAGGGCAGTGGTTCTGTTGGGCTGGAGGACTGCAACTTTTGTCTTGCTCTGTTTCTGCATGAGGAGCTCTGCCCTGGGGAGGATGCTGTCCAGACCACGATTCTTCAGCTGAGGTCAGGAGTTGCTCCAATTTGCATTCCTTGTTTCTTTTCCCCACTCTTCCTCCTGCATCTTCTCCCCTTCTCCTGACCACCATGTGCCGGATCAGGAAGCAGGGAGGGGAGGAGATCAGTCTCATGCACATGATCTGCCAGCCTACCACACATACACATAGCAACAGTCCAGCCTAGTTAACTGGCTTGTGATTTTGCTTACGTACAAATTAACTAATTTTTAAATTCAAGTCCCTTGGAAAATGGAGAGATCTGAACAATTCTGCACCACTACTAAGGGGATTCGGTGAGGTCTGGATTTTGCTGCATTTTTAGGTTATCACGTAAAGATTCAGTTACAGAGTTCCCTGCACCATTGTGGGAAAAATAGAGCCCATGCTCCTTGCAGCTGCTAAGAGTTACTCTAACATTTCTCGAAGTCTTTCTAATACCCTTATAGAAATTAAATAAAAGATCCACTTAGGACTATTTAAAGTGTAGGTAAATCACTAAAAGGCATTTCAGTATGTTGTTAAGTTTCATCTTATTCTGCTGAAATTGGACCAGAGTCTGGCTTAGTTGACTACATGTAGCAGTTAGCAGTCACAAGGGAGGACCAAATGGCCAGAATACCAGTGTCATTCTGAGCCATGTGTCAGAATTCTGGTTTTGTTGGACAGGCTACAAACTGTTATTCCTGAAATCTCTTCCTGCTTACCTCCTACATATTTAAAAATACTGAAGTGATGAGCTGATTATTTCTCTTGGGAACCTGTAAAAACCCTTATATTCATTATTTCTAATAAGTTGTCTGCAACTGAAAAGAGCACATACAGTAGAGGATTTTTTCAGGTAATACTTCCTAACGACTTCATCACCTTTTAAATTATAATTCAGTGTTTCAAGAGCATGAGAAATCACATTATCAAAATATAACCAGATGATGTTCTATTTATTTTGCATATCATTTAGGCAATTTTCATGTCAAGACCAGAGCCTAATCCCTAGCTTTAAAATAGCACCAGACTAATACTCCCAGGTACAATTTCTCCCAGTATGCCCATGAAAAATCACCAGACTGAAAACTATGAATGACCAACAACTTCATGCCAGAATCTAGGCATACTTCCCCTACAAATAAGGTTGAAGAAACCGGGTTGGGGAATTAAAAAATCAGTGGATTGCCTATGATTTTATGCATTGAAACAAAACAGGTGTGCCTTTCACGATGATGTAAATATTTTATCTATCACCCACTAACTCAGAGGCCCCAAGCTCATTAAGGGCCAGAAATGAGGGCAATTTCAGCGAGCTCCTTATTGAGGTCATATCCTGCATCTATCTCTAAATCTCTCACTTATCTACTATTAGTTATTCATGTTTAAAAAATAATTTGATAGGCATGAGTTTTCCAGAAAATACAGAAAGAAAAATATGTGACAATATTAATTTTAGGAAAAATTGTTTTAGGCCAAAAAATATGGATGGAAGACTTTTGTTCTATCATGCCAATTATAATTTAGAATTACAATGTAACAGTCAGATGTGTGCATTGAAACATAGCAATACATATTTCAGATAACACATTTTTCAGGCTCATAACTGTTTTTTTAAATTTAAGTTTTTGCCTGGCACAGTGGCTCATGACTGTAAATCCCAGCACTTTGAGAGGCCGAGGCAGGCAGATCACTTGAGGTCAGGAGTTCAAGACCAGCTGGCCAACAGGGAGAAAACCCATATCTACTAAAAATACAAAAACTAGCCAGTGTAGTGGTATGCACCTGTAATCCCAACTACTCAGGAGGCTGAGGCACGAGAATCACTTGAAGCTGAGAGTTAGAGGTTGCAGTGAGTGGAGATCATGCGACTGCACTTCAGCCTGGGTGATAGAGCAAGACCCTGTCTTAAAAAAAAAAAAAAAAAAAGTGGTGGCTCACACCTGTAATCCCAGCAGTTTGGGAGGCCGAGGTGGGTGGATAATGAGGTCAAGAGATCGAGACTATCCTGGCCAACATGGTGAAACCCCATCTCTATTAAAAATACAAAAATTAGCTGGGCATGGTGGCACATGCCTGTAGTCCCAGCTACTCGGGAGGCTGAGGCAGGAGAATCACTTGAACCTGGGAGGCAGAGGTTGCAGTGAGCCGAGATCACGCCACTGCCCTGCAGCCTGGAGACAAGGCGAGATGTTGTCTCAAAAAAAAAATTTTTTTTAATTGACTAATGGTTATTGTATACATTTATGGAGTACAATGTAATGTTTTAATATGTGCATACATTATGAAATAAATCAGGCTAATTAACATATTCATCATCTTAAATAAGTAATCATTTCTTTGTGGTGAGAACATTTAAAATCCTTTTTCAACTACTTTGAAATATGCACTACATTATTATTAATTATAGTCACCATGCTGTGCAATAGGACACCTGAACTTATTCTTCCTAACTAGAACCTTGCACTCATTAACTAACATTCATTACGTTCTAACACAGATCTCTCAGACTTTGAAAATCAACAGAGTCTGAATATTATAATTAATAAATTTTAACAAACATCACAGAGAGACTTTTCCCTCTTTTCAGTCACTTGTGAAATATTTACAAAAGTTCATCATACATGAAGCTGCAAGGGAAAAACTCAAAAGGTTTCCAACTCTAGAATATTTGTAGACAGATTCCTCTGAGTATAATTCAATGACTAACCATTAATAATATAAGTTTAAGCAAAAAGTCAAAACCCACAAAAATCTAACAAATTTAAAAGGATAAAGAGTGTCTTAAAATCTATTGTCCCAAGAGAAAATTAAAATTGTAATTATAATTTTAGTTTTTCTTCTAAGACAATGCTTGGCACATGGAAGGTGTTAAATGAATAGTCATTTAATTAATGAATGATGACTATTTAAAAAGCATAATAGAAATTAAAATCCTGTCTAGCAACATAGTGGCTCAAATTTATAGTCTTAATTATGCTTACTTAAACATGAAATAATTTAAATAAATGAACTAAGCACTCAGTCCCAGAGTTGGAGGAATGACAAGATATTAAATAAGGAAATAAGGGTGAAATAATAACAAAAGCAAAAATCAATGTATCTGTGAGATGAAGGAAAAAAGTGACAAGGCTCTAGTAATTTTAATTTTAAAAACAGAGAGAAAATATGAAGAAAAAAATTGGAACTAAGTTATATAAGACAGATGATATTTTTAAAAATACAGAGAAAAATATGCTATTATCTAAGTTTATTCCTACAAATCTGAGAATTTCAGTGGAAAGGAAATTTTATTTTAAAGATCTTAAGTGGGGAAAATTGACTTATAAGTAACTAGAAACCAGAATATGTGGAATATCCATTGACAAAATGAGAAAATAAAAGTTTCAAAGAATTATTTCCACAAAAGATTATAAGGTGTGTTGATCAAGCTTTCTAGTAGCAGGTTTAATAAATTATTCCAGAACATAGAAAGAGTTTGAAAGCTATCCAGATTATTTTAGAAAATAAAAAAAAGCTAATATAAATAGCACAAAAATTATAGACCAATACAATATTTGCAAATTGAATTCAACTATATTTGGTAATAGAGAAATCTACCTCCATTAACAGTGTTAATACAAGAAATGGGTAGGAAGCTAAATATTAGAATATCTCTTTCTAAAATGACACGTATTAGAAGGTCCATTTATAACAAAATACAGTTACCTTCTCAGCAGGTGGTTTAAAGGCATTTAGTGGAACTGAATACCTGATAGACTTTGTACAATTGTTCCCACTAAAATCTCACGTTGAAATATAATCCCCAATATTGGAGGTGGGGCCTTGTGGGAGGTGTTTGGATCATGGGGGAAGATCCCTCATGAATGGCTTCGGCCATCGCCTTGATGATAAGTGAGCTCTTGCACTGAGTTCACATGAGATCTGGTTGTTTAAAGTGTGTGGCACCTCCCTGACTCTTTCTTGCTCCTGCTTTCATCATGTGACATGCCTGACCCCACTCACCTTCTGCTATGAGTAAAAGCTCCCTCAGTCCTCCCTGGAAGCCAAGCAGATGACCATGCCATGCTTCCTGTACAGTCTGCAGCACCGTGAGCCAATTAAATGTCTTTTCCATATAAATTATCCAGTTTCAAGTATTTCTTTGTAGCAATGCAATAATGGTCTAATACAGAAAATTGGTACCCAGGAGTGGGGCATTGCTATAAAGATACCTGAAAATGTGAAAGCAGCTTTGGAACTGGGTAATAAGCAGAGATTGGAAGAATTTGGAAGGCTCAGGACAAGACAGGAAGATGAGGAAAAGTTTGAAACTTCTTAGAGACTGGTTGGATAGTTGTGACCAAAATGCTGATAGTGATATGGACAGTGAAGTCCAGGCTGTTGAGGTTTCAGATGGAAATGAGGTACTTATTGGGAACTAGAGCAAAGGCCACCTGTGTTATGCCTTAGCAAAGAGTTTGGCTGCATTCTGTTCCTGGCGTAGGGATCTGTGGAAGTTTGAACTTCAGAATGACAAGCTAGGGTATCTGACAGAGGAAATTTCTAAGCAGCAAAGCATTCAAGATGTAGTCTGGCTGCTTCTAACAACCTATGCTCAGATGTGAGATTGAAAAAATGACTTAAAGTTGAAACTTATATTTAAACAGTAAGCAGAGAGTAGAAGTTTGGAAATTTTGAAAACTGACCATAGGGTAAAGAAAGAAAAAGCTTTTTGTGGGAGAGGAATTCAAACAGGCTGTGGAGCAATCACTTGGTAAAGATAGTTGCATAACTAAAAGGGAGCCAAGTGCTAATATCCAAAACAATGGGGAAAAGGCCTCAAAGGCATTTTAGAGACCTTCCCAGCAGCCCCTCCCATCACAAGCCCTGATGCTTAGGAGGGAAGAATGGTTTCATGGGCCAGACTCAAGGCTTCAATGAGGCCTCAGGGATGCCGCTCCCCACATCCTGACCACTTCAGTTCCAGCCATGCTTCAAAGGGGCCTAGTTACAGCTGCTCCTGTGGAGAATGCAAGCTGTTACCCTTGGCCTCCTACATGTGGTGTTAAGCCTGTAGGCACACAGAATGCAAGAGTGATGAAGGCTGCCAAGCCGTTTTGGTCACAACCATTTAACCACCCTCTAAGAAGTTTCAAACTTTTCCTCATCTTCCTGTCTTCTTCTGAGCCTTCCAAACTCTTCCAGGTTCTGCCCATTAACCAGCTCCAAAGCTGCTTCCACATTTTCAGGTGGAAGGCTGCTAAGCCTTCACCTAGATTTCAGAGAATGTATGGAAAAGACTGGTGTCCAGGCAGAAGCCTGCTGCAGGGGCTGAGCCCTCATATAGAACCTATACTAGTGCAGTGCAGAGGTAAAATGTGGGATTGGAGGCCCCACACAGAGTCCCCACTGCAGCACTGACTAGTGGAGCTGTGAGAAGAGGGCCACCATCCTCCAGACCCCAGAATGGTAGATCCACCAACAGCTTGCACTATTAGCATGGAAAAGCCACAGACACTCAATTCCAGCCCATGACAGCAGCCTTGGGGACTTTACCCTGCAAAGCCAAAGGGGCAGAGCTACTCAAGCTACCCAAGGCCTTGGTTGTCCAACCCTTGTATCAGTGTGGCCTGGATGAAGGACATAGAGTCAAAAGAGACTATTTTGGAGCTTGAAGATTCAATGACTGCCTTGCTGAGTTTCAGACTTGCATGGGACCTATAGCCCCTTTCTTGTGGATGATTTCTCCCTTTTAGGAAGGGAATGTTTACCCAGTGCTTGCACCCACATTGTATCTTGGACGTAAATAACTTGTTTTTTATTTTACAGGCTAATAGGTGGAAGGACTTGTCTTTTCTCAGATAAGATTTTGGACTTTGGACTTTCGAGATGATGCTGGAACAAGTTAAGACTTTGGGAAACCATTGGGAAGGCATGACTGTATTTTGCAATGTGAGAAGGACATGATAATTTGGGAGGGCAGAGGTACAATGATATAGTTTGATAGTTTGGTTACTTGTCCTCACCCAAATCTCATGTTAAAATGTAATGCACAGTGTTGGAGGTGGGGCCTAGTGGGAGGTGTTTGGATCATAGGGATAGATCCCCCATGAATGGCTTGGGCCATCCCCTTGGTGACAAGTGAGCTCTTGCTCTGAGTTCACATGACATCTGGTTGTTTAAAGTGTGTGACACATCCCCCCACTCTCTCTCTTGCTCCTGCTTTTGCCACATGACATACCTGCTCCCACTTCACCTTCTGTCATGAGTAAAGGCTCCCTGAGGCCTCCCCAGAAGCTGAGCAGATGCCAGTGTCATGCTTCCTGTTCAGTCTGCAGAACCGTGAACCAATTAAACCTCTTTTCCATATAAATTACCCAGTTTCAGGCACTTATTTGTAGAAATGCAAGAACAGTGTAACACAACACCTATCGCAGGTTAAAAAAAATGTCTAGGCTCAGAAATATACTTGCCTAACATGATAGAGAACATCTATATTAAAGTCAACATCATATTTGCAGTACTTGCGGTGAAATATTAGAAACACTTCCTTTAATAAGAAAGAATGAGATAAGGATGTGTTTTATCCCAATTATTACTTAACATTGTTCTGAATTCTAGCCATGAAGACATGTAGCATTATAAGGAGAAAAAGAAAAGACAGCATTTCAAATAATACAACTAAAAATCAAAGAAGTTTTACTGTAAAATTTTCAAATTTTTATGACTGCAACTGGGTTTAAGAAAAAAAATGAAAGAAAAAAGACCTACTTTTTTTCTTGCAGACCAACAGTAACTGAGTGGACCATAGATTAGAGGAAAGAAATATTCATTCTCAGTAGTAAAACTATAATGATGCAAGAGTAGTAACAATTTTAAAAAGAAATGTGAAGTACTTAAATACACAAACTTATAAAATCTTTGTGGGAAAGATATACAGTGTTAATTTGTAGAAACGTCAATATTCTCAAAATATTGTTTCCAAAATTAACTTACAGGTTTAACTCATGCTTAATGACAGTTTCACTATTTTTGCTTGACACAGTGATCCTCAAATTTACATGAAAGAATAAATAAATAAGAATGATGACTATAGAAATATTGAAATAGAGAATTGGGAATTGTGCTTGCAGATACTAAAATGTATTAGACACCAGCCCAATCACCAAAATATTAAACAAGAATCAATAATAAATGTATGACACAGAATTTAGAATTCACTAATAAGCTCTAGAAGAAATGAAAAGTTCAATATGTACTAAAAAACACACCAAAATTTAATGAGGAGATAATAATGGATTAGATAAAAAATGGTGTTGAGAAAAATTAAAAGAAAAAAATTTAAGGTAGAGCTCACATAATGTCTCATGCCAACATAAATTCCTAGAGAATTAATGGTTAAAATTTAACCCTTAACATATACATTTTGAAGAAACCATAGGAGAATATGTAAATGGCTGAAGAATGAGCAAGATATTTCTAAAGTAAAAATTAATGGAAGAAATAATTAAGAAAGGTCATACATTTCACTAAAAACATTAAAGCCCTTGTGCCTATCCTTATCACATAAAAAATTATTATGAGAAAAGTATTTATAACCCATATAGAAAATAATGCAAAAGCCATGAACAAGTGATAAAATTTTTTAATAAAGATTTTTTAATCTTTTAAACTTTATATTAGATAAAGAAATACAAAATTTAAAAAGGTTAATCTTTTTTTGTACCAAATTAATGGTTTAAAAAATGAAGTTGTCTGGGCGTGGTGGCTCATGCCTGTAATCCCAGCATTTTGGGAAGCTGAGATGGGAGGATCCCTCGAGCTCAGGAGTTTGAGACCAGCCTGGGCAACATAGTAAGACCTTGTCTCTACTAAAATTAAAAAAAAATTAGCCGGGTGTGGTTGGTGCACACCTGTAGTCCCCATGATGTCAAGGCTGTTGTGATCCCTGATCATCCACTGCACTTCAGCCTGGGTGAGAGAGCAAGACTCTGTCTCCAAAAAAAAAAAAAAAAAAAAAAGTTATAGTCAATATTCTTGAGAGTTCTATTAATTTAAACATAATTATATGTTGGCATAATTAACAGTAGCTATATCTGTATAGTGGAATTATTTTATCTCATACTTTTTTGTTTTTTGATTTTATATATTTTGTGTGTATATATACATATGTATAGAGATAAGTCTATATCAAGTGGTAGATACATATATACATACATACGTAGATAAATGGATACATACTTATATTGTAAAACCATACACACACATTTTGCAAATTCAGCTTAGTTTCCACATGTTCCTGGGGTCCAGTTTTGTTGCCTCCAAAATAAGGAGATTGACATGATTCCAAATATTATCTTTGATTAAATAAAAATCAAATCAAAACTGTTGTCTGCATGCATATGCATATATCTCTCTAAATACATACAAATACATATGCCCACAGGTCAAATATATATGTATATTTGTATGTGTGTATATACACACACACCCATATGTAAGTAACATACATGTATAAATGTATACATGTTCACAAATTCCACTAATATGTCCAAATTAACTCCACTAAATTAATATTTAGTGGAACTCAATATTTAGCGAAGTGAATTAATTCCACTAAAAGTCAAAATTGAAGCAGACAAAATAGGATCAATGCTGACAATGCTAATAAATCTTCAGGTAACTAACGCCGTAGAAAGCAAAACCACAGCAAGAGGGGACTACTATAATAAACAAGAGTCCAAATGTCTTTTCCTAGATTGATTCTTTCTGTCCTCACGATTGACACCTGTGAATTCTCAAAATTGCAGAAATACAAATACAGAGTAATTAGGTGTCCCACCATACTGGTTAAATTGACTTTAAGATAACTAGGTAAGAAATGCCTACATAACCCAAACATTTGTCTGGTTACTTGTTTCACAAGAACCTTGGACTAAAGAGAGGAGGTTGGAAGAAAAGAAGTCAGAAGATCAAATAATTGTTGTTTCTTTATTCAATTACCTAATTCTTTATAGTTCTATAAATAAGTTTCCAATTAAGACCTGTTTGCTGCATCAAATATTAATCCTAACAAAAACAGTGCTTAATATATATGTAATATATGTATAAATGTAAAAATATAATATATAATATATAAACTGCATTTGTTAGGATTAACATGTATGTGTGTACATGTAATATATGTAATACATATACACATATATATATCTGTCTTTATAAAATACAGTATGAGTATGTGCATACTTGTAGACAAACCCAAATCCTAATCATAGTATTTTGCCTTTCTTGGCCATGTGAGGTGTATCTGTATATTGCTCAGGAAAATTTGTCACCAGCCTGTGTTAGTTCAGTACACATTATAGCACCTGGACAGTTGTCAATGGCAGTAGTTACACATCATGAACAAAAACATTCCATATTGAGTCATATGCATTAAAAAAAAAACCTGGATCCCTGCCGAAATGTTGTGCCACTTGTAATTATAAAGTGCCAACTGTACTTGGTTTCTGTACATTCTCGTTCTATATTTTGTGTTCCAAATTCCTCGTTCTGATTTGGAGTTCCAAGTCATGAATCCAGGATATGCTGCATGCACAATAAATGTTGTGCATTTTATTAACTTGCATTTTTTTTTAGTGAGCTTCAGCTAAAAGAGCAAGCTAATTTATAGGAAAACAGATCATTTAACACAGTAAAATTAACCAAAGTTATTTCGTCAAAAGAAGTTTTTCTCTCTCTCTTTTGCTTTTGTTCATGGACCCTGGACCAAATTTTCCATTTGAGCTCAACCAAATTCTTTTTTGTTTTCTCCCCACCTTGGAACTGTAAACTAGTGTCAAAGAATGTCTTATTTCTTCTCAGTTGAAGAGGATTCTGGCTTGAGCATTAAGAGTCTCCAGTTTTTACTTTGTACCATAGCCAGATTATATCTCAACCATTAAGGTCACTTATTACACAAAATTTAAATAATGGTTCTACTGGGACTCCTCCATCACCCACCCTCATAATCCCCCAAATAATGCGACAATGCTTGCCAGTAAAAGTTACTTGCTGGTAATGCCAATTGTCCAGAAAGGTATTGACAGCCATGGTTAAGGGGCTGAGGTTAGGTCTTAGAAAAAGAAGAAAACCCCCAGATGTGGTTCCTCCTTGTGAGGGTAAATGGGTTAGTTGTTTGGCACAGTGAAAAGCATAATACAACTTCCCTTCTTTCTCTCATCTTTTCTTTTATTCCCTCCTGCTACCCCGCCTTAGCTTTTTCTCTCCTCTTCCTTCTCCACTAGCCCTTTCCCCTTGGGGAAAAGATAAGGTACTGCTAGGGTTCCTAGGGTTCCTGATTATCAAAATGGCAAACTGCTCATAGAATGATGGTAATTTTAGAGATCAAAATGTCTAAGAAGTTATTATGCCCCATCTCTCATTCCATGAAGAAATGCAATCAGCACCAGTGACTAGCCATCTGAACCGCTTCTACCCAAGACTAGCTTTAATTCCAACTCACCTAGGAGGCTTATTAAACACTCCTTGGCCTTTTGTACGATGCCCTCTACATGGCAGAGCAATGCTTTAGTTTACTCTCATTTGTACATAGGTGTGCTTGACACACGTTTCATGGTTTGAAATATGGCACTCCAGAATGGGAGGCCACCTACAGGTAACTTGGGGCCCCTAGAGGTCATGATCACTTGCAAGAAAGGTAAGGATAAGACTGTGAGAAATAATGCATCATTTGAGGCCTTCGGAGAGCTTTCACGTAACAATTGCATACGCATTACCCGCTTTCCTTTTGTACAGAATCAGTTTACCTTTAGGAACAGTTACTTATTTATGTATTACTATTATTTTGTTTAGAGGTGGGTCTCCCTCTGTCACCCAGGCTGGAGTGCTATGGCATAATCATAGCTCACTGTAACCTTGAGATCCTGGGCTTAAGCCATCCTCCTGCCTCAGCCTCCAGAGTATCTGGGACTACTGGCATACACCACTACACACAGCTAGTTTTTTATTTTCTGTAGATATAGGGTCTTGCAATATTGCCCAGGCTCTTCTTGACCTCCTAGGCTCAAGTGATCCTCCAGCCTCAGCCTCCCAGTGTGCTGCGTGAACCACGGTGCCCAGCCACTCTCATAATTGATGAGCCTTTTCTCATAACTTCTTTAGGAGTAAATCAGGCCTTGTCATGATGGCATAATCTTTGGATAAATGCTTAAAAAGGAAATGTTCTATCTTCCAACTTCAGTGTAAAATACAGTAAGCTTCACAGCCAGGCCAGGCAAAGTTGTTTTCTTCAGCACCAACTAAGTTAAAGTGAAAATGTAATTATTGTGACTTCCAAATCATCCTATTCCTATTGCAATCTGCTTTTCTTACTGGCTTCCTTTCATGCTTTTTGGTACTGCTGGTGTTTTCATGGACTCTTCTTTGTTACATAAGTTCTTTGTAGAAGGAAGAGGCATGGTCAATTAAAGATTGGGTAATAGGAGATTAGAAGAATATAATAAGCTGAAAATCACTGGTTCCTCTTTAGACCATCACTAAGCCATGTAGCATTTCTGGCAAGTACCTTGAAAAATATATTCATTCTATAATTTTTAAAATAATACAAACAAAAGTAAAATACTTAAAAGTATTTGAGAAACATTAGTTTATATTCAACTCATCTTAAAATTTTAAATAAAATGACTTCCCTATAAGTTCTACAAGGATAAGTGAGTAAAATGATAGTTAATCAATATCTAAGCATGCTACGCTTGTCTATTTACCTAAGTGGACTATTTGGTAATCCACTCCAGGATCCAAATATGTTAAGGTTCATTATACAGTGTAGGCCAAACAAAGATTTAAAGTTATAGTTACACAAATTATTTGATTTTCATTCAATTATTGAAGTCCACATGCCTTTTTCTCTCCCCACAAAAGCCTGTCTTCACATCATTAACAGAAGGGCATTAACACTAAATTTCTGTAAAGAGTTAGAGATGAGCCTAGAGGCGTCTGCTCTGGCACTCGTGGACTCCTGTCAATGCACCTGGGGTTGATGAATTGAACTTTTTGAATCTTGAGCAGAGTGGCCCAGTGGATGGAAGCCCTGTCTATAGGACCTGTGTTCTAGTCAGTGACATGGTGGCAAATGTTTTATAACCAGCTCTTGGGGTGGGGGGCACGAATTCTTGATTTGCAGTGTTTGTTTGCCAATTTCCATGTGCAAATACTCCCATTGCCAATCTTGAGGCACAAACATAATGTCACTGAATGCAGAACTGTGGAAAGTCAACTCTTAGAGCTTGCTTTGACTCACCACTTACTATTTAGCTGAGAAATGCCTAGTAAGTCATACCTTCTTAGATATTTGGGTTTCACATCTCTAAAATGAAGATAATTGTATCTGTGCCTCCTTTGTTTTAATTTTGTGTGTGTATGAGTGCAAGATGAGATAATAGATGTGAAAATTACATCACTGGTTGTCAGAGAAGGGTTGTAGGATCAAGTGCATCTTTGGTTCACGGTGGGGCTTGCATCTCAAAAGTTGTGTAGACATTTGTCCATTTATTCACCAATTTAGGCCAAAACTATGATTTTCCTCTCCTCACAGAGGGACACGTTTGAAAAAAGTAGTTCTAAAAAATGTAAGCATTGACTTCTTGTTAACCACGTTTATATATCCTCAGAACACCCACAGTTGTTTTTCCTTAGAGTATTTATTCACTCTTGTTCTCACCTGTGCTCTGTATATTACACACATTTTATCCATTTTATAGCTTTACATTTCACTATAAATCCCTATGGCATTTTCTGTCTTCCCATAGATATTTCCTACCATTTCCAAATATTAGGATTCCTTTGCCATTAGTACATACCAAGAAACTAGGTTCCATGTTCACATCTTTGTGCATGATGTTAAATCCATTTTACAGGTAACACTTCTCATTTACTGTGAAATGGCCTTCCCTTGATTTCTCAAGACATTATAATCCTCCATATTCTAAATTTGTTTGGCCCTTATTAACTATACAACTTATTTTGTGATTATTCAAGAATAAGGAAATTTTAAAATTAGACTAAATTTCAATGAGCATTTTTTTCTGGCTAGGTATAACATCATTTTAGCATTTTAAATGGGAAAGGAGCCAAAATGGTTGGAGTATCACAAGAAGAAGCTACCAGGGTGTGGACCAATAGGTCTCCCCAGGTGGATTTTACCTTAGTCTGGTCACCAGCTCTTCTCTTTCTGAAAGTTGAACTTGTCAGCACACTGAAGGCAGATGTCACATCAGAGTCACACTGACCATATTCACAGATGGGCATGTAACCCCAAATGCCAGTATGTAACCATACACTGACAACTATAACTATCACTTGGTCCTAAATCCTCAAGTTGACACGACCAGCCCATTTTCTCCCTGATACTGAAGGGAAGCCATAACATCATCGGGAGCATGAAGAGTGTTTGGTGAGCCCTGAACCAAGGCGAGGGGTGTTGGTATTACATTTCAATTGTCAAATCACTCTAGGTTGCAATTTTCTTGATTTCCTTGTGCATTCATCTCCAACAGAGACGCAGTCCCTTTAGAAATTGGAGTCCATGGGGTGGATCTCTCTACCCTTAACTGTGTTAGGGTAATGCTGACAACTCACGCCTCTCTGAATGATTTTCTTAGGGCTTTCATACTTAGCCTCTGCTGATTCCCCTAGAAGTTCAGTTCCATTTGTCAAGTACTGGTCTGGTCTGAAAGCCATTCTTTCCATTACAGTAACTTCACACATTTCTGCTCTAATTCAATTGGAATTGAGTTTACAGTTGGAGCAGAGAAAAACCTTATTCACTATTATTTGTTTTCCCTCATGGCAACTCTCAAGTCTATTGTTTTAAAATAAAGCAATAAAATAAGCCACCCCTAAAAGTAATAGCCGTCCTTTATTTTGACTCATGTGAGGCTGGAGGTCTCTGTTTCAAGCTGAGGGGCCAGCTGGGATTGTCCCCTGTTGTAGGCTAGGGCTGGGCTTCTGTCGGCTTCAGGGTGCCCATTCTGGTGATCAGGCTGAAGGGATGAAACTCTCAGGGGAGCTCTTCTTGTGGCAACAACAAAGGCACAAGAGGACAAGCCCAACCACGCAAACGCATTCCAGTTCTGCTTGTAACACATCTGCTAAAGCTCCAGCAGCCAAATCATATGGCTAGACCCAAACGCAAGGTTCAGTGAAGTGCCCTGCACCTTCCACAAGGCCAAAGTGTGTCGTGTGGCTGAATGTCAATGGGACAGGCAGGCATCCCCCTGTCATGTTCAAAAATACTAATCTAAGCTACCATGGTGTCTTACATATACCATCTGCTATTTGAACGTTTTTAGATTCAACTTTAAATTTGTACCTTGTTTTATTTGTTTAAGTAGATTATAATAATGTCCCTGAAGGTTACGGGTTGATAGAACAAAACAAAAAAATACACACACACACGCACACACACACACACACTCAGGCTACTGAGCACATATAAGAATCCCAGCACTTTGGAAGGCTGAGGCAGGTGGATCACCTGAGGTCAGGAGTTCGAGACCAGGCTGACCAACATGGTGAAACTCCGTCTCTATTAAAAATACAAAAATTATTAGCCAGGCATGGTGGCACACACCTGTAATCCCAGCTACTTGGGAGGCTGAGTCAGGAAAATCACTTGAACCCAGGAGGCAGAGAGTGCAGTGAGCTGAGATCACACCATTGCACTCCAGCCTGGGCAACAAGACCGAAACTCCATCTCAAAAAAAAAAAAAAAAAAAAAAAATTCAAACACCAGAATAAAACTGAACCAAGTGTGTGACAATTGAAAAATTACTTGATGAAAAATTACTTGATACCTAATGTATCAAGCTCCATAGATTTATGGTTTTGAATGTGTGCTTGACACAATGTTGGTGCCTAATAAATGTTGCTCTTTCACATTGTACCATCCATAACCCGAAAATAATATTTTGTTAGTAGTGGATGTTCTAGAACTATTGACTCATTAGCTATCCCACCTCTGTAATGTACAGTCACTTCCTAGCATATGGAACAGTTTCAGGACCATAGCACTTATTTTAACTATACACACCAAATGCTTTCCTAATTTTAAACATCATATCATTGTCTCACCCATTTTGAATTATACAGAGCAATTGTCCTCAGCTCTACTGTCTGCAGATGCCTTTGGTCTTGCAACATATCGTATGGATCACCTACTTTGTCTGCTTCCATTCACCATGGCAAGAAAAATCCAACCAGAATTAATGGGCAACTGGGCCCCATTCTCATTGGGAGCATCTGTTTCTTATTAAATATCATAAGTAACTTATTAATTCTTGCCAGAAGCAAAAGTAAAGACATTGTCGTACTGAAAGCTTTACCAGTACAAAAGACCAGTCAGCAGAGCACCTGGAGGACTTGCTGAGACAGTGCCTGGAGTGTCATTAATCTGGGGACACAAGATGTCAGATTTCTTCTGTTAGCTTCCTGAGGAAGACAAAGTCAGAGTCTGTCTGAACAGCAGAACCCACCCTTTTTTAGTTGATTTGTGTGGTTGCACTACAACAATGAGTGGATGGGTTAGTATTTGGTGGCATGACCACACAAATCCCATGGCAGATCCTGGCAAATCTCATAAAATGTGGATGCAGGAAAGGATATGAGAGAAGGCCAGGCTAAATTCAACCACTTGCAGGCATCAACTGAGGTCTTAAAATGTGAGGTGACTACTTCAAGGTCACCCAGAAAACTGATGGCAAAGCCAGGATAAAGATCCAGAGCCTCTAAAGCCTGAGTTGTATTTTGTGTGCACAATGTCACACAAAAAGACATCCTTTCCCTTTGACAGCCAGCCCCGATATGAATGAGTAATCTCTTGGAGAAAGTTTGGGGGTTTTGCAGTGTACCTTTCCTAATGCTTGGATTTTGGAAGGATATCAACATGTCTTTTCTGCAATGATGATGATAAAATAATAATGGCTAGTATCTTTTTAGTCATTGCTGTGTGCTAGGAGTTAAGTGCTTTGCATGCATTTTCTCATTTAACCCTAACAACTAAATTAAGTACTTTTGAATTTTCATTTTACAGATCCTGAAACTGATTGCTTAGAGTGATTAAATAATTTGCCCAGTGGTTGGAGCCAGGGCATAAAACAGGTACAATGAACTCCAGTATCTGTGATTTGGTCCCTATATTGCATTGTCTTTAACCACATTGGATGTTTTTAGCTTTTATGTCAGTTAATTTGTCAGTTTCTGCCAGCATATTTTGACTTCTTTGCTGTAGATGAAATATTTTCATGTAAAAAATTCATTTTATGTATTGATGTTTGTTTCCTAAGTAATACCCAAAACTATTGTATTTGCTTTTTTGTGTGTTTAGTATTCCTTTGTTTATTGCCAAACTTGGGCATGATTAAAATAGGAGGGCTCATATACTAGTTCCTTTTTATGGATGGATGCCTTGATAACGATCCTTGGGGCAGTTCTCTCTCTGATGGCCCGCATTTCTCTACTGCCCCTATCTAAGCACACTGATTTGAAACTAGACTATCACATTTATATTCATGAAACTAATTGAAACACATAGGCTTTATATGTGAAGATAACCGCTACAACCTGATTATAAGGTACCGACCTGAATTCAGGCATGCATTCCGTGACTGAAATGTAGAATGCGGTAAGCTTTTATGTTTTAAATATTTGGGTAGATTCATTTTTATGAGTGGTTTTTAAATCCCTGCTCACCTTCAATAAGCATTAGTACTTCATTCAATGGTCCAAGGGAGAGAAAACTCTGACCCATTTCAATTTTTTGCTGAGTGCCTATTGAGATCTGTTGATGACAGTGCTACTGCTACTCTGACCAGTTAAAGTAAAATCCCATTTCCTTTAGGATTCTTAGGTCGTCAGATGAATCCATTCAGTTTTTTCTGTCATTAGTCCAATACCTGGTCTTTTTAATTTTACGGCTTCTAATAGATGTGTATTGGAATACCATTATAGTTTTAATTTAAATTTTGCTAATGGCTAATGATCCTAAACATCTTTTCATATATTTATTTGCCACCATACTTGGCGAGGCGTCTGTTCTCGTCTTTTGTGCATTTTTAATTGGATGTTTGTTTTCTTATTAAGTTTTGAGTTTTAAAATATACATTAAATAAAAGTCCTTTGCCAAATATTTGATTTACAAATGTTTTCTCTCAGCCTGTAACTTGTTTTCCCTCCTCTTAGTGATATCTTTCACTGAGCAAAAGTATTTAATTTTTAAAAGCTTAGTTTATCTTTTATTTTCTCTTATGAACCATGCTTTTGATGCTGTGCTTAAGAACTCTTTCTCTAACTCTGTGTCTCAAATATTTTCTCCCTTATTATTTTTTTTAGTTCAAAATATTTTCTAATTTCCCATGAGACTTCTATCTAGAGGAAGAGTGTGGGTTTTTTTTGTTGTTTTTTTTTTTTTTTTTTGAGACGGAGTTTCACTCTTGTTGCCCAGGCTGGAGTGCAATGGCGCGATCTCGGCTCACCACAACCTCTGCCTCCCGGGTTCAAGCGATTCTCCTGCCTCAGCCTCTCGAGTAGCTGGAATTACAGGTACGCGCCACGACACCTGACTAATTTTGTACTTTTAGTAGAGACAGGGTTTCTCCAGGTTGGTCAGGCTGGTCTCGAACTCCCGACCTCAGGTGATCCAAAGTGCTGGTATTACAGCCATGAGCCACCGCCCCTGGCAAGAGTGTTAAGGTCTCTAACAATGACTGTGAATTTGTCTACCTCTCTTTTCCATCTGTCAGTTCTTGCTCCATTAGGTTTGAAGCTCCGTTGTTAGGTGCCTTCACATTTATAATTGTTAAGTCCACTTGGTGAATTAAGATTTTTTATGTTTATGTGACATTCCTTTTTATTCTTGGCAGTCTTCTCTTTTCTGAAGTAAACTATGTCTGAAATCATCTAGCCACGTGACTTTATTAATTAGTATTTGGAATAGCTCATGGTATCTTTTTTCATCCATTTATTAATTTATTTTTTTATTTCCATAGGTTATCGGGGAACAGGTGGTGTTTGGTTACATGAGTAAGTTCTTTAGTGGTGATTTGTGAGATTTTGGTGCACCCATTACCCAAGTGCTATACACTGCACCCAATATGTAGTCTTTTATTCCTCACCCCCTTACCACCTTTTCCCTCTGAGTCTACAAAGTCCATTGTGTTATTCTTATGCCTTTGCATCATCATAGCTTAACTC
Organism: Homo sapiens; assembly: GCF_000001405.40. Taxonomy (NCBI): domain Eukaryota; kingdom Metazoa; phylum Chordata; class Mammalia; order Primates; family Hominidae; genus Homo; species Homo sapiens. The sequence goes on from NC_000007.14 coordinate 41,301,523, forward strand.
ATGAGTGAGAACATACAATTTTGGTTTTCCATTCCTGAGTTACTTCACTTAGAATACTAGTCTCCAATCTCATCCAGGTCACTACAAATGCCATTAATTCATTCTTTTTTATGGCTGAGTACTATTCCATCACACACACACACACACACACACACACACACACACATATATATATCACAGTTTCTTTATCCACTCATTGATTGATGGGCATTTGGGTTGGTTCCACGTTTTTGCAATTGTGAATTGTGTTGCTATAAACATGCATGTGCAAGTATCTTTTTCGAATAATGACTTCTATTCCTCTGCGTAGTTACTCAGTAGCAGGATTGCTGGATCAAATGGTAGTTCTACTTCTAGTTCTTTAAGGACTCCACACCATTTTCCATAGTGGTTGTATTAGTTTACATTCCCACCAGCAGTGTAGAAGTGTTCCCTGTTCACCACATCCATGCCAAAATCTATTATTTTTGACTTTTTGATTATGGCTGTTCTCGCAGGACTAAGGTGATATCGCATTGTGGTTTTGATTTGCATTTCCCTGATCATTAGTGATGTTGAGCATTTTTTCATATGTTTGTTGGCCATTTGTATATTTTCTTTTGAGAATTGTGTATTCATGTCCTTAGCCCACTTTTTGATGGGACTGTTTGTTTTTTTCCTTGCTAATTTGTTTGAGTTAATTGTAGATTCTGGATATTAGTCCTTGATCAGATGTATAGATTGTGAAGATTTTCTCCCACTCTGTAGGTTGTCTGTTTACTCTGCTGACTATTGCTTTTGCCTTGCAAAGCTCTTTAAAAATAGGCACATAGACCAATGGAACAACAACATAAAGTGGGGAAAGCACACCTTTTTCAACAAATGTTGCTGGGATAATTGGCAAGCCACATGTAGGAGAATGAGACTGGATCCTCATCTCTCACCTTATACAAAAATCAACTCAAGATGGATCAAGGACTTAAATCTAAGACCTGAAACAATAAAAATTCTGGAAGATACCATTGGAAAAACTGTTCTAGACTTTGGCTTTGGCAAGGGCTTCATGACCAAGAACCCAAAATCAAATGTAGTAAAAACAAAGATAAATAGCTGAGACTTAATTAAACGTCCATTTACTTTTAACCTACCTATATCACTATATTTGAAATGTGTCTCTTTAAGACAACCTTTTTTCAATTCCATTCTTCAAATCTCTCCGTTTTAACAGACACATTTAGTACATTTGCATTTAATATAATTATTATATTTAAATTTAGTTCTATCATTTTTTGTTTTCTGTTTTTCCCTCATTTCTTTTTATATTTTTGTATTTCCAATTTTCTGACTCTTTTGAGTTGAACATTTTTTAGTATTTAGTTTGACTTATCTATTGTGTTTTTTATTATATACCTTCATATATATTTTTAGTGGTTGTTCTAAAAATTACAATATACATACTTAACTTTCCACAGTCTGCTTAGAATCAATATTTTACCACATCACATGAAATGTAGAAACCTTGCCATGATAATGATGAATTTACTCTCCTCCTTATGTTATTGTTGTCATGTAGTATATCTATATACATTGAAAACCCCATCAGGCAATGTTATATTTTTTGCTTTCACAGTCAAACATTTTTTAAAGAAGTGAAGAAGAGAAGAATAGTCTGCTATAATTAGCCCAATATTTATCATTTTTATTGTTTTTACTCCTCCCTGATGTAGTAAGCTTCCTTCTCATCATTTCCCTTCTGTCTGAAGAACTTTCTTTAGCAATTCTTTAAGCAGATCTGCCAGCAATGAATTCTTTTAGTTTTCTTTCATCATAGAATGTCTTTATTTCACTTTCATCCCTGAAGAATATTTTTGCCGGATATAGATCTGGTATGACAGTTCTTTTCTTGCAACACTTAAAAAAATATGACACTTCCTCCTGGAACCCTTGATTTCCAATGAGAGAAAATTACAATAATTAGAAATCAATGTTCTCCTATTGGTAATGCATCATTTTTTTCTCTGGCTGTTTTCAATATGTTTTTTGTCTTTAGTGTTTGTTTGGCAGCTTGATTCTGATGTTTCTTGGCATGGAATTCATTGGGTTTATCCTTTTTGGGATCACACAGCTTCTTGTGTCTATAACTTTATGTCTTTGCCAAATGTGGGAAGTTTTCAGCCATTATTTCTGCAAATATTTTTTGTTACTGAATTTTTCCTGTCTTTCCTATGAATGACACAAATGTTAGATCTTTTGTTATTGACCCACAGGTCCCTGAAGCTCTTCAATTTATTTTGTTTCAATCTTTTCTTCTCTGTCGTTCAGATTGGACAGTTTCTCTTGACCTATTAGGTTGGTGCACAAGTAATTGCGGTTCACCATTATTTTAATGGGAAAAACCGCAATTATTTTTGCACCAATGTGATAGCTTTAAGTTAACCAGTTATTTCCTCTTGCGCTTGTGGTTTGAGGTCATCTAGTGAATTTTTAAGTTTCAATTATTATGTTTTCCAGCTCTATTTTTTTTTTCATTTTGCTCTTTCTGTCTCCTTTTCTTTGTTGAGATTTTTATTTTTCTATTTATTTTGAGAAGGCTTGCAATTGTTTTTTGGAGCATTTGTATAATTGCTGCTTTAAAACTTTCAATAGATAATTCCAATATCTGTGCCATTATGACACTGGCATCTGATGATTATCTTTTCTCATGCGAGTTGAGATTTTCCTGATTTTTTATGTGCAGTGAAATTTATTATTTATTTATTTACTTATTTTTTGAGATGGAGTATCTCTGTGTCACCTATCCTGGAGTGCAGTGGCGTGGTCTTGGCTCACTGCAACCTCTGCCTCCCAGGTTCAAGCGATTCTCCCACCTCAGTCGCCCAAGTAGCTGGGATTACAGGCATGTGCCACCATGTCCAGCTAATTCTTGTATTTTTAGTAGAAACGGGATTTCACTATGTTTGCCAGACTGGTCTCGAACGCCTGACCTCAGGTGATCCACCCGCCTCGGCCTCCCAAAGTGCTGGGATTACAGGCATGAGCCACCATGCCCGGCCTGCAGTGAAATTTTGTATTATATCCAGGACATTTTGAATATTATGAAACTATGAGTCGTCTTTATATCCTGTGGAAAATGTTGTAGGCTCAGGTAACAAGTTCCAACATACATTCTGTGGACCATAGTTCCAATGTCAGTTCAGGAGTCAAAGCGTTTGCAATATCATATCTGTCTTTTGTGTGTGCCCCCCAGTAGCCACTTGAGGATGTGGCCTATGGCCTAGATGTCAGTTCAGTTCTCAAAGGCTTTGGTATACTAGGTCAAATCAGATCTGTGTATGTGCAGCTGCAGTGGTGAGCCCAGGAGTTAATAAGCACCTTTTTAATGTTACCCTACTGAGTTCTTCCCTCTTTGCAATCTCCCTTGTACTCTCGGTTCCCTCCTTTTGCTCCTGCAGCCAGAAAGTGAGGGTTTTACTTACCGTGTTCTGCCATATACTTCTGTAGTTGTGCCTACGTCTGGGACAAGTGGCAGGAGGACAGAGAGAGTAAAAGCAGTGAGGGTTTGCCCCACATTCCTGGAAACACTGCTCCACTAAATGTAGAGGAAGATACTGCTCCCACAGAGTTTTTTCTCCTACTTACTCACATTACTGTAGGCTGCTGCCACCCCCACAGGATTGCTTGGGGTCTAGGGCATAGGAGGAGAGAGAAGAGGAACAGAGAGAGAAAGAAAGAAATTGGTGAATTTCTGCATGTTAGTGCTGGAATTTCCCTTTTCCTCTCTTTGAGCCAAAACTAGAAGGTTTCTCTGAAACTCTGTCTGCACCCTAGTATTCATCAGCACCCTGAATTCATCATTCAGCATTAAGTTCAAGCCAGAAGATACTGGCAGAAATGAAAATTGTAAACTCATCATTGGTTTCATGGTATTATGAATTAGGGCTTTCTTCCCAATCTACCTGCTGCTATTTACTCGTGAGAGTTCTGAAATTGCTACTTTATATATTCTGTCCAGAAAGTGGAGAGGATGAAATAGGTTTACTCCATCTTACCTGAAACAAGAAATGCTCTGGTTCTATTTTAATGCATTGGCCAGTCATGCAAGTTTATCAAACTCCTCTACCACTGTCTCTTTTTAAAGGAATAGCTCCTTAATGGTTGAGTGTAGGCTTTCAAAGATGGACTGCATGCCAAACCCTATTCTGGACTCCAGGGATTAAAAAATGAGAAACAGTCCCTGCCCTGAAGGAGCTCACAGCATTCAGTTTCCCTTCCCTGTTCCTTCTGGGGAACCAACTTTCCCCCATACGGGATTTTGGCTGGGACAGAAAATTAAATACTCTGCCTCCCTCTAGCAAGGGAGTATGCACATGAAGCAAATTAAGCCAATCAGACCCTCCTTTTTCTATATCTTGAGGCCAACAGTATAAGAATGGAAAAGAACAGTTGGAGCCAATCATTTCTTATGGTAGTGTCTGGATGCCTGGAATTGCCCAGGTTCTGGTCCTGGTTCTCTAACCTTCCATTCATTCTGTTGCCACCCAAAATACCTTCAATAAATCCCTATTTCATTTTATTTGTGAAAGTTGGTTTTTGGTTTTTGCCACAAAATATCATAACAAATGGTATGTGAGAGAAGACAAGTCCACACATAAATCACTGCAATCAAGTGTTCAATTAGTGCTACAGCAAATGCGGATACCAAAAGTTCTAAGAATACGAAAATAATACTGACTTGTTGGAAGAAGGTTGTGAAAGATCTTGTGGAAGAGATGACCTTTAACTAAAAAATAACATTGCCATTTCAAGGAAGGCTGTCTTATTCCTTGTGTGGTTCTTGAACGGATGGTTATAGCCCTCTTTGACAAACCATGTACGCTCATGTAGCAGCAAGAGAAAATGCTTGAGGAAGTTGAAAGACATTTGAATTTGGTGGGTCCTTAGTTAAAAACTGAGATTAAGTCTTCAGTGGTTGAAGTTCTATTTACTGCTGGCAAAAAGCAACTTCATGGTTTGAAAAAAAAAAAAGACATACAAAATACTCATACCGCATTTTAGACATCAAATAACTCTTATAAAATAGCATTTTTGATGAGTTAAGTGTAAATGAATCAGAAACATAAGGATTTAATTTCCCTTGAAATACACAGGGGCTTAAAAATTAAGAGAAAAAGTGCCTGGCAAAATGTGTTTTGTATTTTGCCAAGTCCTAAAGATTTAAGAAGCAGTTCAAGATGTTTCACCAGACCACTGAAAACATCGCTGGGTTCTCCCATCCCTTCAAGAGCAGATCTAGATATTTTATTCCTTCTGGCTGGCTTCTCCAGTCCTAGGGGGTTGGAGAGAGGGTGGGGAGTTGTGGCACATGCTTGTTGCAGTCTGTCTTTGTTTTCTACTGCTTGCATCTTAACATGGGTCCAGATATGTGTCTCTTTTCACACCCTCACTGTCCCTACTGAACATGGTTGCTTAGAAATCAGGGATAATAGTTTATTCCCTAAAGTTACTTAGCAAAACTTTGTGGGAAAGCATACCTCCATGTCCACTAACACTGTTAGTCTATCAAAACTTCTTTTAAAGCCTTGCACAGTGGCTCATGCCTGTAATCCCAGCACTTTGGGAGGCCAAGGTGGGCAGATCACTTGAGGCCGGGAGTTTGAGACCAGCCTTGCCAACATGGGGAAACTCTGTCTCTACTAAAAATATAAAAATTAGCCAGGCTTGGAGGTATGCACCTGTAATCCCAGCTACTTAGGAGGCTGAGGCAGGAGGATCACTTGACCCCAGGAGGCAGAGGTTGCAGTGAGCAGAGATTGTGCCATTGCACTCCAGCCTGGATGAGGGAGTGAGACCCTGTCTCAACAATAAAGTAAAATAAATTTATAAACTTCTTATAAAAAAAGGAAGTCTGCTGGTACTAAATAAGTAATTTGAATTACGTTTCACTCCAAAATTTAATAATGAAGCCTGAGGGAAAATTAGAAATGTTCAACATAAACTGGATATTTAAAAAATTAAAACAAATTAGACTGTGCTCAAAGATATACTTTGCTATTGTATTATTTAGTAAACATTTTATCGTTCAAATTTCCAAATGTACACAAAAATAGAGAGAATGGTATAATGAACCCCTTGTGCCATGATGCAGCTTCAACCGTCATCATCATAGTGCCATAAAAAAGATTTTTTAATCTTGAGATTCATAATATGACATTTTTAAGTCAATGGGCAATAAACAAATAAGATTGGCATCTATCATATGTGGGAAATGAATGAGATAATTAGAGTTAAATAAATCTAAGATAATGCCTATGCTAGGTAAGGTGGATACAAAAAAGATAAGTATTAGCAAAAGGAATGTGTCTGTTTAGTATGTGGCATAGATCGTAAGTGTAAAAAAAACACTCTCTTTAGTGTATTTAGTATGAACACGAAAGAGTGTGACCCTATATTTACTAAAAAAACAAAAGCATAAAAGAAAAACAAAAAAAGGCCAAAATTCCCACCCTTCAGAAACTTGATATAGTGGAGAAGGCAACAAGTAGATTGTTTTCACGGTATTAATGCCCCAAAAGAGAATTTTCAAAGACTTATTTAGAAGTACCCCAAACTCTTTCTACTAGGACTGAGTTACACAATTCAGTTAATTATTTTCACTCTTGCTTGGAACTTAGTTGCTATCTTACCACCATGAAAAGTTCCCTAAAGGCTGTGGGAATTAGCAAGCTGTTGGGTTTGGCAAGAGAGGGTCATCTTAAGATTACATTTCTATCAGGGAAGCTGGGAGCCAGGGGCCCACCCTTGAGAGATGAAAGGCCAAGTTTATTTTGACTTTCAAGAGCTTGTCTCTCTTTGCCATAGGCATGATTAAATGAACCTAAACTCTTCCCTCTTGGATGGAATGCTTTGGCAGGTGGTGGGGTTGGGGGCATAAGACTCCACAGTGTAGTCTGTAAGACACCAAATAGCCAATGTGACCATTGATTTTATACCACCCTACTTAACTGGGGCCTTTTGGCCAAGTAATTAATAACCTGGGTATTTGGAGAATGCATAGGCAACTTGGAATAAAAACGCGTCTCTGTGCAAAGGGACACCTAATAATTTGTATGTTGAAGCTCCAAACGCTGGTACTCAGAATGTGACTGTATTTAGAGACAGGATCTTTAAAGAGATAATTAAACTAAAATGAGTTCTGTAGGGAGGGACCTGATCCAGTATGACTGTCGTGCTTATAGGAAAAGAAAATTTGGACACATATATACACAAAGAGAAGACCATGTAAAGACACAGAGAGAAGACGGCCATGCACAAGCCAAGGAGAGAGGCTTCAGAAGAAACCACCTCTCCTGATACCTTGATCTAAGACTCTTGGCCTCTAGAACTGTGAACAAATAAAGGTCTGTTGTTTAAGTCACCCAGTCTGTAGTTTGTATACATACATGATTTTTAATATTGAATGTTTCTATTGAGAACGTGAGAATAACATTTGACTAGGGGTATTCGTGAAATGTATAATTTAACCAAGCAAGAAATGCTGGTGTGCTCTAGCTTATTGGATAGAGACTAAAGAAAGTGAGCAGGGGTGACAAGCTGTGCTCCTAGACTAGCAGTTTTATCTGGTTTCATCTACTCTGATAACATTCTGGCCAAATAAACAGATATAGTCAAACCCAATTAAGTATATTCAATATTTGGATTTGAATATTTGGATTAAAAAATTAATGTATAAAAAACCTATCAGCCTATGAGGCACTGTTGACATAAAAAATACCTTTTTGACAAACATGGCTGTTCTGCCAAAGCACTGTAGTATATTTTAAAACATGAGCCTAAAACTGTCTTATATACAGTGAAGTTGTCCTTAGAAAGCTTTCATTACAATCCTTTGCTGAAAAACAATTTTAAAATGTTTTTTAAATCTCATCTCATGTGTGTATATACTTATTCTATCTCCTTTATCAAAAATAGAAAGATTTCAATCTCATAAAACTAAGTCTAAGAAGCATATTATCGCAATGTGTGTGCCTGTGTATATGCAGCTGCTGTGTATGAAAAGCATTAATAATTGTTGACTGTAGGTTAAAAATAAAATAATTGATATCATTTGGATCATTTCAACCTTCCAGTGGAGTGTGTGGATGGCAAGACTTCAAGTATGAGATGAAGTTGCAAGGTCTTAAAAAAAAAGTCGTTTAGTTGGATTTCTGAAAACCACTTCTTGCTCTATGAATACATGGTTCCTATGATGGTCTTCCGTGAAAATGTGTAACAATATTCGAAAGGAAACATAAGGCACAGCATCATCATACAGCTTCATCATACGTTACAGCCCTCCCTCTCACTCAGTGCAGAGATTTTCCAGTTGCACACAAGAAATATTAAATGAAAATATCCTTTGCAAAATGTTAAGTGCAATATAAATATTTGATTATCGCTTTTTAAAAAATACTTTAAGTAATGCTGTGTTGGGGTACGGTAGGTGTAATTCCAAGACTCTGAGTCCCAGAATGGAGGAAGAAATTGCATATCCCCCATAGTATTTAACAAAGGACCAATTAGAGCACTTTCTTGAGGCCTCAGAAGTGAAATTTGCTTCAGTGTCCCCTTATGCCCCCTTACTGCTACTCCGAATCAAGAAACCCACTCCCTCTCAAAAAAGACCCAGAACCTCAGAGATAATCAAAATCCAAGTTGAGAGAAAGGAGGACCTTTTATTTCCCACAATCAGTTCTGTGCTAGGAAAAGTGGATGTTGGAATTAAAGTCAGGATTCGCCCCCAGATGATCTCATCTTGCCCCAGCTGAAGGGAAAGTTTCAGGTAGGGACCAACTGGGGGTGCGCAGCAGCCTCCAGGACTCAGTGGGGTCATTGTGAGGATTCTGGGAGCTCCAAGGCTGTGTTCCCCCTGCATGTTTCTGTGTGCTATGTAAATACATGGTGGCATCTAGAAAAAGAAGACTGCCAGCCCCATTAAATCTGTTGCATGAATAAAGATATTGGCCTTCATGCTCTACTCTCCAAAGATCAGCAGGAATACGTTTGCTGAAACTCCAGAATCCCAGAGATATCCTTTTCTCTCCCCCATTAAAAAGGTCTAAGCTGACAGAGGAAGACCCTCCCTGGTGCGGAGTCCTTAGGCGGTCACAGCCTCCTCTTGCTTTTCCAGATCTCTGGTTCTGTATGAGAAGCAGGGAGGAGGAGTATGAACCCAGAAGCAAAGTCAACACAAAATCTTCAGGGTGAGTGTGAATCACAGAAAAATAAAATATTCTCTATGTGTCCAGCTCTAGGACAGTGATTTGATTAAAATTCAAAATTAGATTATTGATCCATTGGTGAGGATTTAGAATTGAACTTTGAAGATGGATTTTTTAAAAAATGTTTTTAAATGGAATAGAGCCAAGAATAATTTGACAGCTTAAACCCTGCTGGTAATCAACCCCTAGAGTCATTAAGAAAGACAGGAGTGGGAGGTGAAACATCTGGAGAAATGTGAGCAGATAACGAATTGGGTGGGTTTTATAAAAGCTAAATGCTATCTGTAGGAAGCAGAGTTATAAAAAAATTGTGAGGCAATAACCCTGAGGTCATACAAGGGTTAAGAGGAAACCTTGACTCCTTCCTGGGCAATTCTTCCAGGGAGAATGGCGATTGAGTATGCTATTTCTCACAGCAGCATTCACGCATGGTCAAACACAGGTAGTCAAAAGACACTATCCAAAAAGGGTCTTATTATGTACCAGGTCAGCCTGCAGCACTGGCCTCCCCAACCCAACCGTGGCACCCTTGGCCTGGGCACTTCAGATGGTGGCCATTAGGGAGCCGGTCAGGATACAATGAAGAGAGCACAGCCTTCAAAGTCATGAAGGCTAGGGTTCAAAAATTGCTGCTGTCATTTATCAATTATAGGACCTGAAGATATTTCTCAGATATAAAGGTATTTCTCCTCTGTGAGCCTCATTTTTCTCACTTGATGAATTTGGATAATTATGCCCACTTTGCATATTTTCCTGAGGATTAAATGACATAACACATCTGACAGTTTCTCGCACGTGCCAGATGATGGCTACATGTTTGTTCTCAAATCCTCTTCTCACTCTTTTCCCCCTCATTCATTCATTCAGTGCTAACTATGTACCCTGCACAAGGCACTGAGGCAGAAAAATGAACAAGACAACTCCTATACTAAATGGGGTCATAATTGTGAAAAAGATAGACACACACTGGTAACTATGATATAAGTAGAAGTGATAGAAATTACACAGGGTACCAGTAAGGAGCAGAGAGGGTACCAGTAAGGAGCAGAGATGAGGAGTGTGAAATTCAGCGTAGGATGGGGGAAATCAGGAAGCCTTCCTGGAAGAGGTGGACCTGTGTTTGGTCCTACAGGACTAGTAAAAGAGGACGGTATATACAAAGGCAAAGCATAACTCATGTGGCGACCTCCTACATTGTAGTGTGGCTAGAACCTAACAAGTCCGTCAGAGAGAGCAGTAAAAGAAGAGAGTGTGAGGACAGGCAGGGAATCTGCTCACAGAGTGCTCAGCATGGCACAGCATAGAGCATGGATTTAACCCCTCCCTGGGGTGGCTTGGGCCGCCTGCTGCTTTCTTCCATTGGTCTTGCAGGTATATTCTGACTTAGAGAAATCAGCCACCATAAATTATAAATATTTGAGAGACTCCAAAGGTGAAGAAGGGTGCAATGAAGACCTGGATTGTGTCCGATGGTGTTACCTGGAATGACTTCTGCAGTTATTCCAAGCACGTCTGTCTAGCTTGTGACGCCATGCAGCTAGGTGAATTTGCAAATGGTTTTGCATGAAAAGGGCCGGGATCTAGGGCAGCACAAACCCAGGCATAAGGCCTTATGTATAGGCCAGTATTTCAATGCAGAGCCTGTGACGGTCTTGGCAAGCTCAACCTGTGATGATAACATAATGCCCAGTGCCAGATCAAACAACGCTTTATAGCCTCTTCCCACCCTGTGAGTTCCAGGAGGGAACCCTTAGGAGGACCAGCATCATCCCTCAGCCTCCGCTGCTGCTTCTGCCAGGGAGACAACATTTTCAAACATCTTTGCAGCACCTCCAACTGTGTCTTGCTGGGACAAGCTAAATCACTGAAGCTGTTTTAAAGTCCTCGGTCTCTGGCCCCATAAGAAAAGGGACGTACACAGCTCAACATTACTCTCTGCAGTATTTCCAAAGCTTTCTTATGGATTCTGAGCCATAGATTTGAGGCATAGCATGAAAGTCAGTTCTTGAATAGTCATTCGTTTTAAAAAAAAAATCTGATTAACATTCTATGGTTGAAGAGAATAAGTGGAATTATTTTGTAAGGTCATTTTCTCATCTAATTTCAGGAATCAGTTCAAGGGGTCTGCAAACCCAAATCCTAATGGGGCCAGGCAGGAAATTTAAATGTGTGCATTGGGGAAGAGGCAAGGCAACAGAGAATAATAAAGGAATTTTATGGTAAGGGAAGAAGGCATATCCCACCAGAAACATTGTCTTTTTAACTGAAGTATCCAAATTTGATCTAAAATAAGACTAAGTTGGCTTAAAAATATTGCTATATGGATTTTCTCCCTGCTGTCTCCTGCCTGCTATGTGACTCCCTGGTGGCACATACAATTATAGAGACTTGACCGATCTCCATGTATTTCCTCTACCATCGCCTTTGAATGCCATCTGCATTTCTTTACCTCTCAGGGAAAAGCTACATTTATCACCTTAGCCATGTTTTCCAAACTGGCCTTTTACATACATGATACTGATGCTTGAGAGCTATGCCACCATACTTCTCCCTTCCCATTCTAGAAATCTTTCCTCTGTGAAGGCCCAGATGTTTCCAGCAATCTATTATGGAATCCTGACTCACCCTAGAAATAATTGTGAAAGAGGCTATATATAAGGCAAGACCACATTGGAAATTTAAAAGTAGCCAATTAAACAAGAAATGATGGTGTCTTAGGTAGAGCTTTCTAGAAATAGAAATATGATGTGCTGTGACTTGAAAAGGAACATCAGGAAGTGTACATATTCATGAGAACAAGCTGTGTGAGTAAGGGAGAAGTTTTCGCAGATAAGGTGTATCACAAAGTGATCACCATTACCAGACTCTAACGTTTATTTGGCGAAACACTGAACACTGTCCTGTGAAGACTTTATAGGAAAGAATGATGACAAATCTCTCTCCCCACAAAAGAGGATTCTCCTCTTGAATTCTTAAAATTGCAGTTCTTAATGAAAGGATAGTATAAAGTACACAACTGCGAATAGCACAGACACATAGAAAGAAAGTCTTCCTCTATTTCACAGGCTGCTTGTAGGTTGATGGTCAAGTCATTCTGAGGAATCACATCTACAATCTGAGAATCAAATTAGATCCTAAAGGTTGACATCAGTGGTTCACTTGCATGATGACATGTCTCAGGCTCCTAAGATTGGAAAAGTGTAGTAGTGATATGCCCAAGGTCATATCATGAGTTCACAGGGGCCTGCACCCATTTCTCCCCTTCCACCAAAAGGAGGCTTCTCTTAGGCCAATTTACAAACAGCCCTTGAGTCATCAAATCCAACTATTAATCATTTTAAAAACTGAAACTGGATTGTTTTAAGAACTGGACCATCAGTCTGATTCAGATTATCTCTAATATTTGTGTTTATCAACGTAAACTAAAATGTCTCACTTGATAACTAGTTACTCAGCATACCATTTGACCAAAACATTTATATAGCTTTGGAAAATTATGATCTACATGTACACATTAGAAATAATAAGAGTTTGATAACTTTTAAATCCTTATTATTTCTATTATTGTTATTTTAGAAATTTAGACTTCATTTAAGCAAGATGGAAAAATGACACTTTTTTTTTGAGACAGGGTCTTGCTCTGTCATCCAGGCTGGAGTGCAGTGGTGCAATTGCAACTCACCACAACCTCTACCTCCTGGACTCAAGCAATCCTCCCACCTCAGCCTCCTAAGTAGCTGGGACTACAGATGTGCACCACCATACCTGCCTAGTCTTTTTTGTTGTTGTTGTATTTTTGTAAAGGCAGGGTCTTGCCATGTTTCCCAGGTTGGTCTGGAACTCCTGGGCTCCAGTGATCCTCCTGCCTCGGCCTCCCAAAGTGCTGTGATTACAGGCATGAACCACCATGCCTGGCCAAAAAAATGATACTCTTTATGTCAGTTTAAATCATATCCTTATCCTATAAGACGTTATTCATTTGTCGCTCAGGCTGGAGTGCAGTGGCACAATCTCAGCTAACTGCAACCTCCGCCTTCTGGGTTCAAACAATTCTCCTGTCTCACCCTCCCGAGTAGCGGGGATTACAACCACGCCACTACACCCGGCTAATGTTTCGTATTTTTAGTAGAGACGGAGTTTCACCATGTTGGCCAGGCTGGTCTTGAACTCTTGACTTTGTGATCTGCCCACCTCGCCTTCCAAAGTGCTGGGATTACAGGTAGGAGCCACCGTGCCCGGCCATGAGATTTGTTTTGAGAGCCTTTCTAAGACTCTCTAAAAAGGATCTCAATAAAATGTGATTTATTTACAAGTCCAATAGCATCAAGTATAGAGCTTAAAGGAGAAGAACGAAAGCCGCCTGTCAAAAGCCGTTGTGCAAACCTCACCCTGCCAGCAAACCATGTGACACATGGTGCTCGTGCCACAGAGGGTGAGTCTCTTAAGTTCCAGTCGCCATCCCTGCGTGGTGACCATTAAGTCAGATGAGGTGGACACCGATAAAGCATGGATTCAGCAGGACAAATGAACAAGATCAGCCCTCATATTGGGATAACATTTTGTCCAGTGCATGATTTGTCCTAATATCAAAATTATGATCATTATCTAGATAAGCATAATAAAACTAACAGTAACAACGACTGAGTCACTGTGCCGGGGACATCTCTAAATTTTTTGTAAGTATCTTCTCCATTATTCCTCACAACAGCTGGCTGAAGTCAGTAGTATTTGCCTGCTGTATAAATGGGGGGAAACTGAGGCTGAGGGAAATCACTGTTGGCGTCTTTTTTTTTTAAGCTCAGCTGTCTTGCTCGAATTATTTTTGTAAATTCTGAATAAATGTTTTGTTTGAATGGTTTAAAATAATATTCAAGAAAGATACAGTGTGGGGTCTGGAAGCTTGGCAACTTCAAAGGTGTTAATAGCCTTTTTTTTTTTTTTTTCCTGAAAATCACACAGGACCCCTGTGTTTTGAAATGGACTTACTGGCTGAACATTTTGTATGTGCCAGTGTTAGAACAACAACAACAAAAACCACCCCAGTCCTTACAGATGAGGTTGTTTTACCTCCCTTCTTACATTCTTAACTCTTTAAGGGGTAAAGATGGTCCATCCCTCCCGACAAACCTCAGAAGAGAAGACCTGTCCCCCACAACCCCACCTTCAGAGCTGCTCTGTGTGCAGATGCCCCTGGCCAGCTGAGGGCGCTGTGCAGAGCTCCTGGGCAGGCTGCCTGGAAGGTGCTGCATGGGGCAGGCTGGGGAGGGGGTGGTATGATCATACTAATCCCTCAATCTGTGCATGATGCCTGCCCCGTAGTGTGGACGTTGCTAGAATGTGTGGGGTCCAGGGACCCTCAACATCTACAAAGTGTCCTGCACCTACAAGGTACAGTTCTGAAGCTGCCCACCTGGGTCCATATCCTCCTTGCTAGCTTCTGCAAGCCATTTAACCCCTTCTGGGCCACCTTTTCTTCACCTGTAACATGGAACTACTATTACTAATAATAAAAACAGCAGTGATAATAACACCACGATACTCTTCAAAGGATTGGTGTGAGGTTTAAACAAAATATTGCATATGAAGCCCTTTCATCACAGCCTGACATACAGTATGCATTCAATAAACATTGACTATTTTTATAAATATTTAAAGGCAATTTCACAAAAGCATTCAGCAGAGCTCCTGGCTCACAGTAAGCATTGTAAGTGTTTTGTTTCTCTGTTTGGTGTTAGGATTATTTTTCCTGCCCTCACTATCCTCCTCCCTCGTTATATGAGAGGGTGGAGTAGCATAAACAGCGTGGTCTTTGAAGTCAGACCAACCTGAGTTCAAATTCCAGCCCGGACACTCACTACCCGTGTGAACTGGGGAAGTTACATAATCCTGGCAGCTTCAGGATTCTGATCTGTGCCATGCAGCGATTACCTCCTACTTCAGAGCATTAAAGGAAAGAGACCCACACAGCCTGGTGCCTCGAGAGTACTCAAGAAACACTAGTCCCCATTCAGTATCTGTATCTCCATCTTCACCTGTGCTGCTTCTCCCTCAGGACACATTGGGTCAGCAGTCACATGGCCTGGAGAATATATGGGACATCCTCTTTCTGCTATACTTGTGTTTTTCATCCTCACAATTGCCATCTGAGGCAGTGAAGAGTGTTAGTGATGCATCACTATAGGATGCAATCACCATATAATGCAGGTAAGATGCAGTTAGGGTGCATTTTGAGCTTCTGGAATCTGAGGCTCAGAAAGGTTAAGTAACTTCTGCTTTGCTACACCACCCAGCTAGCAGCCAACAGGGCTGGATTCCATTTCACGTTTGTTTGACTCCAAAACCGTTGCCTTCTCACTATCCCATATTGCCTCTTCTTGAGATCAGAAAATCTCTTTTTTCAATACCCAGTTGTAACTTTCCATCCTACCCCAGGTCAACCCCACGGAAGCCCCTGTGGCCCTCCTCAGTAGGAGAGAGAGTGGCTCATTCTTGGGGTGTGCACATCCACACAGCCTACAGTACAAGAGAAGAAGGGGGCACCTTCAGACTGTGTCATCGAAGGGAAAATTCCTGAATTCTCTCAAATTGCATAGAATCCTGCAGCTATTCCTTCTGCTTGAAAGATCAAGGACGAGTCTCCTGATGGAAAGTATTCTTTTTGCCCAGGCATCTTTGTGAGGACTCTTTGGGGTGTGAATAACAGAAAACCCAATTCAAGCCAGCTTAAGGAAACAGTGATAAAACCCTCTGGCTCACATACAGGACACCCCAGGGCTAGGGCTGATTTTAGGCACAGCTTGGTGCAGGGCCTCATGGGAGTAACCAGCCCCAAGATTTCTCTCTCCATCTCTTGGCCCTGCTTCCTCTGGGTTGGCTGCATTTTCAGAACAAACTCTCCCTTTGTGGCGGATGGAATGGTGGCACCCAGAAAGATATATCACATCCAAATCCCTGGGATTTGTGAATGGTATATTATTTGGAAAAGACGTAATTAAGTGAAGGATCTTAACATGGAATTTTTTTTTTTTTTTGAGACGGTGTCTTGCTGACCTCAGGTCATCCGCCTGCCTCGGCCACCCAAAGTGCTGGGATTACAGACGTGAACCATCACACCCGGCCTTGACATGGAATTATTCTATATTACCCAGGTGGGCCCTAAATCCAGTGACGGTTCATTCTTATAGGAGATAGCAAAGACAGGAGGCCAAGCATGGTGGCTCACGCCTGTAATCCCAGCACTTTGGTAGCCCGAGGCGGGCGGATCATGAGGTCAGGAGATGGAGCCCATCCTGCCTACGGTGAAACTCTGTCTCTACTAAAAATACAAAAAAGTAGCTGGGCATGGTGGTGGGTGCCTGTAGTCCCCGCTACTCGGGAGACTGAGGCAGGAGAATACCGGGAACCCGGGAGGTGGAGCTTGCAGTGAGCTGAGATCACACTGTGTCAGGGATTGGTTCCTCCCGGTGGGTTCTTGGTCTCGCTGACTTCAATAATGAAGCCGTGGACCCTCGTGGTGAGTGTTACAGTTCTTAAAGATGGTGTGTCTGGAGTTTGTTCCTTCAGATGTTCAGATGTGTCCAGAGTTTCTTCCTTCCGGTGACTTCAGGAGAGAAGCCACCAGACCTTCACAGTGAGTGTTACAGCTCTTAAAGGCAGCGCATCCAGAGTTGTTTGTTCCTCCAGGTAGGTTCGTGGTCTCACTGACTTCAGGAGTGAAGCCACAGACCTTTGCAGTGAAGTGTTAAAGCTCATAAAGGTAATGCAGACCCAAAGAGTGAGCAGCAGCAAGATTTATTGTGAAGAGCGAAAGAACAAAGCTACCACAGCATGGAAGGGGACCCAAGCAGGTTGCTGCTGTTGACTCCCGTGGCCAGCGTTTATTCCCTTATTTGGCCAGCCCACATTCTGCTGATTGGTCCATTTTACAGAGTGCTGATTGGTCCATTTTACAGAGTGCTGATAGGTCCATTTTCCAGAGTGCTGATTGGTCCATTTTCAGAGTGCTGATTGGTATAAACAATCCTTTAGCTAGACACAGAGTGCTGATTGGTACGTTGTTACAGAGTGCTGATTGGTGCATTTACAATCCTTTAGGTAGACACAGGGTGCTGATTGGTGTGTTTTTACACAGTGCTGATTGGTGTATTTACAATCCTTTAGCTAGACACAGAGTGCTGATTGGTGTGTTTATAATCCTCTAGCTAGACAGAAAAGTTCTCCAAGTCCCCACCCTACCCAGAAGCCCAGCTGTCTTCACCTCTCAGCACCACTGCACTCCAGCCTCAGTGACAGAGCGAGACTCCATCTCAGGAAAAAAAAAAATAAAGAGAGACAGGAAGGGAGAGGACACAGATGGAAGAAGAGAAGACCTTGTGAAGATGGAGGCAGGGATGTGAGTGATGCAGTCACCAGCCAGGAAGTTGAATGAGGCAAGGAAAGCACTTTCCCTAGATCCTCTGGTGGGAGCTTACTGACACCCTGATAAGGGATTTCTGGCCTCCAGAACTGTGAGAGAGTAGATTTCTATTGTTTCAAGTTACCAAGTTTTTAGGATTTTTTTTAAATAGCGGCCTCAAGAAACAAATCCAGTGGCATAGTATTGCAGTCACCCAGAGCTCACGTTCTCATAACTTTGAGTTAAAAAGAAGAGAGACAACCTTCTGGGTCTTTACAACAAAGTTGTAAGACTCACTTCGAAGGTGTTAAGCTAGTTTTGTGCTCATCCTAATAGTCTCTTTGGCCAGGGTCATTCCAGTTATGAGTTCTGCCTTTCACCCCAACTGAAGCCTTCAGCAGGCAACATGGGCAGAGTGAGGAAGAGGAATCCCCAAGCCAAGACCAGAGCTGTTGCCTGCTAAAAGAATGATACTTGGGAGAAAAACAACAAATGTTCACCACGCTCCTAAAACATCCACCCAGATGGAAGTGGAAGTCATAGTTGGTTGGTTTTACTCTCTGCATGGTCATTATTACTGTAATGTCCTATGAATACACTATTGGCATTTTGCAATTATTTGTCCTCTTCCAAACTTAGATGTTTGACATTCCTTCTGAAATTAAGAAATTTGTTTTCTTATTAACCTTTCCCCTGTCTCATTTGTAACTCCTTACTCACCCAATACTTGATGTGAAGTTAGGGGCCCCTCCACAGCTGAACTGCAAGCTGCTTAGGTCAATGCTGAGACTTAGTTCCACTGAACAGTTTTCATCTTATACCCAGAGATTTGATTTGTAATCTCACATTTCTCAAAAACGAAGTTTCTATATATAAGGAGGCCTATTTCCTGGCTTTCTATTCTTTCTATTGGTCCTTTTCTTTTTTTTTTTTTTTGAGACCAAGTCTCACTCAGTCACCCAGGCTGTAGTGCAGTGGCGCAGTCTCAGCTCACTGCAATCTCCACCTCCCTGGTTCAAGCGATTCTCCTGCCTCAGCCTCCCGAGTAGCTGGGACTACAGGCACATGCCACCATGCCCAGCTAATTTTTGCATTTTGTGTATTCCTACATACGCTTAATAAAAATCTTAAGATGCAGTTCAGATGTGTTCAATAGGGTGTGATGGCTGAACGGCCCCTACAAGTACAAAAGAGGGTCTTGAGGCTGCTCTTGGTAAGCTGGGGGTGGAGATGGATTAAAAATTTGGTGAGTTTTTGCTGGAAATTTTCAGAGCTCTCACATTATAACTGGAGCCAGGCAAAGTTAAGATAAGATTAGAAATTTTAAGTGTGAATAATTTTCTGAGTATTCGCCATCCCAGCAGCCACCAAACCCTGAGAGGTGATATTTGATATTTGTATTTTCCTCTAGCACATTTCCCTAGCACAAGGGGTGTGTGTTTGTGTTTGTGTGTATGAAGAAAGAGAGAGAGAGAGATGTTAGGTAGAGCACCTTCAATGTGCCAGCCTCTATACTATTTGGCAGAGACCTTGGCACAGAGTAAGTATTTTTGGTGTTATTAATGTTAATATTATTATTAATAGTTAATTTAAGAGTCACAGAAACCTTATAAGATAAGGTTTATCTTATAAAAGATGACAGTTAAACTATGTTATAATATAAACATAGTTTAGCCCCATTTTATGCGTAAGAAAACTGAGCTGCAGAGAGGTCAATCAATGTATTTAAAGATGCATGGCTAATCAGATGTAGGCCTGGCCAGGATTTGAATTCAGGTCTGTCTGACTTTTGTGCTCCAAGCCCTTTCCTGTTGTCTGGTTCTCTCTCTCTCTGCATTCTGCATTCTGTAATTGCATTGTAAATTACTTCACTAAGAAAATCATTCAAGATGGAAAGAATAATCTACATATATATATGTTTATATATTTTATATATATATATATATATATATATATATATATAGAGAGAGAGAGAGAGAGAGAGAGAGAGAGAGAGAGACAGAGAGACAGAGAGAGAGAGAGAGAGAGACAGAGTCTCACCCTGTTGCCCAGGCTGGAGTGCGGTGGTGTGATCTCGGCTCACTGCAACCTCCGCCTCCTGGTTTCAAGTGATTCTCCTGCCTCAGCCTCCCAAGTAGCTGGGATTACAGGCATACGCCACCACGCCTGGCTAACTTTTTGTATCTTTAGTAGAGATGGGGTTTCACCGTGTTGGCCAGGCTGGTCTCAAACTCCTGACCTCGTGGTCCACTTGCCGTGGCCTCCCAAATTGCTGGGATTACAGGTGTGAGCCACTGCACCCGGCCCTACAAATATATTATTAAAACTCATAAGAAACTTCAGTAAGCTTTTGGTGTATATTATTAGAATACAAAAATCAATAGCTTTCACAGATGCCAATAACAACCAACTAGAAATGGTTATTTATAAAAGTTGCTATTTGAAAATAGCCACAAAATGTATAAGGTATGCAGAAATACCTAACTAAATACTAACAAGACTAACTAAAGAATACTAACAAAAGATACGCAAGACAAATATGGAATAGATACATAGTAGATACTTTGTTATGAAACTAACAAAAGAGTATAAATTGAGTAATACACCATGTTCATGAATAAGAAGACTCAATGTCATAAATTTGTCTCTAAATTAATAGACAGTAGACTCCATTATAATAAAAATTCAGATAAGCATTTAAAATAGCTTTGACAAGCTTAATCTCAAATTTATATTGAAGGATAGAGGGCCAAGAATACTTTAGAAGATTTTTAAAAATAATAACAATAATAGAGGACTCACTATGCAGAAAACAAGACCTTTATTAAGATTGTGTGGTAATAAACAGACTAATTGAAAGAATAGAAAGCTAGGAAATAGGCCTCCCAATATATGGAAACTTGGTTTTTGAGAGTAGTGACATTACAAATCATTGTGGGAAGAATGAGAGATTTAGTAAATGATAGTGTGATAATTAGCAATCCAGATGGAAAAAGTAAATTAGGTAACTGCAAAGTAAAACAATAACAATATATCAGTTCTTACCTATCTGATTTGCAAACATCTAAGAGTTTGGTATTACAACGTGTGGATGAGGATGTGGGGCAAAGACACCCCCATGCTCTGCTATGTGGAAGTCTGAGTTGCTGTAACCTTTTCAGATGGTCATTTGGCACTGTCTGGTAAAGTTACAGATGTGCAGATTCTACTGCTCAGCAGTTCCATTTCCCGGGAAGCTCTGGCACATATGCACAAAGGACGCAACCAAGGACAATTTCACACAATGATGTATGTAACAGGAAAAATCAGAAACATTAAATATTCACCCATAAAGGTGTGAGAAAAATAAATTGTATTCTAAAGGCTGATCTATACTATTTAAAATGAAAAACTAAATCTACATATACCTACCCAAGTAAATCTTGAAAATATGTTACATGAACAAAAAGTTGGGATAGGCTACTCACAGTATACTATTTATATAGTTTGTTTTTTTTTTTTTTTTTCAAAAAAATCACATCATGTTATATATTGGTACGAGTGCAGATTGTGGAATACAATTGCAACATCCCAGAGAGAGGGGTACCTGCCAACTTTAGGGTGATAGCATTTTCTAAGGTGAAAAGGAGAATGGGTTGGGCAGGAGTAGGGGTACTTCAAAGAGTTTTATTGTTTTTTAATTAAAAATTTGGAGACAAAAGAAAGAAAATACCTTTGAGATAGTGGCCAGAGAGCACAGCTTAGAGCATATTTACAAGCAAAGAAAGTTGTATCTAGCAGATCTTCCAGCCTAAATGTTCCTTGGGATAAAGTTAAGGTCTGAAGAGCCATCTCACCCTTTAATATCCCAGCATGACCATGGCCTTTTAAAATCAATTTCTTTATTATTATTGCCATTCTGTTTGATTTTTCTTGAGCATTTTTTTGGCCTTAAATTCCCTTCTTAAGATTCTTGGGGAGTGACTTTTGTTGTCTAGTGACTTTGATTGTGGGAGAGAAAACTTCTGCCTTGAAATGTAAGTTTGAGTGATTTTCAATGTGCCAGCCTCTATGTCAAGTACCTAGCAAAGAATTTAAGATTCACAGCAACCCTATAATATAGATATTTTACAGCCCCATTTTACACATAAAAAAACTGAAGCATGGAGAAGTTAAACAATGTTAATCGAGGTCAAGATTAAATGGCTAATCACAGGCGGGGCAAGCCAGGATTTGAACCCAGGTCTTACTGGCCATTACATGCATTCTTTAATCTTGCCTGGTGCCTGTCTCTTACCACTGGATTTATAAACCATGCTGTAGACTAGCCAGGGGGTACTTATTATTTAAAGCATTTGCATGGCACTTCATGTTTGCAATGTGTTTTACAATTGTTTTTATTACTTATTCCTATTTTATAGCTGGTCTCAGTTTATAGCATGCTTTCTGCAATAACAGTTGTAAAGAAAAACAAACAAACAAGGAAACCATTCCTGCATCACTGGATCGAGGCACTCAGAATCTTCACATGAGCATCAGCCATGTTGGAAGACAGTTGTCAGGCACAGTTCTGTTCTTAGGAGAGGTCCCTAACACTCTTAGCAGCTGAAATGGAGAGAAAAACCACAATACTGTCTTCTTTGTAGGCGAAGCTTGTTCACTTTTTACCAAGTGTTAGGACAAAGCAAATGACTTAGATCACTTTCACTCCTTTTAATAAGGGACTTGTTTTCATTATAAAATGTTTTAATGATTACTCTGGTCTTGCCTGGCATAGTGGGGGGCAAAGAAGGAGGGGCCACAATATCATTACTCAGAGGCCTGAGGCTCTTTCTTTTTCGTGGTCTTTCTTTAAAAGCATTCCAGTCCTAAGTCCTTCTTACAGAGGGAATGATGAAGGAGGATGTGGTGGAATCACCCCGAGGATGTCTGCTTTAAATGCAAGTCAGGAAGCACAACAGAAAGATACCTTGTGCTTTAAGAAAACTGAAATGCCCTGGCAGATGCTAGAACCGTGGCCACAGTCACACTTGGGTTCCCTTTGGGAAAAAGCTCAAAAGGTTTTGCTTTTCCTTCAAGACAGAAAGACAAGGGAGGAGAGAGGGGTTCTGTTTCCTCCAATTTGGTGACCAACTTCCTCACCTCTTACATCGTCTTCACCCACATCCTTGTGATCATTCACAATGACTATGGTTTGAGTGATTAATTTGCCAAGTCCTGAGCTAAACCTAAGGTAGCATTCTCATTTCACAGATAAGGTTAGAAAACTGATTTCCCAAGACTATCCTGACACATGCAGGTACACACAATACTTTGGGTCGTGCATTTTAAGAATAATTTTCTTCCTGAGGATGCTAATTTCACAAAATAGTGTCAACAAAAGATTGAAAATATTAGGCCAGGCACGGTGGCCTGTAATCCCAACACTTTGGGAAGCCAAGGTGGGTGGATCACCTGAGGTCAGGAGTTCAAGACCAGCCTGGCCAACATGGTGAAACTCTGTCTCAACTGAAAAAAAAAAAATACAAAAATTAGCTGGATGTGGTGGTGCACACCTGTAGTCCCAGATACTCAGGAGGCTGAGGCAGGAGAATTGCTTGAACTCAGGAGGCAGAGGTTGCAGTGAGTCAAGATTGCCATTGCACTCCAGCCTGGGCAACAGAGTGAGACTCCATCTCAAAAAAAAAAAAAAGATTTAAAATATTAAATTTAAAAAACAACAAGCAGGATATTTAAGTGAATTCCCTGGTTTCCCAGCATCTGCTGTCTGCCCCATTCTGTGCCTCATGGCCCCCAGCCAGCCATCAACACCCCAACATCCGTTTCTGTCATCGCATCTCCTTCCCTGACTGACTCTCCCACCTCCCTCTTTCCATTATAAGGACCCTTGTGATTACACGGAGCCCGCCTGCATAATCCAGAACAATCTCCCCATCTCAGATCATTAACTTAATCACATCTGCAAAGGCTCTTTTTCCAGATAAGGTAACATATTCACAGGTTCCGGGAATTAGGGCCTGGACATCTTTGGGGGGCCGTTATTCTGCCTACCACACCTGGTTTCCACATTGTAATAAAACTCTCTGGAACTCAACAGCACTTTAAAGAAATAAAAAGAGGTAATACATTAATTATTAGACCAACGTCTAGTAAATCATAGCATTTTAGAGCTGGAAGAGACTGTACAGGCCACTCTTGGTATACAGACGAGGATCCTGAGGTCCAGCAGAGGAAATCCACTGTCTGAGATTACACGGGCAGGTGGTAGCTGTGTGGCACTTGAACCCCAGACTTCCAGCTTCTAGCCGGCTTCCTGTCCACTGCACTCATTCTTAGAGTTCAACAAAAGACCCCTCATCTGCATCCCAGAAAAGGCCAAGAGACCTGTTGAGAAACAAAGACTGGGCTTTCCAATGTATTGTTCTGAAATGGAGAAACTAGAAAAATTACCTATAAAGTTTCTGCCAGGAAATCATTTAATCACTTACATTATCAGAAAAGTCATTAAAACATTCACACACAAATCATACATCGTGGTTTTAAATTTGCCGTAAATAGATGAACACGTATCTCTGTTTAAATCTCCCACTTTCCTTGGGATTGTTTATGTTTTTTTTTTTATTTTTATTTTTTTGGGGACAGAGTCTTGCTCTGTAGCCCAGGCTAGAGTGCAGTGGCATGATCTTGGCTCACTGCAACCTCCGCCTCCTGGGTTCCAGCGATTCTCCTGCCTCAGCCTCCTGAGTAGCTGGGATTACAGGTGCCTACCACCGTGCCCAGCTAATTTTTGTATTTTTAGTAGAGAAGGGGTTTCACCATCTTGGCCAGGCTGGTCTCGAACTCCTGACTTTGTGATTCACCCGCCTCGGTCTCCCAAAGTGCTGGGATTACAGGTGTGAGCCACTGCGCCCGGCCTATGCCACTGGTTCTTTGAAGGCCATAACTATCATGTAGTTTGATAACACAGCCAAGTTTGCTCTCCTGGGAGAAAGATATAATGTCCTGTTTGCAAACACTCAGTGAAGCTAATACAAGTTAATGGCTAGTGTACGTATCTCTGGCTTGTGGTATTTCTTTTCTTAGCATTTTTCTTATATTTACTATGATAATTACTTGGGACATAAATGTAAACTTTATAGCCATTTATTGTCACATCTTTTAATGGTCAAGTTTATTGATCATAATCACAACCGGTATGCGATCTTATAACGCAGCATGCACCGGAACATTTCTCAAAGGCTCTATATCTGAACAAAATTTAGGAGCTGAAAAAGATATATACTTACCAGTGTCGCGTAGGTTTCTCTGAAGAGCAAATCCAAGGCCAACAGGAATTAGAGAAGTTGAGGCTCATTTGCTTCCCACTTTGCTCATTTGCTCATGTGGGCATACATAAGTACACTTAGTTTTTCTATGCTAATGGAGAAGAACATGCTAGGGAGTCAATACAACTATGAGGATATTATACTTTGAGATTTTTTTCCCTTAACCTATATTGGACACTTTTCTGGCACCAGAAAATCATCATCACAAAAGATCCAGGGACCAGGCTGATACATCTAAAGATATTTCTCTCTCCTTGCCATCCAACTCCATGAAAAAAGGCCATGTCTGCAATAGGAATGAGTATCTCCCTCTTCTACTTTCTCTTGCCTCTTTGTGCCTCTGTAATAGCAAAGTTGTTCAGACTTGTATTAGTGCTGCCTGGACAGGAAATTTCTGGAGGGTAGGGACTTTGTTTTACTCTTTTTGCAGAGTCAGATGATGTTAATTTTGATGGATTCGTTGGGATTGATAATAGAGTGTATTATTATAGGACAATGACTTTTACTATTTGGGTATTTTTTTTTTAATGTTGTGTTGTTACTTCTGTTATTGGAATTGGTTCAAATAATCCTTGAGACCAGGCTAAGGTCATTTACTCTGTGCTGTTCCCCATGGTCTCTCTCTAGATGCTCTTTTCTCATTATATTCTCTCATATTGATGCTTTTAAAAACAACATTAGTATAATAGAATACAGTATTGGACACAGGATAATAGTACTGAGAGATGAGGCATCTAAGTTTTTATTGTACTGCTAAGGAGCTGTGTTACCTTGGACACTAATTTACCCTCTCTGGGCCTAGGTTTCCTTTTTAGCAAATAGATTAATTACAAGTCAATAAGACTGACAGATGATTCTAAATTTTTTGAGTCATAGACTCCTTTGAGGATCATTTAGGACCCTCTCCCTAAAAATGCATACAGCAGTCTTTGTATGAGATGTTCCTGAAAATCCCTTTCAGTTCTGACAACGTTTGTCACATAAGATGTTAGATACTGTGTTCATTACTTTTCTTGTTTTATCTCATTTACTGTTCACAATAAATCTAGCAACTAAGTACCACTGTGTTTTTCTATTAATTCTATTTTTTGAGAACAGAAAACGAGCTCAGGCAAGTTAAGGAAATCAACAAGGATCAGCCATTTAGTTAGGGGATGGAGTCAGACCCAGAAGCCTGTGTACGCAAGAAGTTTCCATGTGCTCTGTGTGCAAGGTAGTGTGTTAGTATGTTGGTGGTTAGGAAAATGAGCTTAAAACCCAAAAAGTGTACTAAATTGCATCTTAAGTTACAAAAAACAAGAACACAGTGTAAATACTCTTTCATCCATTTTGGTAATTTCAGCAGAAATTAGACTGGTGGATGACATTAGTACTCAGTTTGTTTTTATACATCCTCAATCACTGAGCCAACATCTGATAGCCAGATTACCCCAGGCTTGCTGGATACTTCAAATAGCATTTTCAGGGATGTTTTCCCAAAATGATAATACAGATCGATGGATTCTCATGACATATACAAGGAACAAAAAGGGAATGTAATAAATGCAATAAAATAGTGATTCTTCCCCAAATTTTTTTTTCCGGCAGATTCACTCTGGATTACATTTATGTAGTCACATATTTTAGAGCAATTTAAAATCAAAATAGGAATACATTTCCTGAGTAATCCCATCAAATGAGAGATGAACAGGATAAAAGGAAGGTTGTTACCCCTCTAGTGAACCAAAATCTTTGTTTGACTTTTCACTCAATTTTATGTTTCTCTTTGAAAAGTTACTAAAACTTGTGATAACTAAAACATTTCCAGATGTCTGAATTCTTTTCTATTTGCATGTTTCTCTACCAGGGACGGAAGGATCAGAGACAGTGGCCAAAGGGAGAGGTAATTATGGGAGGCTCCTTCTGGTGGTGGGGGGGTGAGTAGACAGGGATAGTTTCCTCCGATTCTTGCTTGCAATGCTTTTTCCCAAGGAACTGTTTTGTTGTTGTCGTTTGTTTATGCTTTGTTCTTATTGTTGTTCTGTAGGCTTTTTTAAAAATGTTTTTTACTGAATATCTCAGTCTATTTTATCCTAAAGGATGATGATGGCCTAATAATTATGACAGCTGAAATGATTCCTGGGATACCTGAGATTTGAAGCCAGGCCTTATTAAATCAGTGGCAGGGGCTCTGTAACTACGCTCATGCCCTTTCTTTCCCACTTTGCTCATTTGCTTCTTGCCACCTCACTCTAAATTCCCAATGGATTACACACGGAATCCTGGACCATTATCAAATTTGAAGTTAGGACACAGAAAGCTAGAATGTGATGAGAAACAGATAAGCAGATGACTGTGCAATTAGCAACATCAGTTGCAATCTACAAAATGGGTTTTCAACCAATGGCTTCCTGTGGCCCGACTTCTTGGTCTGGGTTTACTGCTGGGGAAATAGTTGTACTTGAATTTAGGCAACTGAGAGACTAACTTGGGAGGGGTGGGGAGACATAGAAGCAGAGAATATAGCAATATGACTTTTCATGTCATTATTTAGAACTGGAAGAACTAGAATCTTAGGCATTTATATTATAATAAGTTGCCTTTGATTTATCCATTTCCAAGAAGCTCAATTGAAAGAAAGAAAGAAAGAAAGAAAGAAAGAAAGAAAGAAAGAAAGAGAAAGAAAAGAAAGAAAAGAAAAGGAAGTAGAAATGAAGAAAGAAAGAGAGAGAAAGCAAGAAGAGGGAAGGAGGGAGGAAAAGGAGTTGGATTATAAGGATGACCTCATAACTGCCTACCTAGCAGATAAATTATTTAGCTGATATGAGCCTTCAGTCAAAGTGGTTATCTTCTTTATTTCCAGATATTTTTAACCATATTATTATAATGTAATTGTGGTATGTGTTTTTATGTACATTCAGTAAACCCTGAAAGACAAGTATACCTGAGCTTGTTGCTGAGGATACAACAGTGAATAGGAGATCATTCCTGCCCTCAAGGGGTTCACAGTGCAGTAGAGTAAGTAGTCCTTAAACAATAGTCACATTCTGTACCATGTGATCATTTTACAGTGGAGTTTTGTAAAGGAAAAAATATGAGCATAGATACCTAACCTCACTCAGTCTAGGGGAAGAGAGACAGAGATGTTAGCATAGCTAACTAGAATATATAACGAAAAATCATTTAAAATGAGATAAATATCTATAAAATATCTAGGAATTAACCTATAAAGATTTACTCAAGTCCTTTATGGAGAAATTTCCATAAATCTCTTAGCAGATTTAAAAGAAAACTTGGATACATATTTATGAATAGGAGGCCTTAACATTGGTAAGATTCAATTGAAAACCACCAAATTAATCTGTAAATTCAATGACATCTCATACATAATTCCAGCAGGATATTGGTGGGATGGAGGAAGGAGGCTTGACAAGCTCATTTAAAATTGTTTGCAGAAGGATAAGGTCTATGCTGTCTTTTACCAGATATTCAGACACACTGTAAATGTCAGAGCAGTAAATAAAAGGCGTGATGTTGCCTATGGTGCCAATACACCACACATCTAGACTACTGGACCTATATTAGGTTACTGAATGGGATAAACTTGGTAGAATCCCATCAGGAAAAAGCTGCATTTCTTTCCCATCTCTGCCTTTAGACTCACTGAACTGTTGTCTTCCATCCTGGCTGCTCGGTGATCTCAAACGGATCCCCACTTTCTGGTTATTTTCCGTCATCATTTAGATATCAAAAGGTTATATACACTACGTTGCATCTCAATTAAAATTCCTATTTCACATCCAATTAGCTGTCTTTCCTTTTCTGTCTATCTCAAGTCTGCCAAACCCAGGCCTGAGAACTCACGTGACTGGGAGTGAAGTTCCCAGAGGCCGCTGGTCCATGAGTGAGGGTGGAAGGGCCCTCCTCACTGCCTAGATGCTCATCCTGAGCAAGAGATGAGAACCTGTGATGGGCGCCCCCAGCAGCAGTGGCGGTGAGACATGAGGAAAGGATCCTGATAAATCCTGCTCTGTGAGGGCAGGAGTGGTGCCTGATTACACAGAAACAAAAAGGGCAAAGGTGTATCTAAGTGGTGAAAAGGTACTGGGGGCGAGGAACTGGGGTGTGCAGTCAGAGGCAAGGTAGAATGCCAGGCACCATAAGGTGATCCCCAGAACCTCATCCACTGGGAATGGAGGGAAAGGCAGACTCAAGTGAGTGGGAGCGGGAAGCTGATGGCACCCTCTGCACTGGTTGACAGCATCTCTGTGGTGTGAGAGATACCACTGAGCACACCGGCCCTGACCAGTTCTTTATGCACATTTGCCTCGGCCATTATCCCAATAGATCGGTGGGTCTCAAACCTACAAATCCAGCAAACATCTGAGATGCTTATCGGAAAGTTCCAAAGCACTGGACCCAACCCCTGTGATTCTCATTTGGTGCCTGCAAGCCCCACATATACTTCAGCGCCTTAGTCATTTATGAGAAATATATGCATATACATTGGTACTTACCATTGAAGAATACAAGGGTATTTACAAATATCTCGTTGTTCTGTCGGTTATTTAACCCTGAAAAGCTATCTTTATATACTTATGAAGACTTAAAACATCATATTAACATTAGAACTGCCATGGACCAGGGAAGCGTTAGAGAAGGCATGTGCTGAATTGTTTTGTGGAAATCTGCAGTATTTGTGGTAAAAATAAACTGTGGTTCAGACTTTTTTGCTCTCTAACCATCCCTCTTTTTTCCAGGATGTTTTGTGAGATGATTGTTCTTTCAACAACACTTTGGGACATGTTGGGTATCACGAGTTTCTGCTACGTATCTCTGCCCTTGGTATTTACATGACAATTGCCCCCATTGGGGAAGTAGTTCATGAGATGACACAAGTATAGAGCAAGATAAAATTAATTTCAAAACAATTTTCGGAGGATTTTAGAAATGCCTACATCGGCAAATTTGCTGAAGATATAAAATGAAACAATTAAAAAGGGATAGGGCAGCTGGGCGCAGTGGCTCACGCCTGTAATCCCAGCCCTTTGAGAGGCCGAGGCAGGTGGATCACCTGAGGTGAGGAGTTCAAGACAAGCCTGGCCAATATGGTGAAACCCCGTCTCTATTAAAAATACAAAAATTAGCTAGGCGTGGTGACATACGTCTGTAGTCCCAGCTACTCGGGAGGCTGATGCACGAGGATTGCTGGAAATCAGGAGGTGGAGGTTGCAGTGAACCAAGATCACACCACTGCACTCCAGCCTGAGTGACAAAGCGAGACTCTGTCTCAAAAAAAAAAAAAAAAAAAAAAAAAAAAAAAGAATAGGGCTCATCTGAAAAGTTTCAGGTTTAATGACAAATGAGATTTGACTGCTCTTGAAGGAGCTGGCTACACTAGCTCTGCAGAGAGCAGCCCAGAATGTTAAGCAGTGCACTTGTCCAGGAGTTAGTGATCTAGGTTATAATTCACTTTATTTCACTGCCACTAACCAGCTGAGAGAACTTAGATAAGTCATTGGCCTTCTGTGAGTCATAAACACTCCCAACATCCCCTCCTCTTCTCTATTTTAATGACTCCTCAGTGCTCTAAGTCCTTAGAGTCTTTGTGACTTCATAGATCAGTTTAAATATTGGAGGAATGAGTTTTGGACCCTGACTACTTTTATCCTGGGTCATGGCTATCTTAATAAAGTGGATTCAAAATTAAACCAAACCAAGAACCATCTAGTTCATTCAGAGTAAGTTGAGAGAAATTTACATCCAAGGAACAAGAACAAGATACAATAGAAAAAGAACCCTCAGGAAATGTGAAGGAGCATTTTAAATTTAAAAACATGATTATTTTGAAATTTTTGAAAAGTAATAGTAAAAGAGAAAGGAAAAGAAAAGCTTTTCTCTACCGAAGAATGACATCTAATAAGAGAAAAGATGATACAAAAACTATTTTACAACACATAATGCAATTATTGATTTAGGGATTCAAGTGGAGATCATCAGTGAATGTAAGAATCATTTGGTGCTGGTTTCTTAAGTAGTAGAAAATTCACACAGAGCCAATGTATCATCCAACAGATCATTTACTACTTGAAAGGAGGAAAAATCTTCTACAATGAAAAGGGATTGCAGGTATTCCTTAATAAAATGACCATACTTCATGTCATGAATAGTGAAAGAATTGGACATCGTGGGTCTCCTGGAAGAATTGAATATGAAGAATACAACCTCACCTATGGACTATTATCATCCAGAGTGGTCAGTTTCAATTTAATCAAGACATTTTCCTTTGCTATATAATATGATAGCTAATTAGGCACATGTGAAAATTGAGAACATGATTTGTGACTAATTCAAATTAGTCACAAATGTGACTGTAAGTGTAAAATACACACCAGATTTCATAGATATAGTACTTTAAGAAGAAAGGTAAAATATATTAATGATTTTTATGTTGGTTACATAATGACATGATATATTTTGCATCTAATGGGTTGAATTAAATATATTATTAAATTTGTTTTAAAACTGGAGGAGGTGATAAAAGAGTGACAATTTATCTTTTGTTCAATAAGGATATAAAAACTGAAATCAGTGACATTAATATTTTATCAAATAATGAACATTTTGTCCACCCAATTAAGTAGGGAAAACATTCTAAAATAGGACAGCTAACATTGTATTCAATATAAAGATAAATAGGTAAATGTAGATAAAGCTCCTTATATATTGATTACAGTTTTGTTTTTTTTTTTTTTTGTAAATTTCTACAGACCAAGGGGAATACAGTCCTTTCTGAGGATGAGTGGGTGATTAGAAGGTGAAGGTGGTGTTAAGGGAGGGAGTCCAATCTCAGCGAAAAGAGTCAAAGGCCAGGAAGGGATAAGCATCATTGTTTACTAACCCCAGTAGGAAATTGAGGTCTCTTTCTCCTTGAGGCATTCATCAAACGACTTGGAAGAATTTTCTAAACATCATGATGAAACAAGGAAACATCGTCCTACTCATTAAGTTTCCCCTACGAGTTTAATACATTTGTTTATAAAATCTTTAGGTAACACTTTATAGTAATTGGCATTCTAAAATACTGGAGTCTATGGTGATTCAGAAAGCAATGATGATTTGTATCAATTTAATTGTCTCTTTTGAGACTTGATATCCATGGCAAACATCTTGTTCTGCTTTGTTCTTGGTGGTTAGTGTTACTGTATACATCCCATATGGGAGTAAAAGAGATTGTGGGTGGATGAATGAAGGGGAAAGCACTCAGACTAATCTCAGGGGACTGAAATAGTGAAGGAGTGAATCACAAGAGATTTGAAAGGTTTCACTGGTTTTGGAGAAAAGCCAAATCTGGAGTGGTGGGGGGATCTTTAAATTCTTTGATTCCCACAAAATTTTAAGGCACTTGGCTTTTCCTTGAGAATTTTGATACATTTGATGAAGATTAGAAAGATGATTTTTTAAAAATGTATACAAAACACAGTCTTGAATTGGGGAATTGAGTGGCTAACTTGAATTTGAACTTGTTTACCACTAGAAAATAATAGTTTCCTGTTTTTGTCAAGGGAGCAACATCAAAAAAGGTTTACAAATGAAAATTAAAAGGTTTCTTGGACAGCAAATACACCAGCAGTATTTTGGAAATTGGTTCTAAGTGAATCTGAAAAAAGGATAACTGTCCCCTGAAAGGCACATGGACTTGGTAACTAATGTGAAAATTGTTTAATAAATGACAATTTGGTCTAAATGTGACCTAATGAAGGATAGGAATGTGCTTTAATAGCCAGCTGTCTTCATTCTGTTTTCAACTTTCAGGATCATACAAAGTATGCGGACAGACTCTTTCCCTGTGACAGAGTCTTGATGAAATTCTGCGGGCTTCTCTAGGGAAGGTCTGATTTAGAAGATAAATGCTAATGTTAGCTTGAATTTCAGGTGTTTGATGCATCTTTGTATTCACTAAATTACAAATTCAGGGTCTGCTATGGGCTAGCTTCTGAGGCCACAGAGATGAACATGACCCAGTCTACCACCTCGTGAAGTTCATGGTCTACCTCTAGGGCCAGGATTTCTCCTGTAAGGACCAGATAGCAAATAGTTGAGACTTTGGGCCACAAGTCTCTGTTGCAATCATTAGGCCCTGCATTGTACCATACATAAGCAACTATGGATGATGCGCAAGCAAAAAGGCATGGCTATGTTTCAATAAAACTTTATTAACAAAACAAGCAGTAAGCAGGATTTGGCCCCTGAGCTGTAATTTGCTAGTGCTGGGCTAGGGGCAGAGACAACCATGGAGTAGGCAATTACAACACAGAGTAAGATGCTCATAGTGAAGGTGCTCTGTGAACCTGAAAGGAGAGAAGCAGTTCTCCCATGCCTGGGAGAGACATGAAAAGTGCATTCAAAACTGGGTGACATTCTGCTGAATATTTAATGATGAGCAGGATTGGGCAAGTGAACAAATGACTGTTTACTTTCCTTCTTAGTAGAAACTGTTCTCAAGCCCTTTCCACAACAAAGCATTTTTTTATTGTAAAATTTCACTGCAGAAGTACTTAAAAATATATTCTCTTAACTGGGCTCTTTACCTTATGAAGTCTCAATGACAACCAATATCCAGGCTAAACTTGAAGGGCCACTTTCTCATATGACTCTACAATTGTAGAGAAAAATCCTGGAATCACAATTTTTTTTTTGATTCATAGAAAAAGATACCAGAAGAAAGAGAATTTAATAACTGTTGAAATAAAAATTCAAATGATCTTATTTGCATGGCATAATAGCCAAGTTCTCTAGTTAAGCATATATATAGTTTTCTGTTTTATTGTAACAAATAACCACAAACTTAGGTGCGTAAAACAACACACATTTATTTTCTCAGAGTTTATACAGGTCAGAGTTATGGGCCTGCCTACGGCTGAGCTGAGTCTGTTGCTCAGTCTCACGAGGCTCAACCAAGATGTTGACCATGCTTTGTTCTCCT
This sequence comes from Homo sapiens, assembly GCF_000001405.40. Lineage (NCBI taxonomy): Eukaryota > Metazoa > Chordata > Mammalia > Primates > Hominidae > Homo > Homo sapiens. The sequence goes on from NC_000007.14 coordinate 41,335,423, forward strand.
TAGGAAGCTCCACTAGGTTAGAATTTACATCCAGACTAATGCAGGTTGTTGGTAGAATTCATTTCCTTGTGGTTAGAGCCCTGACTTTTCGTAGGCTGCCCTCAGATCCTAATAGCCACGGCAGTTCCTGGAGCCTTCCTCGCAGTTTCTTGCCACATGGGTTTTGCCATCTCAGCCATTCAATGCATCAAGCCCACAGGAAAGTCTCTAGCTTGGTCTGTTAAGATAGATTCTGTTATAGCATACCCTAATGATGAGATTGATGTCCAATCACCTTTGCCATGTCCTATTAGTTAGAAGCAAGTTGCAGGTCCTGCCCACCCTCAAGGAGAGGGAATGAAACAGAGAGGAGTATGGGGAGGTGGGTACGATGGGGGCCACCTTAGAGTCTTTCTGCCACAAAATGCCCACTTTTTTGTGTGTGTGCTATGTTTGGCTTTCTTTGTAAGCAGAGGTTTCATTTATGAGCAGATATTGCCAATGACTACAGAGTAGTCAATAATAACAGCCCACACTGTGCACCAGACATTAAAATATGGCATCTTCTTTATACAAAAGATGCGATCTAGCCTCAAACAGGTTATGTTATGGAAGACAACATGATCACTGAGAACTTTGATTTGGCCAAGTCCTGGCTGACTTCAAAACCCCTCCTTTTAGTCACTATAGCAGAATGTGAAATTGTCTGATCCAGTCTTAAATATCACCATCCTCTCATCATACTATTCACAAATCTAGACGGAAATGCTCTCTCTAGTGCCAGTTCACTCCATCAGGGCCAGCACTGAGAATGGGCTGTCCCTCTTGTGGACTAGCTCACATAGTTGTGTGCTAAAGCTCTAGGTTTGCTTCTTCCTTGTGCCCTGGTGTCATGCCCAAAGGGATCCTGGCTTACAAGGGAGCTAACCCACAGAACAGCTGATACATATCCACTGATAAATAATCAAAGAACACAGTGCTGATTCTCAGTTATATTTGTTAGTAAGTCAAGAAATGAAAATGACTATAGGCTCTGGAAATAAATTATGTTCATTTTTTGTACCAATGGCACCTGTAATCTGAATTCAAATTTCAGAGGGAAAATAAAAAAGTGATCAGAAACAATGGAGAGAAAACAAATGCATGGAAACTTACGGTTCTACAAATCTTCTCTGAAAAGAAAGCCAAACATGTCCACAAAGAACAAAAGCAAAACGTTCATGTCCAAATCTGAGACATACTCCAGATATGGGTGGTGTTCATTTTTAAAATGGATATGATGTTGGTATTAATCAGCACAAATACCAGGATGGTTTGTGAGGCTCTGGCTTTTGAAATAAAGCTTTTAAATTGCACTGGTTAATAACTACAGAGTGAGTCTGAGAGCAATAACATGTCCTCTTAATAAAACTTTATGTATGAGTATTTTAATGAATTGTTTCAGTATACTTTCAAAGAGAGCCAAGTTAGTGGTTGAAAACAGAATAGGATTAAGTCCTTACTAAGAAACTCAATCCTAACAACTGGTACAAGAATTAAAATGAAGAAAGGAGCCTGTCTTACACACTAGCATTTTTGGAAGCTATTCTTTTTAGACACTATGTTTTAGAATTTCCAGGCATCTGTCTGTTGCTAGAATACCTACACACTTTGCGGAAGCTTTATTTGAAAATGCTGTGTACCTTGTCTAAAGGGCCAGCTGGGATACCAGAAATAGTATCGGCTCTATTTATGTCTTTGGAGTAATTACAGTGGAATTTAAAGACTTAGTTTATAGATCCAAGAAGAAGATCTTCTGTGTACACTAAAAGGATGAATCCTTTCCAGACGACTTCTCATTTGGCTGAAGAAGAGCTTGAGGAAGCATTTCATAACGTCAGCCAAAGTCGTTTTTAGTAAGACCTGGGTGGGATTCTTGCTGTTGATATCCAAATTAAAAAAAGCCTTGATTTTAATCTATCCAAGGTTACTTTGTTGTAGTTATGAAACCATGAATCAATTTTAAAGCTTTCAGGGATGAAAGGAGATATTGAGACAAGTGCCTGCTATCTTTTGTTGAATGGGGGAAAAATATGTTAACCAATTTCCTGATGGCTTCGCCTGGTGGACTTGACTTTTGTTTAGCTAATGTCTTTGTGGAATGCATCTCTGTTTTTCCCTATTCTTGCCCTGCCTCTTACCAAAGGCCAGTGTGTGCATGTGTTCAAGGAGAAAGATGCAGTGTGTGTGGTCAGCGTGCTGGTCTTCCATTTATTGGATGTGAGCTGGACTCTGCTCAGAGATGGGATGCTGAATGACAATGAAAATGATTATGTACCTTGAGGGAGATTACATGACTGTACACTCTTTTGGACAAAGAATGAAAGAATACTTACTTACAGAATCTGTATTATGCTGGCTCCCAGTCTTTTTTACTATGAAAATTAAACCCAACTCATTCTAAATGTGTCCTAGCAGACAACAAACCTTTGAGAGAATTCATTTTCATCACCCTCCAAAAAGATCAGGAAAAAAATCTCATTGGCTATTCATTCCCACAGTACATCCATTCTTTTAAACTTTCATGTGTGTTTAAGAGCCTCTATTGCTTTTATAAGCAATAATTATAGTGATTTAAACATATTGCTTGCTTACTCTGGTGTCACAGAGACTGCAACAATGAATAAGCTAAACGTAGCATTTGTCCCCGTGGACAACACTATGTATTTTCCCAACATTGTGTCTGATCCTTAAGACAACACTATCATAATGGTATTAGGAGCCCCACTTTATGGATGGAGAAACTACAAATGAGAGAGATGGACTGCCTTTTCCAAGGCCATAAAGCAAGGAAGTAATCAAGATTCAAATCCAAGTCCAAGTCCCTCTTACTTCTTAGCCACCTCTTCCCTCTTTTCTTCCCCATATGACTTCATCTATAACACAGAAATCAAAATGGTTTTGGAACTGCACGAGCTAAACTGATCATGACCTGGTTTGTAAAAAGTGAAGTATGCGTCCTCTGTGTGCTAGTTTGTTCTGTGGTTGACCTAGCCAATCTGGACAATACGCTTCTCAAAAATCCCCTTACCTCTGTTATTCCAGAGCTGGCCAGAAGAGAAGCTGGTGTGAAATTTGGGAGGCAAAGATAAAGCAGGACCCATTAGACTCTGAAGACCTTCCTGTGCTCAGATACGGTACAGGGAGATGCAGAGGTGCCCATGGCACCAGCTGGACAGGACTTTCTGACTTCAGAGCTGACCAACAGAGGTCATCACCCATCCCAAGATGCTGGCCTATGGACACACAGAGGCAGTGGTTACACAGAGATAGTAGCTTCCTAGACTTTTCCACAGGTAGTCCCTTTGAGAAGAGATGTGCTTGGCTTCCCACATTTCCCTGCAAAATCCAAATTGTCTCCAGTGCTTTCAGTGGGCTTGGAGGGACTTGCAACTCTCTGATCTTGCAACTACCCCTTCTGACCTTCTTTGCCCAGATTCTCCCACAATTCTTTAAGGCCCGCTTCCTTTTTCACAGGTTCTTCTACCCTGATGGAATTCTTTTTTATTGTTGTTTTTTTGAGACAGTCTTGTTCTGTTGACCAGGCTGGAGTGCAGTGGCATGATGTTGGCCCACTGCAGTCTCCGCCTCCCAGGTTCAAGCGATTCTCCTGCCTCAGCCTCCCAAGTAGCTGGGATTACAGGCACATGCCACTGTGCCTGGCTAATCTTTTGTATTTTTAGTAGAGTGGGGTTTCACCATGTTGGCCAGGCTGGTCTTGAACTCCTGACCTTAGGTGATCTGCCCGCATTGCCCTCCCAAAGTGCTGGGGTTACAGGCATGAGCCAACATGCCAGGCCTGGAATCCTGTTAATATATATGCTCAATTATTCATTTGCTGGGGCAAAATGAATGTTGGCCAAAGGCAAGCCATGGCCCAGCCTACAGATAATCTCTCTGAGCTTCCATGGAAGATGCTTGATCTTGGTTCAGGTAAGTTCTAGTACCACTTTGATCTTCACAAAAGGATGTCACTTCTGTTGTCAGCTTGAGTCATCAAGTATCTGCCCTTAATTAGAGACAGAAGCCTAAAATCTTTACCAGAGAATACCACAATCAGCGGCTCACTTTGCCACTTTATTAAACGCACTATTAATAGGGAATTCAATTCACAAGGCTTCAACCTTCTCCTAAGAGAGTTTTCAATTGAGGCTTTCAGTTCATATAGAATTGCTTCAAGCAGGCTTTAAAAATATTTGAATTTGTTGCTGATGTTTAAAATTTGGGAGATTTCATTTAAAAGACGGAGTCTTACTCTGTCACCCAGGCTGGAGTGCAATGGTGCCATCTCGGCTCACTGCACCCTCTGCCTCCTGGGTTCAAACGATTCTCCTGCCTCAACCTCCCAAGTAGCTAGGACTACAGGTACATGCCACCATAGCTGGCTAATTTTTGTATTTTTAGTAGAGACGGGTTTTTCACCATGTTGGCCAGGCTGGTCTTGAACTCCTGACCTCAGGGGATCCGCCTGCCTCGGCTTCCCAAAATGCTGGGATTACAAGTGTGAGCCACCGAGTCCAGCCTAAAAGTGTATTTTGAATTTCATTTTTTAAACATAGTTCCCCTGTTGCTGGGCCCATATTCCTAAACTGCAATGATGTACTTCATTTGTTTCTTGTTTGGCTCCTCCAACATTTGAACTGGTGACCCCTGGTAATAGTCCAGGTGTTATCACTGGAAAAAGGTTACTAACGTACATACAGACAGTGCTGTAAGGAAGAGGTAGGGAAAATCCCCACTGATTTGTTTCGAAGATGTTGAGGATGTTGTCGCCTTATCACTCATTTCCAGGGAGTCAACTGAGGAACAGAATAGTGCATTATTTGAGTTTAATGTCAAAGACATGTCCAGTCTTCTAGTTTTGATAACATGTGACAACACAGCTAAGGGCTGGTATTCTCACTTGCTCTCTGAAGGCCTTCCACTACAGGTCACTAACCTCACTGGCTGCCTGCACACCGAGGCCTGAGTTCTGCAGGCACCTCAGGATGTAGGATTACACAGCATCCTTCCCTGTTCACTCACATTCATGTTAGCATGGTCTGTCTTGCAGGTTTAAGCTCCAGGCTTGGCTGCTGAACTGGAGCGTTTCCTCCCATAAATGTATGATTTGCAACACTGTTGACTTTTGTTTAGCTTTCCTGTTTGTCATATCTTGCAATGCTTCCTTTCGGTTAAGAATATTTGGCAACTTTGTTGAAACAGGCTGGCTGCCTTAAACCAAAAATTTAAAAGTTTAATTTAGGTTGATTATTCTCTAAAGAAAAAAAAGGGGGATGCTTTTCGGCATAAATCTTCATTTCTTCATTGTAAAATATCTTTTTATCAGCTGATTTAATTAATAGACTTATTTATAAAGAACATGAGGCCTTCAAATATATATGGAAGTGGTGACATGAAAAGGACACATATAACCAGTACCTGGTACAAGGTTAGAAACAATCAATATTAGCTATTATTAGTATATGTGCAATATAAATTATGTGATTATGTTTCTTGTTTTACTTTGGCCTCCAGGAAGCTCCAAAGCAAATTTATGACTGAATTATAACTATCTTGTAAGAATTACATCTTCTGAACCCCCATGTGATTTTTCTGTCACTATTCCCTGATTCTATTTTTCCCCATTTAACTTTTTTTTTGTATTTTATAATCCATTGTGGAATGAGAATGATAGAGTTACATGGAGTAATTAAAATTCCCATCACCTAAAACCAGGATTAAAGCTACAATCTCCTAATTGGTTTATTCATCTTTAATTTCTGGAAAACACCAATTCAATTTACAATCTGAAATTAGAGCATTTTCTCCCTAAAATACATATTTATGTATAATTCTAACATAGTTTTTAAAAATTACCTCCTAATACATAAAACCTAAACATCTTAGCCTGGCATTGAAACATTCCACAAAGTGACTTTGACCTGTTTCTTCAGTTGTATGATTTCTGTTTGATATTGCAACTACAGCCAAGTCAGCTTTTCCATATCAGGCAAAATGTAAGGCACACAATAGATACAAGGACGAAAAGGACTTATGTGGGCAAAATCCTTGGGAAATGCACCATGACTGACAGTTCTCTTGAGTTTTCATACCACTGATATATGGAAGGCTTTGATTCTTCTTGTTTTAGACACCATTTGGGGCCAAACATGTACAATGGGGACACTTTTTTCCAAATAGGAAAGATAAAGTTAGAAAACTGAAAAAAAAAAAAAAAAAAAAAAAAAAGATGGGATTCATTTTGACTTCCTTGTTTCCTTCCTTCCTTCCTTCCTTCCTTTCTTTTTCTTTCTTTTCTCTCCCTCCCTCTTTTCTTTCTTTCCTTCCTTCCTTCTTTTTCCTTTCTCTCTTTCTATCTTTCAGACAGGATCTTACTCTGTCACCCACCTGGAGGGCAATGGTGCGATCATGGCTCACTGCAGCCTTGAACTCCTGGCTCAAGCGATCCTCCCACTTTAGGCTTCCAAGTAGCTAGAACTATAGGCAAATGCCACCACCATGCTAGCTCATTTTTTTGTAGAGACAGGGTCTCACTATGTGATCACCAGTCTGATCTTGAACTCCTGGCCTCAAGTGATTCTCCTGCCTCCAGCCTTCAAAAGTACTGGGATCACAGGTGTGAACCATCACACCCCACCAAGTCTACATTTCTTGTAAACAACACAAAGCCTACTTAAGCTCTTTACTGGCCTAGGAGTACATCTGTGTGGAAGTGTTTTGTTTTTCTTTTTTACAGTAAGGCCAGTTTCCAAGCTCTCAAGACTTTTATGACCTTCTCTCACTAGGCTTCATTTTTGCCTCTGAATAATTATAGTCCCCCACTAATTTATCTGTCCTCCCTTCACTCATTCATTCACTCAATAAATATTGATTGAGCCCTTTCTATGTGCCAGGCATAGTGACTGGTATTGAAGACAGTGAAGAACAAAATAGGTAAGTGCTTGCCTTCTTGAGTTAGGGGAGAGTAAAAACCAAAACTAATCACATAAGAAATGTAAGATCATAAGTTCAGATATGAGCTATACAGCAATTGATTTATGAGAACTATATAGCAATTGATATTACAGGGTAAGTACATAATACCGAATGTGTTCATCTAAGGGCAGGGTTAGGGTAAGGATAGGGGATGAATGTGCAGGAACTGTGTTAGGATGGTCTTAGAAGGTTTATCTGAGGGAATTACATTTTGAAAGAGGAAAGGGAAGAAATCAACGGCAGGAACTAGCTCTCCAAATTAGACTGTTACCGACAAAGCTGGTCCCTCCAAAAATGGGGTCTTTCCCTGTTTGATTACTGGAAGCCAATATACAAAACCAAAAGTGAGTGTCAAACAGTGCAGGTTTTATTCCATGGCCATGAAATTGAGAAGAGGGAGCATGGTTCACAAATCAACTTCTCAACTAGTGAAGGGTAAGGGGTTTAAGATATAGGGTTTCTCTGATGAAGGGGTTGGACACTCAAAGTGAAAGGAGGGCTTGAGACCAGCCTGGCCAATGTGGTGAAACCCTGTCTCTACTAAAAATACAAAAATTAGCCTGGTGTGATGTTGCATGCCTGTAGTCCCAGCTACTGGGGAGGCTGAGGGAGGAGAATTGCTTAAACCCGGGAGGCAGAGGGTGCAGTGAGCTGAGATGGCACCATTGTACTCCAGACTGGGTGACAGAGGAAGACTCCATCTCAAAAAAAAAAAAAAAAAGAAAAGAAAAAAGAAAAAGAAAAAGAAAAGAAAAGTGAGAGACGGAGTATTCATGTCTTTTCTGAAAATGGGTGGTGAACTTCTTGGAACCAGAGTGCTACCTTCCTTTTTGTCCTTTTGTGGCTTTTTCCAGCCATTGCCACAGTGATTGCCAACTGTCATGGTGCTGATGGCAGTGTCATTTAGCATGGAAATGAGATTATAAGAAAACCTGAGGTATTTTTGAAGTTTCAGCCCTCTTGGTCCTAACCAGTCTCAGCTGGTATGGTTACAAAGGGAACTTTTAATCATAGGCATCCTGTTTCTTAAAGATAAGCAGAGTTAGGGCAGGGTAGACATTGAGCTATGTCAGGTAGGCATTACACTGGACAATAAGACCATTTTATAGAGATTAAATTAAAGTTCTTATAGAAGAGTGTAGCAAGTAACAACTTTAAGGATATGTATAGTATAGGCAGATAATACAGTCAAAAAGACAAATTTTAAGTCATTTATTCCTTTCATATTTTAATATTCTGTGATCTTGAAAATTATATGTGATACTAATCCCTGTCAATTAAGGAAATAACCTGATATTTCTTCAAATAAACATTGAGTGGCTACCAGGTCCCAATCTCAGTATATGTGTCCTTCAGGGCACACAGGGTGGTGAGAATCAGGGCCACAGACTAGATAATTCCCTAGTGACATAGGATTGCTGAGGGACAAGCCAACCAGTAGAGTTGAGAAGCAACAAAAAGGGCCACCAGCAACCTGGTGTTTCAGGAAAAGCTTCCTGCAAGTGAAGATGACTGATCCCAATCTGAAGGATGATTCAGAGTTAAATGGGAGAAGGGAGGATAGCATGAGCAGAGGCAGAAAAGTGACCAATAGTGTGAAGATGTGAATAAGGATTGAGACAGGTCTGCAAAGATGGAATTGATGTTGTCAACAAACAGATGATGGTTAAATCCAAATGGGTGATAGCATAATGAGCATATATCTAAAAAGCATAGCAGACAGACAACTGTGTGGCAAAACAGGAGAGTTCCAGGAAGGGCACAGAGAGGGAATGGTCACTGAGGACCAGAGAGAGGACAGTCAAGGCAGGAAAGTGATTCCAAGTAGAAAGAATGTTCCGTAACATCAAAGGAAGCCAGGACACCCAGCAAGATAAGCACTGGTGCAGTATCACTAGATTCTGAAAGAAGATGGTCTCAGATGGCCTTTCCAAAAGTGGTGAGGGCTGGAGGCTGATGCAGGCTGATCGGGTCGTGGAGTGAGAGGATGAGACTTGAGGGAGTGGAGAGGTGGCACGACTTCCGCAAGAACTTTCATCCCTAAGGGAAGAATGTCGGAGGGCCGACTCACAGAGGACACAAGAGCCCAGAGAGTTTTTCTGCTGCTGTTGTTTTGTTTTTTAAGTGTGCAAAGATTCAAACATTTATTTAGGCCAAGGGAAAGAAGCCAAGACAGAAGGGATGGTTGAAGATAAAACAGTAAATATTGTATTTGATTGATCACGGTCTTGAAGGAAAGCAGATGGGACCAAGGGCAACGCTGAAGATGTTGGCATTGGACACGAGACAGGGCGTCTCATTCTTTGACCATGGAGACAAGAGGTAGGGAGGGACAGAGAAGGGGAATTTCAGTGTGGTGAGGAGGGGCCAGAGGTCCAGGTAATCCACACCTGTGACATGAAAGGAGGAGCCTTGGAGTGAGGCTGTGGCATCAGATAAAAGCCTCAGGAGAGGTAATGTATAGAAGGGACCCTGGAGAGGGGGAGAGTAGGAGCCAGCTCAGGCCAAATTCAAAGACTGGTGGATAAAGCTGAAGGTGGCCTGGCTGAGACTGAAGACTATGAATGAAGCGAGGCAGCAATCCACCCTACTGTGTGATTCTCTCTTCAGCAGAATGCAATAATTTCAGAATATAAAAGAGAAAATGAAACATGGTGGATCTGAGACTTTTTCTGGATGGTATATCAGGAAGTGGGAGGGACTGAAAGGAACAACTGCAGGGAGGTGGGAAAGGGGGGCTCAGGGGTTGACACTGAACATGGTGGTGGTAAAATAGTAATCTTGGACATCACCCTTTCATCTCGGCTGAATCAGGAAAAAGACTGAAAGGTTGGACAGTCAATGAGAACAGAGAAATACACTGACTGAGGTTCTCTGTGAGATGCAGAGTCAGATAGTGGGAGAAAAAGAACATCAAATATTAATGACGTGCCTATGAATGGAAACAGAAACTCTAGTCCCGATATTTCATATGTTTCCATAAATATTGCTAAAACTAAATCAACTGAGTTGGAAACCCACTGAGAGCCTATGATGTTTCCTGGATTAGTAAAAGGTTGTGCTGATCATTCCATGTTTCCATTGTCTAATGCTGGTGGGCGAGTGCTGCATTTTCAGGTGATACACTATGCTAGCCAAAGGCTTAGTCTAAGGTAGATTTATTGGACAAGGATTCCATTGTCCTCCTGATCATAAAAATACAAGACCAGTTATATATGCAGGCTACTCTGAGTGTGCACAAGTCTCTTTCTGATAACCACCCTGAAGATGGTTTTATTAAACTTAACCTTGGGAGGGGGATTCCTTTTTGAAATGTAATCAAAGTCTAGGGATTAAATTTTGACTAATCGATACAGACCACCCAGTTGAGAGATTGCTCATCCTAAGGGACATTGCTTCCCACACCCTCAAAGACTCCAGCTTTTTACTGTGGCTCAAGTCCTTTGAGTGGCAGTAGAAAATCCAGCAGTGATGATAGGAAAGCCCTCATGGCTTCCTTTCACAGCTTTCCAGACTTCGGGATTTTAACTCTTTATGAAGATAAAAAGTAAACATCAATGTGTATGTACCATGCATGAATTACTCAAAATTTAGATGGCAAATTGAATTTCATTGCTGTTTCGTGCACTATGGAAAACAAATAAGAAATTATCTGGAGCAGAAAATAAAATGATTTACATATTTTAATAATGTCTTATTATTTTACCTTCAAGCTGCAAAGCTCTTGCAAAGCAAAAAGGCCCATGGAAGATGGGACATGCTTATGTGAACAAGACCTCATGTCAACTCCATTCCTCCCCCAGGTGGGTTATATCACATTTACTTCTGTCTCTAGTAGTAGTTCGTGGTTGCATGTTGCATTTCTAAATCACTAAGAGTCTGAAAATGCAAGTTATGTTCTCTCAGTACCTGTCCCTCAGGCCTGCTCCCCAGATCCTATATCAAAGCATGTATTTGGAAGGGGCTTCCAGTGTCATGCCTTGTGCATGTGGTCAGTTGACCAGGGCCCCTGCATTTAGGGGATCTTGCTCCTCCTAACACTCATCTTCCCATCAGCATGGGTAACCCCAAGTGCAACTGGAGTGTCTCAAACTCTTCAAGCTATTTTCTTAAAAAAAATTTTTTACGCCTCTAAATCTAAAACGTTCTCTGCCATTTAGTTTTCTCCTTAATTTTTTGAACCCAAGGGTATTTTAAAAGAAAATGTTATCCATATGTTTTTGATTCATTTACACTTAAATCATTAAAAGCCTGTTTTGTAGAGCTTTTTGATGTCCAAAAAGTTTTTTCTGGGTCCTTTTTATAAGTAATTTAAAGCTGGTCTCCCTTCCTTTTTCCTCCTACCCTGCCCCTCACTTAGAAAGGAAAAAAAAAACCCAGAAAGTTGAATTTTGCTGGGAGCAGATGATTTTTAACCCCAAAGAACAGGGTCTGTTAAACCCTCAGGCCACACAGGTCAATTTGTTTCTAACTTGGGGTGTGTGCAGTCTCATGCCCCAAATTCAGACATCAGGTAGTTAAATGTGATACCTTTCCATTATCATATAAGTCCACAAAACTATGACAATGTTTTTGTTAGCAGTCTTATTGCCAAAAAAATGATGCCCTGCAGAGTCTATTGACAAACCCTTGGCACACACACTTCGCATGGCACACGCCACACGTCATGTGGTCAGCCCTGCTCTCCTCCCTGCCAGCACCCCAGCGAGTATTGTCATTTGTAGGTTTCTCAGCATTCTTTTTGCATAGTCAACACTTGAATATGGGTTCTCAACTCAGCATCACTGAGCTTCTCTAGACCACTGAAATTGGGCCTGTGAGGGAAGAATATCACGGAGGCTATCAGGGACTCTGAATTACTTCCTTAAATATTGAGAAAACCAAGCTCTGGGGGGAATTAATTTTGTGGGGAATGTTATGTGTGTCAACCCTTGCCTTCATGTGAAGACACCGGGCATTCAGTGTTCACTAACAGCATGTGAGGCTTTCAGCCTAGGCTTTCTTTGGTGTCTTCCCATGTTAATCTTGGGCATCTTATTTTGAGCCTATTTGCTCTTTGCACTACATTATGATACTGAGAAGTTAATGAATAGTTTTCCTCCATATGAATATTTTATGCTAACCAAACTTGCAAGCGAAATATTAATAGTAGTACTAATGGGACAATTAGTTCTCAAATTGTGGGTTATTTATAAATAAAATAATTCCTGACATAATACTACATAGCAGAAGCCAAGGAAATCTGCATACCCCTTAACTTACCAATTTAACTTTCAGAAATTTATGCAAAGGGAGCAATGATAGATTAGTACCAAGAATTACCTGCAAGAGTTTGTTTCTCATGGTGAAATATTTGAAATAATATGGATAACTTACCCAATATAAATAACTAGGGGACTGAATCAATGAAGCAAACTGGTTCATAAAAAGCAAAATTGCATTCATTTGTAATATGATTGTAGGAGAACATGCGGTGATAGAAGTTTCTTGCAATATACTGAGTGTAAAATGGTAAATTTTATAAGGGAGTTACCACATGATTCTATGTGGAGCCCAAATAAGGGATAATAGCTAAAACTAAAACATTAAGGATAATTTTAATTTTCTTATTGCATATATTCTAAACATTTTACTTATTATTGTATTTATTTATTTTTTTGAAACAGAGTCTCATTCTGTTGCCCAGGCTGGAGTGCAGTGGCACAATCACAGCTCACTGCAGCCTTGAGTTTCTGGGCTCCAGCAATCCTTCCACGTCTGCCTCCCAAGTAGCTGGGACCACAGGTGCATGCCACCATGCCCTGCTAATTTTTGTATTTTGGTAGAGAGGAAGTTTCACCATGTTTCCCAAGGCTGGAACTATTTTCTGCAAAGTTTTTGTAATATACTTTTGTAACATTTATATTTAAAACACACTGGCCGGGTGCGGTGGCTCACTTCTGTAATCCCAGCACTTTGGGAAGCCAAGGCAGGCAGATCACTTGAGGTCGAAGTTCAAGACCAGCCTAGCCAACATGAAAAACCTCTTCTCTACTAAAAGTACAAAAATTACCTGGGCATGGTGGTACGCACCTGTAATCTCAGCTACTTGGGAGGCTGAGGCATGAGAATTCCTTGAATCTGGGAGGTGGAAGTTGTAGTGAGCCGAGATCATGCCACTGCACTCTAGCCTGGGCAACAAAGCGAGACCCTTTTTCAAAAAAATTTTTTTTTTACAATGTCTTTCTGAAGTGAAAAAAGTGGATGGAAAAAGATTTCCAGCACTTAATCTAGGGCATGTATGCATTTTTCTAAGAGCGTCAATTACAAACACCTTGTGACCGTATAAACTTGTCCTAATCTCTATACCAAATGCTAACCTTTCACCTTTTCTAACTTCTGCTGAGGATTAACTACATAATAATAATTTCATCTGTGATCCAAGAACACAATAGTAAGCCTTATCATCAGAAGACAGCATCTCTTGAGAAGCCATATATTTCCATTTATTGGGACTATCTTAGAGTTTTTAATAAAAATCCTATTAATAATACAAGATTTCTCTAATAGTATAAGTAAGCACTAGGACCTTCATACCACACAAGAATCCTAGTATGATCAGTGAATTAGTGACCAGGTAAAATTTCAAACAATAAATTAATAGAGTTCTCTATAGAATACTTGTATTTTTGGGTCTAGTGATATTTTCCCAAGATTTTATTATAATTGCAATCAGTGTTCTAACTTAAATAATTCTAACTTAAATAATGTCTGGTTGATAAATCATTCCATTAGTCCCATTCATGACAGCATTTTTCATGCAGAAAGCATCTTAGTGGGCACCACTTGGACTGTCATTCTGTCCTGCCAACAAGTTACCATCTCCTGCCCTTTCATTTTGCCTCACCACTGTGAACCTGAAAAATCCTAAACTCTCACACTAAAAAAAGTTAAACACAATGAACCTTCTCCAATCCCACTTATCTCATTTAGTCCTCACAAAAATTCTACGAGGTGGACACTATGTTATTACTCTTTTCTTTCAGATGAAGAAACTGAGATTCACAAAAGTCAGGGAATTTGACCAGTGGGCCACAGATAGGAATTAGCAGAGGCAGGGTTCAACCTCAGTGCTGTCTAAATTCAGGGTCCATGTTCTTAGCTGATATGCTGGCCTCCTATTCTTTTGAAAAGTGACAATGCAAAGAAAATACTTAGCACAGTCTCTGGTACATACACACACAGTATCCTTTTATCCGCCCAGCCAAATGGAATGCATTATGCCTAAGGAACAAAAAGGAGAGAAGTACGAATCCTCCTCTCAGTTTTTAGGGTATCTGCAGTAACTTCTTAAATATGCAAGCTAGAGCATCAGCTCTGTTTCATTTCCACGTCCTATAAATTTGCTATATAGTTTCTGGCAATACAATTATTAGGATAAAATTCAACTGCTGTTAACACCTTGTGGAGGTCCAATAATCCAGGCATCCTCCACCCCCAGGGCCACAAACCAGTACCGGTCCGTGGCCTGTTAGGAACCGGACTGCACAGGAGGAGGTGAATGGCAGGCGAGCGAGCAAAGCTTCATCTGTATTTACAGCTGCTCCCCACTGCTCGCATTACCACCTGACCTCTGCCTCCTGTCACAGCAGTGGTGGCTTTAGATTCTCACAGGAGCGCAAACCCTGTTGTGAACTGTGCATGTGAAGGATCTAGGTGGCACCCTCCTTATGAGAATCTAATGCCTGATGATCTGTCACTGTCTCCTGTCACCCCCAGATGGGACCTTCTGGTTGCAAAAAAACAAGCTCAGGGCCCTCACTGATTCTACATTCTGGTGAGTTGTACAATTATTTCGTTATATATTACAATGTAACAATAATAGCAATAAAGTGCACAATAAATATAATGTGCTTTGATCATCCCAAAACCACCCCCCTACCCTGGTCCGTGGAATAATTGTCTTCCACAAAACTGGTCCCTTGTGCCAAAAAGGTTGGGGACCCCTGCAATAATCCATCCTAATAGACATTGGCCAACAGGAAGGAAAAATATCTGAAAAATGAATCCCACTACTGAAAATTACTTTACATAATTTAAAATGTCTCCTTTTGTTTGTATGTTTAGACTATTTCACAATACCTAGGAAAAATAATTGTGATACTTTTTTAGCATATTTTCCCCCATTCATGACATAACAGTTTGTGTTACTATTATATATAAACACTTAAAAGTACTGGTACCCCCCCATTGACTCAGTGTTTTACAATTAATTAATCCTGATTAATCCTATTATCAGGATTAATAAATAATCCAAGAAAAGTTCTTTTAGAACCTAGGATGGATGTGATATACATTTTAGGTTATGGTTATTATTAAAAATAATCACAGAAATACAATTCTTCCATATCACTATGTCACAGTAAATGTTAAATGCATATGAGAACAAACTTCATATCTGAGTAACAATAAGGCTTAAAACTTACATTTTCAAGTTATTATACTGACTTCCAGATTTCAGAGTAGTTCTTTGCAGAGTGGAAATGTTTAAGTGAACAAACATCCAAATATGTTTCATGAATGATTTCATTTCTTCTGTCTCACAACGTCCATTAAACTTAGAGGACACAACTAAGTCCCACAGAAAGCAGGTCAAAGACAAACAGTAGTTGACCAAGAATAGCCACTCAGCAGCAATTAAGTCAAAAAAGTATCTACAAAAATAAAAAAGCTACACTTCCTTTGATTGACAACCAAATATAAACAGCCACACTATGCTATATAAATTTCATAATTATAGTATGCAAATTTAGATTCCTTTTTACAGCCTGTGTTTTGAATCTCTCATGATAATGATTCTGTGGTCACAGACTGGCCACCCCACCCTACAAATTCCATCAAACAAACCTTATCTGAAGATGTGGTGCCCAGAAGCAACGGAACTTAGCCTCCTAAGGGTTAAAGAAGTCAAGTCACTTAAAAATAGGGTAGAAAAAGGCACAAAGGAATCCTGTTAGGGTCTGTTGAAGATTAACAGACCACCACACAAAAGCCCCAAAGCATCCTTCAACCTTCTGAAAAAAAATGTACTAAAAATGTTACTATGGGAACAACCAATTAAATAAACCAATAAAAGAGGACAACTATCTACACCTCAACAAAACTACACAAACAAACAATAAAAAAAAGTACTGTAAATCAATCAAGTTTTAAATGTTACCAGAAAGGTTGAGAGTGGAGGAGGGCATAGGAGAGCAACAAAAATAAAAACCTTTAGCTTATCATAAATAAAACAAAAGTAAAATATCAAAAATAAAATCAACAGTAGGACCCAAGACTGAAAGTAGCACCCTTATAGTTAATACAAATTCCCTGTCTATTTGGTGATGTTAATGGACTATTTACAATTTTATCCTAAAATTGTGGTTTTGCATCAGCAACACTTGGAGGAGTCTAGAAACTGTTTGTAGGTCCTACTAATTGACCATTTCTCTGGGAAATGAATAAAATAGGCTCATGACCACACTGTGAAGCATTCTTTATACTTTCAGTTGCTGTCTCATGGACCGAGAGTTTTCGCTGTGTCTCAGAGACAATTTCAGCCCTCTCTTAGTTCGGAGGACAAGAGCCGAAGGCCTGACTTTCTCTTAATTGGGAAACCAGTCGTCTATAGGCCAAGAAAGTAAATCCATCCACTTGACCCAAAGCTTTTTGGATGCTGAAAGCCTTTTCCATTTTAAGTTATGGTATTGTGACCAAGGACAGAAGTCTTTCACAGAGGACTAGTAGGAGAAATAGGTGAGAAAATTAACTGCAAGTATGGTGAACTGCTTTGAGGAAAATCCTTGTAGAAAGGTTCATTTGTCTCATCTGTACCTCTCAATTGCTATGTCTGTCTGTAAAGGCTATTCATGGAATTGATTAAACGCATGCATTCACATTACTTCCAAACTAACTTTGAGGCTAGGGGCTAACAGGGGACTGTGATTCTCAGGCATCTCTAGAGAACCCTATCTATTGTGACAACTTGGAAAATACCTCTTTGCTACCAGCCCTTCTTACACTTTATTTATTTATTTATTTATTTATTTATTTATTTATTTATTTGTTTATTTATTTTTTTGAGACGGAGTCTTGCTCTGTCGCCAGGTTGGTGGGCAGAGGCGCGATCTCAGCTCACTGCAAGCTCCGCCTCCCGGGTTCACGCCATTCTCCTGCCTCAGCCTCCCGAGTAGCTGGGACTGCAGGTGCCCACCACCACACCAGGCTAATTTTTTTTTTTTTAGTAAAGACGGGATTTCATCATGTTAGCCATGATGGTCTCGATCTCCTGACCTCGTGATCCGCCTGCCTCAGCCTCCCAAAGTGCTGGGATTACAGGCGTGAGCCACCGCACCCGGCCCCTTCTTAAACTTTTAAAAGATAAAACGGAACTAGAAAAACATTAAAAGACATGTAATAAAAGCTGTATACAACACAAGAGAACACAATTCTCCTTTGCTTTCCTGGGAGGAGCCACAATAAGCCTACATGAGAGGAGGTCAGATTATGTTTATTTTAGTTTGTGCAAACACATATTTTTGGATTCCAATAATCGTAATTGAAGATTCTCAGTGACAATGGTTTCCGGACATAAATCATAGGTTGATTATACCACTGTCATAACTTCTGGATTCTTAATGGGAAATATAATTTAGTCATTCCCTACTTCTTTCTCTCTCTTTCTCTCCAGCCTCCACTTGTACTTTTGCACTTAGAGATAATGTAAAATCATGGTATTTAATAACTAAAAATTTCCTTTGTGTTTCAGGTCCATTAGAGTAAAAAAAAGTTCCAGTTGCCTATTGTGCTTGGAATGGAATGTTATATATTTAGTGACACTGTTATTTGCCATTTCTGTGTTCCTTTAATCTCTAGGGCAATGGAGATTTTCTTGGCAATCTAGACTGAGCCTCAGTCGTGGGAGACAGACCTGATGTACTTATTATTGTTTCTGGGGAGATACCAAAGTAATTGAGTCTTAACTATTTATTTGTTAGCAACCTATGGTTCGTCAACAGATGTTCAAAGGTCTTTAAGCTTGAAGCTTTTGTAGTCTGAGGCAAAACCATTTTCTAAAAGGGTGGAGTCTGCCTCTTTCTCTTTGTTTACCCATTGTGGACTTGGAAACATTACTGGGGCACTGTTCAATTAAAAGTAATGGAAAACCTCACTTAGAAGAACAGTAAGCATGCTTTCAGAAAGGATGGGAGAACTTGTTGGGCTAATTTTAGTTGTAGTTCAAATTTAAATTCTTTGGTTTTTTAGCTTTCTTGACAATGATGAAATACAGCTTCCTATGTCTTTAAAGACCAAACTTTAAGATTTTAAAAGTATTTTGAGATCAAATGGCTATTACATGAATATATTTTGATAACTGAAGTGAAAATGAATTAGAAACATACAACAAATAGCGAATTTTTAAATTAAGGTAGATACTGTTCAAAAGAATACACATTTTATTTATCTGGGCAACATGCATAAGTATAATTGATAATATTCAAACAATTCTAAACTTGATGTCAGACGACGTATGGAACATTAAATAATTCATGGAGTGATTCAGAATGTGAACTCTACCAAAGTGTAAAGTACAGAGATCCAGATGCATTTTAAATAGTAAATACCATAAACGTATTGCTTTATGGAAAAGAAGATGAGACAGGTAAACATAACCATCCTCTTTTTTTGCGGGGGGAGGGGGACAGAGTCTCACTCCATCGCCCAGGCTGGAGTGCAGTAGCGCAATCGTGGCTCACTGAAACCTCTGTCTTCTAGTTCAGATGATTCTGCCTCAGCCTCCCGAGTAGCTGGGATTATAGGTGTGCACCACCATGCCCAGCTAATTTATTTATTTATTTTTGTATTTTTAGTAAAGACAGGTTTTCACCATGTTGGCCAGGCTGGTCTTGAACTCCTGACCTCAAGTGATCCACCCACCTCAGCCTCCCAAAGTGCTGAGAATACAGGTGTGAGCCACTGCACCTGGCCACCATCCTTTTTAGTCTGATTTCACATCACCAAGGACCTAAGTCATGGCTGGGTGAATTGCTTCTATTCTACCTTCATTAGCACACCTACAAAGGTCTACTTTGCTGCAATATTATGCACATATATCATCCAACTATACACATGCACACCAAATACCGGGTAGAGGAAAGATAATTAAGAACAAATCCCTGTGGATACTCCAGTAAAAGTATAAAAGGCATTGAAGGACAATTACATCAACTCTGTTTTAATTAAACCATTGTTTTTTCCATTGTTTCAAGAGTCAAACAATGGAAAATGTTTTACCACCTCAGTGCCACTCCCAAATCTGTCCCCCAGGTCCCTACCCTTGACATCATAAAATGCATCTCAGACATTCTCATACTATCCATCCTTTCTTTTTTTTTCCTTCTTTATTCCTGGGACCCACAGTAGGGAATACAGATTGATAGTCAGTAATTTTAGGACAGTGAAGAACAAAGTACATAAGAGTAGAATATTTGTTCTTGTCTATTAACACCCTGAGTGTTAATAGAAGTTTTTTTTTAATTTAAGAAATTTCTAATCTAATTAGAGAGGCTACAACATTTATAATGTAACATATTTCATCTCTTTGATGCAAAATTCTTGTTTCTGTTCACAGTGCCCAGTCCAATGCCTGGCACACAGGAAATGCATGCTGGATGAACATGTCTTGAGCAGCAAAACTGGAGACCTTGCTGAATATATCAGGGGTTGCTGTATAATTTACTGTGTTCTGTCTGTCCAGTGAATTCCACATTATAGTCAGTTCATTCATTCTACAAGTATAGTAGTTTAGTTGCTACTGTTTCTAGACTATGCCAGTGAGCCTCTGTGGTCAGCTTTTACCCTATGTTCATGTAGCTCCATGGCCCTGGGCTGCACCTTTGGGGAGATGTGCTTCCTCTTTAGTGTAAGAAATGCCGTAATCTATTATTTCTCATCTATCCTTATTTTGTAACAACTCCAGTAGTTAGTATAAATGGAGAATATGAGATTCTACTACGAACTACAGAATCAAAGATTGGAAAAACCTACATTTTCAAGAAAGAGGAGAGTCGAATAAAGCTTGGTACATTAGGAGGATACCATGCTTTGTTTCCATATAAAAGTGTGCTTCTGTAAGTATTGACATGTGTATACATAAAATATCTCTGCAGGGGGATTAAACAAGAAATCTGTAAAATTGACCATCTGTAAGTGGTAGGGGGTTGGGCACTGTAAACCGGTAGGAAGGAAGGCTTACTGTCAACCATCTACTTACCTTTTTAACAATTTAATTTTACCAACTGCGTATGTTATTTTTTCAAAATAAACATTTTTGAAATTTCAAAATAATGTATAGTTTTATTTAAACATATTTGACAAAATACTAGAAGCTTTATTTTCTAGGAAAATTAAAATTATAAATTTGACAGAAGATGAAATATTAGGCCTCAATACATCAATCTAGGAAAAAGTAAACTACTATCGAAAGGCATCAGGCCCATATAGTTTTGCATAAGCTACATCAACCTTCAGGGACTCACAATTCCTATAAAATATATATGTTTTTAAATTTCACATTATAAAAGATGATAAGAAGCCACGCTTCTCAATTTTGTATGACTAGCTTGCCTCTAAGAAAAACTGAACAAAAACAACTAAGAAAGTAAATCTATAAGCCAGTCTTATGAATGTAGATGAAAAACTGCTAAAAGACAAATTAGCCAAGCCAATCCATTGGCATATTTTTAAAAATAATAGTAATGTACCATCACCAAATAGAATTTACTAAGGGATGCAGAGAAAGTCAAATAATAGAAAATCTGCTACTATAATTCACAGACTAAAGGCAAAATTGTTACCTTAATAAATGTTCAAAAGCATTTATTTCTTAAGTTCGGTATATGTTTAACATTAAAAAAAGCAAACTTTGAAAAATAGTGTATACCAAAACCACTAGCAATAAGCTACAAAATAATAAACATTTTTACAATTTTGGAATTTCAAAATTGCAGTAAGTAAGAAGGTGTCAGATGATTCTATTACATGGCTTTGAAACCATTTATGAAGAACCCCTTTCTTAGGAAAATAGGATTGACTACATTAATCCTATTCACTAGACTTTAGGATGAACATTGAGAAAGTGTACAGGTGTCTGAGAGGTGCTGCCTATCAATTGCCCAGGGCCCATGTTGCTACTCCAGAAATCAGCAGTGTCTGTGAGTGACAGGAGAAGGGAGAAAACGGAGGGAGACCAAGCCAGGAGGAAGACCCTGGCAGCACTACCCCAGCCACTGGAAGTTTAGGAATCCCCATCCTGCTGTTCCCTTTTCTGTTTTCTTTCTCTCCCTTTCCCCTCCCTTCCCTTCCCTGCCCTTTCCACCTGGGAAGAGCAGCATGCTAAATTATCCTCATTCGGCAGTCATAAAACACAAAGGCTCTGGGAAATATATAATAAATGAATCTTCCTGACTTTTTTTAAGCCCACATTTCTCCAAATGACTTGGTCATGGAACACTTTTTTGTCATTGTTGTTCTTCAGAATTTCTTATTATTTCTGGTAAGAGCCTTGTTCCATGGAATATGAGTTTGGGAAACATTGTCTTAGCACACAGAAAATTTTTGTTGACAAAACATGTTGAAGACTCAGCCACAGACCAAACATCAGAGTTCCGTGATGTTCTGACTGACATGCTCCCACAAGGGGCTACCATAGTCATGGGCTGGACCTTGCCACCTCTGAAACCCTCAGCTGTAATGCCTAAATTTCTGAGCAGAGGCTCTTATTCCTTCACATTTCTCACCTCTTTTCTTCTCCTTCTGCTACTCCCGCTGTTCAGCTTGGATTCTTACAATGTCTACCCCAAGTTTTCTTGAAGTATGGCCCTCAGACCACCTGACTCATGGATTAAAAAGGCAATTTGCTGGAATCCACTCATGAACTAACCTTTCCTGGGAGGGGACTTATTCATCTACATTTTAGTAAGCTTCCCTGGGGAATTCTGTGGTTCCTACCATCTGAGACCCCCTCCTCCAATTTCCGCCCACCCATCATCTCCCTGTTGTGGTTTCCCTTCCTTTCCAGCTAGCCTGACCCCGTGGGGGCATTGGTTTCCTCACTTCTCTGTCCACATTCTCAACCAGAACCCCTTCAGCAGACTGTCCTCCGATGCCACACCAGCAAGCCACCACACTGACTGAAGGCTGATAACCTTCTCAGCTCTACAACGAAGGTGCCAGCCAACACTCCACTCCAGGAGAGTAGCAGACACCGCTACAGCGCTGGTGTGACAAAGTTAGGATCTCCAATCACAGCTTGTTCCTTTGCATCTTTTGCAATTGCTGATCAGCTCCATCCCTTATTCTGGACATTGATTATTCCAAAATTTCAACCACTAATATCAAGGCCTTATGCTCATCCTTCTCACCTCTCTGGTGTCTCTGATACCATCTTCTGCCTCACTGAGGATTTCTGGGCTATTCGACATCTACACCCTAAACATTTTTTTCCTTTACTTAAATGTGCCTTTACAACTCTACTTCTGTCCTGCTTCAAGGATAATCCCCCTAGCATTGAGCCTAATTCCATCCCCTTCCATCTGCTGTGATTTCAGGTTTTATCTTAGATTCATCCCATTCTTTGTCATATTTTTAGAATTTGCTGCTCTATTAGCCCAATCCTCAATCTTCCCTATGTCAAACACACACACACACCCCCTAAAACAAGCAAACAAAAACTACCTCCCCTCGTCCATGTCTCTTCTCCCATTCACAATAAAGTTCTTTAAAACAGAAGAAAATATTTATAAAGACCTATACAACCCTTTATAGAAAACAAAATGGAAAAATTCGAGGAAATTTACATTTAAATAAGAAAAAACAATCACTAAATTCATAACCCAAATGCCTTTTATTTTGCCTGTGTATTTATTTTGAGATCATATTGTTTTTTTTTTTTTTTTGAGACGGAGTCTCGCTCTGTCGCCCAGGCCGGATTGCGGACTGCAGTGGCGCAATCTCGGCTCACTGCAAGCTCCGCTTCCCGGGTTCACGCCATTCTCCTGCCTCAGCCTCCCGAGTAGCTGGGACTACAGGCGCCCGCCACCGCGCCCGGCTAATTTTTTGTATTTTTAGTAGAGACGGGGTTTCACCTTGTTAGCCAGGATGGTCTCGATCTCCTGACCTCATGATCCACCCGCCTCGGCCTCCCAAAGTGCTGGGATTACAGGCGTGAGCCACCGCGCCCGGCCGAGATCATATTGTTTTTAATAATTTTTAATCAAAACATATATTTTTAAAACTACATTATTTTAATGCCTGAAAAAGTCTATGAAATGTGTATAACAATTTCATTTAGTAATTCTTCCTTGACTGGGCGTGGTGGCTCACCAGGGCGGGTGGATCACTTGAAGTCAGGAGTTTGAGACCAGCCTGGCCAACATGGTGAAACCTGGTCTCTACTAAAAATACAAAAATTAGCTGGCCATGGTGGCACACTCCCATAATCCTAGCTACTCAGGACTCTGAGGCAGGAGAATTGCTTGAATTTGGGAGGTGGAGGTTGCAGTGAGCAAGATCGCACCACTGCACTCCAGCCTGGGCAACACAGTGAGACTCTGTCTCAAAAAACAAAACAAAATAACAACAACAAAAGACATTATTTCTTTATTGAACATGTACTTTCTTGCAATTTCTTGCAAGTATAAATAACATTGTAATTTACCCCAAACATAAATCTTTGTTTATATCTATAATTTATTTCTTATGATTGTTTCCTAGGAGTGGAATTCTGGGTCCCAATATGAACTTATTCAAAGTTCTTACAGGCTACCAAAATTTGTTCCAGAATTTGTGTACACCTTGATAATTTAATATCCACTTATTAGAGTATCCATTGTGTTTGAATATTATGATTCTTTACAAATATAACATGGCTAGCTTGGTAATTGTTGTTACTATTACAATTGTGACTGCTATTAAAACTGTGGTCATTATACCCTTCAGTCATTTATGATCTATAGGAAAATTCTAGATTTAAGAATAATAAAAATAAATTCATGGAAATTCCATGGATGACCATATTCAGCCTTTCTTCTTGCTTCTGAGAACCTTATAGTCACACTGACACTCTTAGAAAGTGTATCAAAGCAGACAACATTAATTTATTGCACTGTTAACCCTACCAAATCCAATTTAAACTGTCATTATTTTTTCTTTACTCTTTCTTTGGCTTTTAAATTATTTTGTTTTGCTATACCATGTGTAACTTCAAAAATCATCCGAAGTTTAATTTTGGAATCAGATTAAATTAATATCAAATTTGAGGTATTGCACATTCAGCCCTTTGCTATATTTCTTTATCTTAAACTCTTTTCTTGATTTCAATACTTCTTATCTTCTCGATCCCTGCTCTGCACAAGAAATTGTATTCGAAGAGCTTCGTTAATGATCAAAAATGGTATTTTCAGATTAGTCTATATTTTCTTCTAGGCTTTCGTCATTGTTAAACTAAACCGTTAATCTATTTGGAATATATTTTGCCTTGATATGTAAGAGGATAATCTTATTTCTGCTTCTTCCCAAAATCACTCTTTTGGCTCACATGATTATTAAATTATCCACCTTTCTCTCTTTGATTGGTGATCCTTCCTGTAATTTATACTAAGATCAAGATATGCATATATATCCTTTTCATCAATTATAATACTTCCTAGGGAATCCTCACCACATTATTCCTTAAAAACTAACAACAGAAGTTATTTGTGCTTTATTATTATTCAAGTTTAACTTTAGATTCAATTGGCCACTCATATTTATATGATTTTATGGGTGTATATACTTACAAATACAGTTACCAGTATTTTAGTTCCATTAAAATAATACTCTGTAAATTTTGAGGAATAGCATTAAATTAGTGTTTTTTTAACTTTAGTCATTAAATCACTGTCTTCTTGGCAAATCTATGTCCAAACTGTACAGTTACTTAATGTTTTAATAATACATGTAAATGAATTGTGTGACTTAAAAGAGGAATAAGAGAGAAAATGGAAGAAAAGAATTTCTGTATTAAGTGCACAGCCAGCTCTTCCACACCTGATCTTTCCACTGGTGACAAACTTAGTCTCTTCCCTTTACTTAAAACTTCTTACACTTCTTGGAATGATTTATCACTGTGGACTTGCTGTTGTTGAGCCCAGAGAGAACTCATAATGCGGTCATCTCTGACTCCTGGGTGCCTTTCAGTTTAGATCATCTGAAACCAGAATTCGCCATAATCCTTCCTTTTTTTTTTTTTTTTTTTTTTTTTTTTTTTGAGATGGAGTCTCACTCTGTTGCCAGGCTGGAGTGCAGTGGTGTGATCTTGGCTCACTGCAACCTCCGCCTTCCAGGTTCAAGTGATTCTCATGCCTCAGCCTCCCAAGTAGCTGGGACTACAAGCACGCACCACCATGCTCAGCTAGTATTTGTATTTTTAGTAGAGACAGGGTTTCACCATGTTGGCCAGGATGGTCTCGATTTCTTGACCTCATGATCTGCCTGCCTCGGCCTCCCAAAGTGCTGGGATTACAGGCGTGAGCCACCGCCCATAGGCCATTATTATAACACCTTTTATATAGTGTTAGATGTCTGATCAATGTTTTATTGGATGTTAGGTGTCTGATCAGTGTTTTATTGGATCACGTGTTGTTGAATTTTGAGGCCTATTGCTTTCATATTGTAGCTTCATATTAGCACTGAGAAAGGGAGGTTTTCTTCTGTGTTGCCTTTAAACTCATGCATTTGCAGCTGTCAAAGGAAGCATGGCACACTGTTATCTAGGGCAGGAGCTTACCATCCAGGATCCATCAGCTTCAACCCACAAGAGCAAAATTAACTGGAATTCTGTCCAGGAATTCCTTCCACTTTAAAACGGAGTAGAAGCAAGGTCAATATAGATGACATACGTTTTCTTATTATTATGTAATTATTGTAGGGAATAAATATTTAAGATACCTTTTAAAGATATGTAGAAAAAGAAAAAGATATTCTTAACACCCAATGATTAGTCACTATTATAATTTCCTCAGATCATATATCTCTTTAACTACAATTAATCTGCTATTTTACTTGCCCTCTAAGTTTTTTATTTCAGTCATTAGAATTTTTATTCTGCTTTATTTTCATTTTGCTTTTTATTTTCTGTAGGGTATAGAAATTCTATTTTCTTCCCTCTTTTCTTTTCTCATAGTGTCACATCTTTTCCTCATATTTCTTATATCATTTAAAAACCTACTTATTTAATGGTCTCTTTCATTTATCTCAAATTCTTGAGGTTCTAATGCTCCACTCTGCCATGTCCACTCACTCCTCCTCTGGCAGATTATTTCCCTGCATTGTTTGTAATACTTTTAAATTAGTTCATTTTGTGTGTGTGTGCAGTTACAGAAAACAGAAACATTACAGAAAACATTTGTGTTTTTTACAGCGAGGCATTGCAACAGTAACACTTATCTGGGATGGGTTTTTATATCAATTTCTTCTAAATTACAGTGAAAATGAACATTTGGATTTCACCCCTGCATTGGTTTCCTGGGGCTGCCATAACAACGTACCACAATTTGGGTGGCTTACAGCAACAGAAATGTATTCTGTCTCAGTTCTGGAGGCGAGAGGTCTGAAATCAAGTGATAAGTAGGGTCATGCCCCCACTGCGGGCTCTAGGGAAGAATCCACACTTGCCTCTGCATGGCTTCTGGTGGTTGGTGGCAATCCTTGGCATTCTTTGGCCTGTAGCTGCTTCATTGCAACCTCTGCCTCCATTGTCATGTGGCTTTCTTCCCTTGTGTCTATGTGTGTCCCTCCTCTTCTACAAAGACACTGGTCATTGGATTCGATGTCCATACTAATCCAGCATGACCTCATCTCAACTTGATTACATCTGCACCAACTCTGTTTCCAAATAAGGTCACATTCACACATACCAAGCACTAGAACTTCAACATATCATTTTGGGGAGCACAATTCAACCCACAGTCACACTCACACAGGTGATACTATGCTTGGGAGAGGTGAGGTTTCATGTTGCTTCTCTGGGTCGGTGAACAGGCTTTTTCTGGTGTTCATTGTATTTATTTCATTCCATGGTATGTTTCTGTTTACTTTAGTCTAAATTCCAAGTTACTAGCCCCTTGCTCGGGAAAGGCGAAGAGGTATGCCAACCTAACCAAAATTTATAATAATTATTCTGATTCCATAATGGGAGCATCAGTGAAACCTTGGGGATTTCATCCTTGTAGAAATAAATGTGCTTAAGTAGGGTCTATGTACATCTGGAAGTGCCTCTTACAAGGTGACACTCAGAAAATACTAAATTTTTGTTGGTTTGTCCTAAGCTGTGAAGGCCTTATTTGAATTAAGACCATTAGAAATATCATTGATGTTGCAAAATGTATAGGCTTGCCACAATAAAACCTGCAATTTTTTATAATATGTTAGTCATTAAAGGGACCATTCCTGTTGGCAATATCATTAGAACTTATATAAAAAAATTGAAATCAAAACATTGTATGTTTTTTGTTTTTGTTTTTGTTTTTGAGACAGAATCTTGCTCTGTCACCCAGGCTGAAGTGTGGTGGCATGATCTCAAATCACTGCAACCTCCCAGGTTAAAGCAATTCTCATGCCTCAGCCACCTGAGTAGCTGGGATTACAGGCAAGTGCCACCACACCTGGCTAATTTTTATATTTTTAGTAGAGACAGGGTTTCACCATGTTGGCCAGGCTGGTCTTGAATTCTTGACCAAGTGATCCACCCACCTTGGCCTTCCAAAGTGCTGGGATTACAGGCATGAGCCACCATGCCTGGCCAATAAAATTCTTTTAAGTTAATTTAGATATATATTTTCAGTCTTGGCCATATCTAGAAAATGCATAACATAAGAAGTAGTCCAAAAACAAGAAAATGAAAGATAAGTTTGGTTAATTACTTGTGTCTAAAATATATTATGTATGAGTTAAAGATTTTTAAAAGCTAGTGATAAGAAATAAGTTGACAAATCAAGCTCTGAAACACATGAAAATTTCATTACAAACACCAAGTATTCCAGAAAGGTCTCAAATTATAATGGTTGACACCAATTTTCCTTATAAACAGCCACTGTTGGTAGCAGCTTGTTTTCAAGAGAGGTCAGGAAGTGGCTAGTGTTAACTTTACCCAGAAAATATAAATCACATTCCAGCATTTTCATCTCAGATACTCACAAGCTCAGAAAAATTACTGCAAAATGGTACTGTTTTCATACGAGAAAAAAGAAGCAGAATTATTAGCAAATCTATTATTTCAAGCCTAACACTTAGCTCATGGGAAAGACAGCAACTGAACAGCAGTTGAATGCTAGGAAATTCTAGAAAAGGCATATGGTGTTGTGTCAAATGCTAAAGAACTGAAGATTCCATTCTTACAGATAAATCTGAATGCCAAAAAAGCAGCCTCTTTATATTTAAGTAGATTACATGTCAAGTGTTAGGAAATGACTGAGAACTGGCTAGATGAGATCAAGAGTTTGGAGGCCAGGTGCAGTGGCTCATGCCTGCAATCTTAGCATTTTGGGAGCCCAAGGTAGAAAGATTGCTTCAGCCCAGGAGTTCAAGACCCACCTGGGCATTATAGTGAGATCTTGTCTCTACCAACAATTTAAAAATTAGCTGAGCATGGTGGCATGCACCTGTAGTCCCAGACACTCTGGAGGCTGAGGCAGGAGGATTGCTTGAGCCTAGGAGGCAGAGGTTTTAGTGAGCTGAGGTCACATCACTGCACTCCAGCCTGGGTGCCAAAGTGAGACTCTGTCTCAAAAAATAGAGAAAGAAAGAATTCTGTATGGAAGAGTTTAGTGAGGGATATTTCCAGAGATCCCTTCTAATATCATGAAACTTGAAGAAATAAATCAAAATACTTCTATTTTGAGCAGTTCTATAAAGAAAACTGAAACAAGACAAGACAAAACAAAACAAAACAAACAATCAAAAAGACAGGCAGCTATGAGACCAGAAAGCTGCCCTAAAATATGGAATAACAACAAAAAAACTATCCAGCCACTAAATATTTCTGCAGTCTACCATTTAACCGTTAAGATTGGGATTGTAAAAAGTTCCTAGAGAAAAAGGTAGGAAGGAAACATACCAATTGTTGATAAAATCACTAGTCTAGCTTGAAAACCCTGTGCTGGAACAGCCAGGGGTTGACACAGCGTGGACACTGGCTACCAAAATTAGGGCTTACAAAATTGACAAATGGGATCTAGTTAAACTAAAGAGCTTCCGCACAGCAAAAGAAACTATCATCAGAGTGAACAGGCAACCTACAGAATGGGAGAACATTTTTGCAATCTACCCATCTGACAAAGTTCTAATATCCAGAATCTGCAAGGAGCTTAAACAAATTTACAAGGAAAAAACAATCCCATCAAAAAGTGGGCAAAAGATATGAACAGACAGTTCTCAAAAGAAGACATTTATGTGGCCCACAAACATAAGAAAAAAAGCTCATCATCACTGATCATTAGAGAAATGCAAATCAAAACCACAATGAGATACCGTCTCACACCAGTCAGAATGGCAATTATTAAAAAGTCAGGAATCCATACAGAACATAGGCTTGGGCAAAGACTTCATGACTAAAACACCAAAAGCAATGGCAACAAAAGCCAAAACTGACAAATGGGATCTAATTAAACTAAAGAGTTTCTGCACAGCAAAAGAAATTATCATCAGAGTGAACAGGCAACCTACAGAATGGGAGAACATTTTTGCAATCTATCCATCTGACAAAGGGCTAATATCCAGAATCTACAAGGAACTTAAACGAATTTATGAGAAAAAAACAAACAACCCTATCAAAAAGTGGGCAAAGGACATGAACAGACACTTCTCAAAAGAAGACATTTATGTGGCCAAGAAACCTATGAAAAAAAGCATCACTGGGCATTAGAGAAATGCAAATAAAAACCACAATGAGATACCATCTCATGCCAGTTAGAATGGCGATCATTAAAAAGTCAGGAAACAACAGATGCTGGAGAGGATATGGAGAAATAGGAACGCTTTTACACTGTTGGTGGGAGTATAAATTAGTTCAACCATTATGGAAGACAGTGTGATGATTCCTCAAGGATTTAGAACTAGAAATACCATTTGACCCAGCAATCCTATTACTGAGTATATACCCAAAGGATTATAAATCATTCTACTATAAAGACACATGCACACTTATGTTTATTGTAGCAAGGTGCCTGCACAGGTGCAGTGGCTCACTCCTGTAATCTCAGAATTTTGGGAGCAGACGTGGGCAGATCAAGAGGTCAGGAGTTCGAGACCAGCCTGACCAACATGGTGAAACCCTGTCTCTACTAAAAAAACAAAAATTGGCTGGGTGTGGTGGTGGGTACCTGTAATCCCAGCTACTCAGGAGGCTGAGGCAGAAGAATCACTTGAACCCAGGAGTCGGAGACTGTAGTGAGCTGAGATCAAGCCACTGCACTCCAGCATGGTGACAGAGTGAGACTCTGTCTCAAAAATAAATAAATAAATAAATAAAAGAAAATGTGGCACATATACACCATGGAATACTATGGAGCCACAAAAAAGGATGAGTTCATGTCTTTTGCAGGGACATGGATAGAGCTGGAAACCATCATTCTCAGCAAACACACACAGGAACAGAAAACCAAACACCGCATGTTCTCACTCATAAGTGGGAATTGAACAATGAGAACACATGGACACAGAGAGGGGAACATCACACACTGGGGCCTGTTGCGGGGTAGGGGGCTAGGGGAGGGATAGCATTAGGAGGAATACCTAATGTAGATGATGGGTTGATTGGTACAGCAAACCGCCATGGCATGTGTATACCTATGCAACAAACCTGCACATTCTGCACATGTATCCCAGAACTTAAAGTATAATTAAAAAAAAAACCATTAAAAAGTCAGGAAACAATAGATGCTGGCGAGGCTATGGAGAAATAGGAATGCTTTTACACTGTTGGTGGGAGTGTAAATTAATTCAACCATTGTGGAAGACAATGTGGCAATTTCTCAAGGATCTAGAACCAGAAATACCATTTGACCCTGTGATCCCATTACTGGGTATATACCCGAAGGATTATAAAGCATTCTACTATAAACATATGCACATATATGTTTATTGCAGCACTATTTGTAATAGCAAACACTTGGAACCAACTCAAATGCCCATAAATGATAGACTGAATAAAGAAAATGTAGCACATATACACTATGGAATACTATGCAGCCACAAAAAAGAATGAGATCATGTCCTTTGCAGGGACATGGATGAAGCTGGAAGCCATCATTCTCAGCAAACTAACACAGGAACAGAAAACCAAACACTGCATGTTCTCATAAGTGGGGGCTGAACAATGAGAACACATGGACATAGGGAAGGGAACATCACACACCAGGGTCTGTTGGGGGGTTGGGGGGAAGGGGAGGGAGAGCATTAGGAGAAATACCTAATGCATGTGGGGCTTAAAACCTAGATGACGGGTTGATAGGTGCAGCAAACCACCACGACACATGTATACCTGTGTAACAAACCTGCACGTTTGGCACATGTATCCCAGAACTTATAGTAAAATTAAAAATTAAAAATAAATAAAAAAATAATAAATGGAAAACAAAGCAAAACAAAATCAAGAGCTCGAGTTAACAACTCAGGCTATGGACGCAGACTGAATTTCAAGCTCCAGCTCCTCCCTATGAGGCTTCTGGTGATGGATGTGATAAATCAACAACTAGTCAATAGCCAACATTTATTTATCACTTGCCATGTGCCAGGCTCTGTTCTAGGTTTATTGCATTAAATTAACAAAACAAACAACTAGCAAGTGAGTGAATCCAGGGTTCCTTTGCAAAAAGTCTGGCTCTGGGCCCCACAGCTATACCTCTTTGCAAGATGGTCCTTGTCTAACCACTAAAAGAGAAGCCAGGTGACCTGTGTGACCTTGAACAAATTTCCACGCCTCTCTGTATCTTATTTTAAAATGGGGATGGAAATTAATAGTACTTATCTCATCAAGTTGCTATGAGGTTCAAGTAAAATCATGCTCACATGCTCTTAGCATCAGATCTGACACATAGTAATAATCCACAAAAAGATAATTATTGCACTCTTCTCACTCACCATACTGCACAGCTCTACCAGATCCATGTGTGGTCCAGATTCCTTTAGGCCTCTGCAGTTTATAATTATGACAAAGTCATATGAACTCTAATAACAAAATCTCACAGAATTATAACTCCATCTCCTTTGCCCTCCGTCCCCTGACATGTCATTTCTTCTCTCCCACTCTTAGTTGCTTCCAGGAATCTGAGGGGCATCTCCCATGTCCTCACCAGGAGACTTCTGATGTTTTCTCCCTGGTCCTGAAGGCAATGTGTAGGGCCCACGAAGCCACCTGAGGGCAGCCCCCCAACCCTGTCCCTGCTGCCCGCACACCCTTTGATGAGAACGTGGCCCATGGTGTTGGCTCCCAGGGCTCACAAAGCTACAGACTGGTAAAAACTAAGTGGTTCCCTCTAAAAAGCTTTGCTTTTCTTTCTCCAGGCCTCGATGTGCCACTTTGATTCTTAATTGATCACATCCAGCCCTTGGTATAAAAATATGTCCTTCAGCCTCTGTCTGTAGCATCTCTCCACAGGGCTTAGGCCAAGTTCATGTCGCCGGCCTGGGGAACAGACTCCATCTGCTAGACTGGGACCTTGGCTAAGGAAGTGTTGGGTTTGCCAAAGACTGTCTCAAACCAGTTAGTTTAAAATAGGATCGCATCACACAGTTTGCCAGGGGTTTTCCTGCCCTGAGAAACACCTAGAAGACTTTGGGTGCCGTTACTGAACCTGTCCACCAGCTTGAGGATGGCTGACGGAAGAGCGTCCTGCATGCTCAATGCAAGAGCACAGGTTTCATTAACATGCTTCCCGGGACATGTGCCCTGGTTTATTCCCTACCAAAATGTTTGTTGTGGTGTAGACATGTGCTTTGTCTCAAGTTGCTGTGTTATAGAAGTAAGACTATTCCGTCTGGTTCAGACGAGTTAAGATTATTTGAAATATCCTTTCTCAAATTCCCACCCTTCCCAATTCTGTCTCTATCTATTTTCTGAGAATTTCCAATTCTCCACTTCCTTTAGCATTGTCCAGAGAGTCTGCCTTCTGTGTGTGTGGCCTGACAGTGTCCCACAGTGCTGTTAAATGGGGGCTGTGGTTTATTCACTCTGTATCATTTCAACAGTGTTTCTTTTTTGGCAAGGAAGCATTCTTACATCCCACACTTCCGATTACAAGAGTCTCAGGCTGCATACATGTAAGCTTTTCTTTCCCTTCTTTCTCTCTTTCTTTCTTTTCTTTCTTTCTTTCTTTCTCTCTCTTTCTTTTCTTTCTTTCTTTCTTTCTTTCTTTCTTTCTTTCTTTCTTTCTTCCTTCCTTCCTTCCTTCCTTCCTTCCTTTCTTTTTCTTTCTTTCTTTCTTTCTTTCTTTCTTTCTTTCTTTCTTTTTCTTTCTTCCTTCCTTCCTTCCTTCCTTCCTTTCTTTTTCTTTCTTTCTTTCTTTCTTTCTTTCTTTCTTTCTTTCTTTCTTTCTTTCTTTCTTTTCCTTCCTTCCTTTCTTTCTTTTTTCTTTTTTCTTTCTTTTTCTTTCTTTCTTTTTCTTTCTCTATCTCTTTCTCTTTTTTCCTTCTTCTTTCTCTTTCTTTTTCTTCTTTTCTTCTTTCTCTTTCTTTTTCTTCTTTTCTTCTTTCTCTTTCTTTCTTTTTTCTTTCTCTCTCTCTCCCTTGTCTTTCCTCCCTCCCTCCCTCCCTTCTTTCCTTTATACAAAATCAATAATGCCATAAAACTAAGTCAAAATATACCTTGATTAGCCCCATGTTTAGCAGCTTAAAAAGCTCTTCAGATCTCATAGTAAGTTTAAAAGACAGATTTCATAGTTTGGATTCTTTCCAATCAGGTTGTTGGCTTACATCACAGGATGTCCACTGTAGTAGGAGATGCAACTCTGCACCCCATCCAGCAAGGGTGGCAACTCCTGAGCACCCTGCCCTCACCTCACTCCTCCTGTGACCCTTATTAACAGGAGGTCCGGCGTCTACAGGATCCCCCACGCCACCCACTCCTCACTCATCTCCACTCTGTCCCTGCCGCATCTGGGGAGTGGCAGTGCTTCCTCTCAGTGTTGGGAGCTCTCCAGGCTGGACTGCCCTCCAGAAGGGATCCAGCCCACTCGGCCAGGGCCTGCTGGGTGTGTACAGAGACATAGGTTGACGGTTGACACATCAACCATGTGTCTCTCTACTCTCCTCAGTCTGAATTCCAAACCATGACACAGCTTTTCGTTCCTCATCCACAATCACCCCCCAGGTTCAGGCCCTGCTCAGAGGGGCCAGAAATGGGGTCAGGTCTGATTCGGGAGGCTAGCCTCTCCAGAATCCCCTTGTGAGAGGGGTTACTCTTTCATCTCAGGATATCCACTGGTCACCCACTGTGGGGATGATTAGAAGCAAGGTCACCACCAGGGATTTCAAAGTACCCCAACTACCCTTGAAAGAAGGCTATCCTTGGTTAGTCCAAGGTGAGGAGGGACCAGGGGGTGGGGGGTTGCTGGTTTCTCAGCATCCTCAACATTTTTTGATAAGAGTAACTGACACCTTCTGCATCTCGTTGAGGTGCTCTGCAAATGCGGTCGGTAGCCACGCTAGTCACTCCCGCTTCCACTCAAATTACAGCCCTAAATTCCACTTGGATTCAGATTCTGAGGTTGTCACTCTTCCCAGGTGAATTCTTGTCCTCACCTTCCCTGTGACATTAGTGGCAATGCCCCTTATTATCAAACTCCAGAATATCAAGTTTTGGCCCCAGGAGGCTACCCCTGGATTCTAACTCATTGTATTTTGTCTCCCAAAGCATTTTCTACATTTAAAACTTTTTTTGTCTGACATGTATTAATTTCTCACTCATCAACAACATTTTGTTCTAATATGTATTATCTTTTTATAATACTTACCTTACAGTAAGATTTCCAGAATTGCCAGAAATGCAAATATTTGTTGCATGTTTACTTGTTCTGCTGAATTCTGACCCCCATTAGGATGGCAAGCAAGTGCATTTTGTCCATTGCTGGATCTTTAATTCCTTGAATATTGTTTACAGCATAGCTTTTGTTCAATAAATATTTGTCCGATAAATTAGAAAATAAATAAATGACATTCTAATTTCACCACAGAAGAAATGGCTTTTTAATGGAAACCACATCACACAATTTAAGGGCAGTCTACTGATGGAGGCAGGAGAACATGTTTCTGTTCTGGAGAGCTGCAGATGTTGCAGCAAACACATGAAGCAGCCCTTATGTGGTTACTGGATCCAGTAAATGGTCAAGGCAGGCGGGAACTTGCCTGGCCCAAGTTTTGTTGCAGTGTATATAAAACAGAGACCAATCATAACTTTGGATCCATAATTAGGCTTTTGATTTAATCTCTCTATATTTCATTTCCTTTCTAAGGAAAATAAAAAGTAATAATGTCAATTCTCCAAGTAAATTTATTTTTGATGTTGTTGGAAAGGAAAAAAGGAAATGAAGAACAAATTTGTAGAGGAAATGTCAATGGATTTCCAGATGGGGAGGTTTGGAAATCACTTTGCTTGCATTCTACCAGCCTCCATGCTGTTCCCCTAGCATGCCAAGCACAGTCCCTCACCTCAGAGCCTTTGCACATGCTGGTTTTTTGGCCTGGAAAGCTCTTGCCCAGGATTTCTGTCTGACTTTCTTATTTTTCTTTCTTCATTTTGTGGTCCTTGCCTGACTCCTCTGTGAAAAACAGATGATTCCTCCTTGACCTTGACTTTCCCCAACCAGAATATCTATCCCTGTTCCCATTCTTTATATTTCTTTATGACTTTTTTGCCAGCTAT
Source organism: Homo sapiens (assembly GCF_000001405.40). Lineage (NCBI taxonomy): Eukaryota > Metazoa > Chordata > Mammalia > Primates > Hominidae > Homo > Homo sapiens. Next base: position 41,371,394 of record NC_000007.14, read on the forward strand.
TTATTTCTTTGTTTTAGTTTTTTTGTTGTTGTCATTGTTGTTGTTGTGCTTTTGTTTTATCTCCTGCCATTAGAATATAATTTCCATGAGAGTAAGAACTTTATCTGTTTTACTGATAAAGTTTTACTTTCTAAAACAGTGCTTGATGCATAGAAGGTGCTCAATAAACATGAAAGTAGTGAAAAATTGGATGAGACTGAAGTGAGTAGAGCTTTCCTGCATAGACTAGTTGAGCTCAAATGCTGGCAAAGGTCATCCAGTGGAGTCTGGAACTGGCTCATAGCAGTTCAGGAGAACTGATTGTGCCCATTTCTTTCCAACTCTGCATTCACTGATATTATATTGGCAATTTAAAATTGGCCACAGTGGGAATATTTACACCGGAGAAATGGGCCAATGCATCACATCAGGCCTTTTCTTTCTTTCTTTTATTTTTCCTGGAGAGTCAGCTGTTAAACATTTTTCTGGCATACCATTGGCCTTAACCAGATATCTGCCTAGAAAATTATTAGGTCTGTATACATAAACAATGTTTACATCAAATAATTGGAAGTTTCGTACTGAAATGTGCTTATTAGACATGTTAGTAATTCAATCCGCCCAAGGGGAAGAGGAGTTTTAAAGGACTCAGGATGGAAGTCAAGCTTGATGAAATCAGTGACAAGCAGGAAATTCGGATCTAAGGAAAGCCAAATTTAAATAATTTTGAAGAATAGTAAAATGGATTCCAAGTGTAGAAAATCATTGATTACAGTTATGAGAAACTGCATGTTGTGTAAGACTGTTATTCTAAGTAAAGAATTTAAATGATTTCCAAGTATACAAGGAAGACACCAGAGTGTCTTGGGCTCGGAAGTCCAGCTTATCCCTGCAGTCTCCACCCAGGGCCTAGATACAGCGTATTTTATGAATGAGAAAACAGATTGGGAGGTGTAAGTACAAATCACATTTGTTCTTTTCACTTGCAAGCTAAAAACCCTCAGCACTTCTTTCAGTGTGACAGGAAAACATCCAGCTCTTTAAAAGCTGGAATCACAGGAAGCCTCTCACATTCTCTCCCTAACCAAATTTTTACCATCTCCTTTGCTCACTGACCTCACACACTTTTATATTCTAATCAGGCAAAGACACCACTGCTCTCTGAACATGGCTCGTTCTAAGGGGCGTGGCTTTGGGGTGGACTCAATGCAGATTCTGGGGCTGCTTCTTAGTTCTGGGGCTCCATGGGGTCTGGGAACCATCTCATTCTTGTCAGTACCAGGGGGCTTGTATCGTGGCATCTGTTAATATGGCTACGAATATGCTTTGCAGTTCCTCTGCCTGGAATACAATTTTGGTTTTCAACTAACAAACGCTTTCTCATTTTTCAAGATTCATACCAGATATGGCCTCTACTTAGAATTCTCTGATTTTCAGTAATTTGAAAATCAAAGAGCAGTAGAAATTCCCATTCTCAAAACATTTACAATATATTTGTAAATGCCAAAAAAGAAAAGAAGAAAATTTCAGGATGCAAAAAAAAATGCACTTACAGTATATGGGGTCCACAAAGCACATCACAACTACTGCCCTTCTACAGAGACATAGATGTTCGTAGTGTAGAAATCTCCTTTGCTTTGTACCTGTTTTGCTGCCTGCTGATAGTCTCACTAATCTTTAAATGCATGATAGGAGCAGATGCTTCTATTTTTTTCAGTGAAATCAGTCCATGAACATGAATTGGAATTGATTATAAAAATTCAAATGTAATAGAAATGTATTGCATAAAGGTTGAAAGTTTTCCTCCACTTCTCCCAATTCCACTTCACTTCCCATAGGTAGCCTCTCAAAACAGGCTTGGTACATCCCTCTAATTAGTATGCACGTGTGGGTTTCTGTGTGTGATTTCATAAACACATCAGTTTTTGTGTGTTTGCTATATAATGGAATCATATTATATAACTGTATTGTTTTGTGAGCTATTTGTTTTACTTCATAGGGTACATTGGCAACCTTTTTTGTCAGTACATAGTGCTAAATAATATGTCATGCTTTGTTTTATTTTATTAATATTATTACTATTATTGAGACAGAGTCTCGCTCTGTCTCCCAAGCTAGAGTGTAGTGGCAAGATCTCGGATTACTGCAACTTCCACCTCCCGGGTTCAAACAATTCTCCTGTCTCAGCCTCCCGAGTAGCTGGGACTACAGGCACCTGCCACCACGTATGGCTAATTTTTGTATTTTTAGTAGGGACAGGGTTTCATCATATTGGTAAAGCTGGTCTCAAACGCCTGACCTCAGGTGATCCACCTGCCTTGGCCTCCCAGAGTTTTGGGATTACTGGCGTAAGCCACTGTGCCCAGCCTTCATGCTTTATTTTAGAAGCCCCTAGTTAATGGATATTTAGTTGTTACTTATTTTTGGCCACTCCATACAAAGTACCAAAAGATGCACTTAAACACACATTTTCAGGTACATGTATAAGAATTCTACAAGGTAGATTTCTGAAAGTGGAATAAGTGGGTCAAAACACAGACACATTTCAGGTTTTGCAAAGTATTGTTAAATGGCTGCCTAGATAGGGTGCCGGAATTATGTTCCCACCGTCCGTGTATGAAAGAACTCAATTCCTCAGTAGAATGGATTTAAGAACAGGCAACTGAGCTGCTCTATTTGAGGCTAAATATAAAATCCCTTAGATTTTTAGCATTTGTGTGTACGTGTGTTTTTTTTTTAAAGTCTATCTGTGTGTGTGTTTGTAGTGATCTCTGATCCATAATTTCTGTGCAACTGCAGTTGTTTTCCATTCAGCATCTGGTGGTATCTCTAGCTCTTTAGATAGAATGGAGTTGGCCAAGGTTATCACTGGGGACTCTGTTGAGTCTATGCCCTCTTGACGCAGGCCATGCCTCTGAGAGATTCCCTTGCAAGGAACAGGTGTCCAGGGTGCTTGGAAGGCTTCTGGGCATCACGAGGTCACTGCAGAGAGCAGAGCCTCTTCATGAGTCAACAAAGGGTGTAGTGGAGGCAGTCTGGCTCTCCCCACCATACCAAGCATATTTAGTCTGGGAGGATGTGGACGGTGGGCACAGACACAGGAGGGTCCTTTGCATTCCTCTAAGCAAACTCATTTATCAGGCCGGGGGCTGATGAAGCATAAATGGCAAGGGTGTCAGGGGGCCAGGTGGCACGGTGCATGCTGCCCTGCACCTCCAAGGAATGAGGGTCAAGTGTCAGCCCTGGACACTCTCCAAGTGCCTTCTCAGGTGGATTGAGAGGCCTTCTTGTTTGGGAACAGAGATCTTTTGTTAACATACACAGAGAGGAAGCCACTCATTCCACAGAAAGCCTGCTAAGGCAGGGCCTGTCCTACATAAAAATGTTTCGGATGTATAGATACAGAGCTAAAGATAGAGATAAAGTGGCACATATATAGATATGGGCAACAGCATACATAGTCTGTGCAGTAGTACATGTTCAGATATGCCGAGATTCTCCTTGAGGGCCATATAGTGAGGGAGGCCATGGCACTCTGTAATTGAAGAACAACATAATGGAGTATGCAATTCATGAATGCAGTTTAAAGTCTCTGGGGATTTTTTTTAATTTAAAAAAAAATGTTCAAAAGTGCTTTTCCTCACAGAATAAAAAGGGCCATGCCTGCCTTTATACCTGTCTCTATGAACAGAGTGCAAGAAATGTGTATGTAAAAGATGTGATCATAAAGTAAATAGGCTTTATTTAAAAACATGTGCTTTATGAACTCAAAATATTAGCTGGAGTCTTTTTCTAGGGGAAAAAATATCTATGTGTTGTTGCAGGGATTCTGCCCTTAATTAAGAAAGTCAGCATAAATAAGAAGGTTTTTATTTAAGAACACAGTCTCCCTTCACATCTAAACTTATTTAAACTAAGACCTTTGGCATTTTTTGTAAAAGCAGAATGAGTTTCAAGGCTGAAGGAGAGGGGTGTCAGCAGCATCTCGTTATCAAAATTGAGGTGGGATGAGGTTGCTGCTTCATTGTAGATTTATACAACACTCTTAACGGAACTAAAGATTGGAAAGCAGCTCCTGCAAAATCACATATGTTATAAATTCTTTTTATTCATATATTCCTTTTTTCTTTATTGAGGTATAATTTGCATACAGTAAAATGCACATATCTTAAAGTGTACAGTTTTATGTATTTATATGTATATTTTGACATAGGACCTTACTTCATACTTTGCTGCAACGTGCTTTTTCTTTCTTTTTAATAGGCTTTATTTTTAAGAGCAGTTTTAGGTTCACAGCAAAATTGAGCAGAAGGCACAGGGATTTCCCATACACACCCTGCTCCCCCACAGGCATAGCCTTCCCAACTCTCAACATTCCCCAGCAGAGTGGTGCATTTGTTACAACCAATGAAGCTATGTTGACACATCATGATCACCCAGAATCCATAGTGAATTTTGTAAGTGTACTCATATTGCATGTCATTTATTCAGTCTGGGTTGCTGTGCTGAACATAAATTGCACAGAGGTATGCTTGTGTAATTTTTTTCAATAGATTAAGTAGAAGCTAGAAACAGAAATAGAATTGACAACCCCAAGGAGTGGGGCATTGGAAATATTGTTTAAAGCCTCAAATTATAAAGCCTTTATTTGTTTGTTTTATTTTTTATCTGTGCCAAAAGCACAAAGTATTGTTCTGGATTTTTGTGAAGACCCTTTTTTTTTTTTTTTTTTTTTTCACTGAGAACCTAAGTGAGGAAATTTTCTCTCTACATCATACCAAGGAGAGAGCTTAGCACCATTTGGATTGGTTCCAAGGACCCCAGGTAGGAGAAATAATCATTTAGATGTAAGGAAGTTGACAGAATCTCAGGTCTACAGGGTCCCCTGCCACTGTCTCCCTGCTATCACATTTTCCTAATTGCCCTCTTAATCCCACTTTCACCCCATGGCCCTCTTCCCTGTCACTTAGTGTTATCTTCTCAAAAAACAAATTCATCATGTAATTCCTCTGCTTGCCAATGGGAGGAAATCTAATTGACCTTTTAGGTTGAAATCTGAATTACCTGATCACCAGGTCTCTCATCTTCGGTCATTCCCCTACTATCCCTTATATTTCTGTGTTGCTGAATTTCACCATTGCTCAGTGATGCCAGGCCAGGACTTTCCATGAACAGATATGCCTTGGTACATTTTTTTTTTCCCTCCAGCACCAACGTCTCTGGAAAACTCTTCTTCCTGCTCATGGAAGCCTTACTCAATCACCTAGGCAGAGGGAATTTGCCGCCCTCTTTCCAACCTCAGCATCACTTGCCTTTGACTGTAATAGAACACATTTTTACTTATTTTTTGTGCATATTCCAATCTCTTCACTAGGCTACAAGTTTTCAATGGCAGGCATCACTTTTTTCCTCATTTTTTTGTAACTCCATTATCTAGATTTCAGTGCATAACAGAAGTTCAATACCTGTGTTAAATAAATGGCTACTCTGCAGCATGAAAGACACTGGAGTCTGTTAATTAAGTGTTTAAAAGCACTAGATGTAGATTATGGTGATTGTGTTAACAAAAATGAAATAACATTTTTTTATGTGAGATATACCTGGGGCATTAGTTAAACATACATATTCCTAGGGCTCTCCCTGAAGACACTGACTCAGGGAGTCTGTGGCAGGGCCTTGGAATTTTCATGTGTATCACTTGTCCAACGTGATTCTCATAATTCTGTACATAAGGGAAACTCCAAGTCAAAACACCCTGCTGCATTGTTAGGGTGGGTGGTATTGCTGGCTATCCCTGAGCCATCTAGGACACAGTAAGCATACGCTTACTAAGTTCCTATCATGGGCCAGGCACCATCCTAGTGCTTGAAGTTGCCTTAACCGTTGGAAACTACTCCATCCAGAGTAAGTGGATGAATCCCCTCACAAGGATTCTTCTCATGTGAGTGAATTCAGAATCAAGTTGAAAAGATGAAACCATATTCCCTTTTAATAACATAAATAACCACTGTTATTCTTTTATGTTATATAAAATTGCTGCATAAAATAAATTTCATCATTTGTAGTCATAACTTTGAATATCCTTTCTGAAACTTAACTTTCCCAACTCACTCTCCTAAAGAAGCCCGCACCCTCACCACCCCGCCCACCGCCATCAGAATCTGATATCCCACCACAGTTGAGTATCTCTGGTCTGATACCGGATTCCAGTTGCACCTCACCTCACCTGTTCTGTCCTGCAGCAGGTGATTATCCATGCCCTGGAATAGTTGAGATGTGGCAGATATTAATTTACACAGGCTTACCAATCATTTCAAACCCTATCCTGGAAACAAAGTTTGAGGCAAAGGAGGAGTCAAGGCAATGGAGGAGCTGGCAAGTAAAGTCATTAGGATTTTGGGGTTAGCAGATTGGCTATTGAGTGTTACCCAAGGGTGGGAAGGGATGCAGAAAAAGGCAAGTTGCATCAACCTCCTTATGTGGCCTGGACAGCTAATGATGGGAATTGTTTAGAGATTTAAGACAAGCATTCTTAGTCTCAGGATATGAACAAACTACTTTTGAGCTCCAAAAGAAATCACTCTGAAATCCCACATCTATCCCTTCTACTGTAGAAAGGAAATCATACATGTCAGAGAAACTACTGACATTGCTTTTTCTTATTTTGTAAAGAGCAAAATACAGCATCTTGTCCAATCAGGGGTTGCAACACCACGCCAGTGTTCAGAGAGTGGAGCTCGACGGGTGGATCTGGAGTCACCCCTCCTTTCAAAAATTGTCAACTAACACATCTACCAAGTGTCCAGAGTTTCAGTTACACGGTTTCTTGTTGACTGTTAATTATATGTGTAGCCTTTATTTTATAGAGGCTTTATCCACATGAAATTATTGGGTCAGGGTTCTAGTCCCATCTCATGTGCACTCTTCTAGTTAGTCATCGTGCATTTAAATGGAATTCTTTCAGGAATTTAAAAAATTAAAAGCATCCTGTTCATTTTCCAGGGGAAAAGAAAAGCAAAAGTTCTTTTTTTTTCTTCTTCAGAACTTCTTATAGAAGCCAGTTCTTGGAAGAGCCAGGAGCACTGTTCTGATAAGGTCAAGTTGCCCTGGGTTTGCAGAGATCACATCAACCAAATGGAAATGCATAATGGACCAGAAATGGGGTCAACTGCATCATGGAGTTTGAAGTGGAGCTGATGAAGTGGCCTTGCTCTTGCTTAAAGTGGGCAAGCCATTTGGTGTGATTCAAGGTCCAAGGAGGAATTTGAATATTCCATTATTACATGAGAATTATGGTATAATGCAAAGACTGCTACAAGAGGTAATCCAGTATTAGATTTGCAAGCTGTCATTTAATTGATAAAGAAAATCCCAAAGCAATCAATCATTGGCATATGTAAATTCTGAAAGAGGAGTAGGTGGAAAACTTGCTTGGGTGATGGTTTGGGTGGAAGGGGTGGAGGATGAGGTTGTTCTGGGCATCCAGAATGTGGCCCTTGTGATCTGGATACTGGAAAATAGGCATGAAAATTGTGAAATCAACCTCAACAGCAGAAGTTAGACTTGGCCAATTCAAAAATTACATTTTTAGTATGGTCTGGTTGTTCCATGTAGATAATTTTAGGAAGGAATAATGAAAATTTTCAATCAATCAGTAGTTCAAAAGCAAAATGAGCTACTCTACGAAATAAATTTTTCATAATTGGAAGTGTTTAAATAGGGACTGGACAATCTGCTTTGAAATGTTTAAGAAGGGAAGACTGACATTGAATAAAACGGCTTTCAAAGTTTTACCACAGCTAGTTTTCTATGAAACCCAGAGGGTTTTTTTTTTTTTTTTGGTCCAAAGACATATGTAATGTCTTAAACTTTATATTATTCAACTTTTCACTATAATTTATCAAGACCATTTTTTAAAATCTAATTTTGTTGTTAAATATATTTTCTGACCCTTCCCATTTGACTTTTTTCTAGAAATTTCATAAGCCTGTTTCCTTTCACCAAGTAATTGATAATGTTGCTGGCTAAACAAAGATATTATATGTAACCAATAAATCGATAGCATTTTTATCAATATGATATATTGTTGATAATATAATATATATGTATAATATATAAAACTGAGAAATTGATAACACTATTGAAAAGAAAATGTTGAGTACAGAGCCATTTATCACTCCACCAGACACCTTGAAGTTGTTTTCATTCATCCATTTACTGAGTCGCCTTACAGAGCTCACACTAATTTAATATATTCTTTTCTTAAAATTGATTACATTTCACTCGTCTCTAGTCTTCTCAGACTTTCCACATCACCATGATCCTTTAAAGATTATCTATGATAAATCAGCAATCTATTCTGCAAATTTTCTTCTTGTCCCATCTGTTGTATGTCCCCGTGTGCCTCATATGGATGATAATCCATTATTTGAACGTCACTTTTTTATTTTCAGTGACTCTTTTTGGAAGCTGAAGTTTATCTTCCACTCGGAGCTTCCTAAAGTAACTATCAGAAATTACAGAAAACTGTTATCTTTGATCCTGCACCCAATGTTAGAATAAAACTTCCTAATATCTGAATTCACAGATGTTCTAATTCACCTTCAGCACCACCATTGATTTCTTGGGTATGGTAATATACAACAGACACTCAGAAGAATTTTATTACTTGCAAGCATCTTTTACACATTAGTTCTTCTCCGCATATTTAGGGAAGCAGAGAATCTGAAAAATCATGGTGCTCTTCATAGGGCACCATGAAATATTTGCTTCTGTTATACAGAGCAAAAATAATTTGTCAATAGAACGTGTTTAATGGTATACATATGAAATATCAGGTCATATGTACAAACACTCATGAAAAATATATTTTATCAAGCATGGCCAACTATTTACATATTTTTCTGTGAAAATGAAGTTGATATTATTTTTTTAAGGTAGTGCTAATTTGTAGAAAAATTAGAGCAGCTATGTTACACAGTTTTTATTAAAAATATTTAAGATAATTCCATGGAAAGAAAACTAAAATTTTTCTTATAATATCTTTATTTTATGAAGATGTTGTTTGAGTCATACTGCACAACATTATTCAATTTAGATCTTATAATCTGTTAGATAATTAATATCTTTCCAAATATCCAAATCAGAAAACCAATGAACCAGGCTGTTAAATAATTTGTTCCAACATGATACCAGAGCCAAGATTCTTGCCACCCCACGGTACTGCTCACGTTTCTTCTTTATTGAGATCATTTATAATGAGACAGTCACAATTATGTTTTCCAGAGCTTCCTAACAAGGATGGAAATACACCTGAGGGAGGGGCCAGGAGCACAGGCTCTGCAATCAGACTGCTGGGGTTTCACTTCCATCCCTGCCACTTGCCACCTGGATGATCTTGTGCAAGTAGCTTAGTTACTCTGTGTCTCTACCTTAGTATGGACTCATAAAACAATAGTAGCTACATCATAGGCTTGTTGTGACTGTTACTTGAGGCAATCCTTGTAAAGGATTTAGCACAATGCCTGGCATAAAATAAGCCTCGGATGAGTGTCAGTTAAGTTGTAGTCATTTTCTGCCACACACCATGGAATCCTTCTCTGTCTATTTTTCTTTTCTTTTCTTTTCTTTCTTTTTTTTTTTTTTTGAGATGGAGTTTCATTCTTGTTGCCCAGGCTGGAGTGCAATGGCGCAATCTCAGCTCACAGCAACCTCCGCCTCCCGGGTTCAAGCGATTCTCCTGCCTCAGCCTCTCGAGTAGCTGGGATTACAGGCATGCACCATCACGCCCAGCTAATTTTGCATTTTTTATTAGAGATGGGGTTTCTCCACATTGGTTAGGCTGATCTCGAACTCCTGACCTCAGGTGATCTGCCTGCCTTGGCCTCCCAAAGTGCTGGGATTACAGGCATGAGCCTGAGCCCAACCTATTTTACTTTTCAATCCATCTTTTCAATAACTTAAAGTACAAGTGTCAATATATACAATCTTTTCCTCCCTGGTTATCAAGCTTTCTAATATATATGGATGTATCTTCCAGTTTTGATCCCATTTACTTTACAGCGTCACTGCTGTGGAACCCAGAGAGCAGCTCTTTCTAGGAGGGGCAAACAAGAGCTAAGAAAGCCAAGACCTCCCGGGTGTTGTGCTTTCGCAAGACCAATGTTTCCAGGTGTCCTGAGGAGAGGCTCTGTGCCAATTTTGCATCCACATCAGAACTACATTATCCATTGCTGTGTTCTGTAGTTGTCGCTTATAATATTAGTCTCACAAAACTACATATGTGTCTTTATTTGGATCTTGCACATCTTTCCAACATGGAATTCTAATCTTGACTTTCATCCCACCCTGATCCAGACCTATAAAGAATGCTGCAAGAGAACTTTACAGTGAGTGCACATCTGACCAGACTTTTTCGTATCTCATACCTAGATCTCTTACTTTTGAGTTCTGCCTACTATTGAGACACCCTCCCAAATAAGACATTTTCTTTCTCACTTGGATGAAGATTTCCCATTAGGCAAGACCACCCTCGGCATCCTTTTCAAATTACTGTGACATATTTCTTTACCCAATGGAACCAATGGTGCCGGGGGGAATGAGTTCCTTATCCTCAAATGCACAAAATGTACAAGCACAGAATCATCTTTAGTTATGCAGGATGAAAGAAACTTATGAGCTTATTCTATGTATCGCCAAAAGGATCAGCTAATTTCCTCATTCCCTTATGTATTCATTCTTCATCCAAATTCTACTCTCCCAGAACTAAGAGAGATCACAGGTGTTGGGAAATCTAATAGGCAGGAGGATAGAATTCAAAAGCAGTGACTCTTCAGATACAGTGCGTGAGGACAAAATAGTCGCCCTGTGTTGAAGAGACGATGTAACTTCTTTAGTGCCCTCCTTCCTTTTCCATTTTCTCTTGCATCTTTGGGTTTCAATTGTCCCCCCAAAATACAAATCAGAAATGCTGAAAATTTAAATCTTATTTTTCTTTTTGTATTTTGAAGAACACAGCCCAAAAGTAATAATGAAAATAGAAAGTCATATATCCTAGATTCTAAAGATTGAATGGATGTTGAAGGTCATCTAGTCAAAGCACAGAAATGGAATGCTCAGCATGGTGCAATTTCTTTCTAATTTTTTGGGGGAATTGTTTAGAATGGGAAGTTAGTTTTGTGCACATCTGTATGTTTCTCTCATCTTTAAAAATGGATTTGTTCTGTTTTCTCCATGTTTCTTTTTTTCTGTAAAAATATTGAGTTAGAGGAGAGGGGACACTGAGTCTGAGGCCAGTGCTTCCTGTTGAATCATATCAACCTCTCCCTTTTAAAAGGATCAAGGGAGATCCTTCCTTTTAAAACATGTTTTTTCTTTGTGTGTTTGTTTGTTTGTTTTGAGATAGAGTCTCGCTCTGTCACCCAGTCTGGAGTGCAGTGGTGCCATCTCGGCTCACTGCAACCTCTGCCTCCCGGGCTCAAGCAGTTCTCCTGCCTCAGCCTCCTGAGTAGCTGGGACTACAGGCTGCCTGCCACCATGCCCAGCTAATTTTTGTATTTTGAGTAGAGATGGGGTTTCACCATATTGGTCAGGCTGGCCTCAAACTCCTGACCTTAGGTAATCTACCTGTCTTGGCCTCCCAAAGTGCTGGGATTACAGGCGTGAGCCACCATGCCTGGCCTAAAATACATGTTTTTTGATGATGTGTCAGTGCCAGCTATCATTGGAGGTCTACTTTGAGGGTTTATGGTCCATGGAAGCTAACACCAGGTGTGCCTGAGGGCTCAAAGGGAGATGAAAACCCACTGGTGGAGGACAGAAATGCCAAAGAACCAATCATCATCCAACTGACAAATCCCATTCCGGATCTTCAGTTAAATTTAAAACAGTTGTGCCTCATTCTAAAAAATAACCAATTATCTGGTTCTTTACGAGGGTAGGAAGAAGAGCCTTCGGGCCACATTCTGATGTTCTTGTCTGAAGGGGGGACCCTATGGAAGTCATAAATTAACAAATTTCATGGTTAAAAATATCTGATTTCATGCCTACTTACATCCATATAAATGTCATATTGAAACTATGAAGTGCGTGTTGTAGCTGGGACACCCAGAGGCTCCCTTTAAACTTCTCCTTCGTGCTGTTGACTTCTACGTGATTTCTCAGGCTGTTGGAGTCTCAGCCATGGAAAATGCTGTTTCAAAAACTTCCTAGTCATTTTCAACTTTATGTTATTACAGGTTTGACTATTTTTAAACGATTCTGATTCTGTTCCCTTCATGACACTGGGACAGAGGACAGGCTGAGGGGACTTCTCCCTGGTGTTCTCCTCAGCAGACATTCTGCAGCTTGAGCTTTTCCAGGCCCTGGGGTGCAACCGTAATGACCCAGTTACAGTGCCTCCACCTCCTCCAGTGAAATTCCTGTAGCCCAAGGACTCTTGAGATCCCTCTCTGGTGAGTCAATGGCTCTGTGGGATTTCCTGTGCACTTTAATGGATGTGCAGAATATTCTGGTCTATTTCTCCCACCCCTTGGTATCCTCTCTTTTCTTCATGACCCTCCAGGCGCTCTTTGTCTTCTGAGATACACTACTGCTATTCCTTTGAATGCTGGGATGATCTCAAGGCACTCTGGTGAAGGACTAACTCCATTTATTTCTTCTATGTTGTTGGAGTGGCACTATTTTGTTCTGCTACAAATAACACAAATGTGTCCTGGGGCTAATCTTACCAGTTATTACATATTCTATTTCTAACACAAAAAGGTAGAGCTTTTTCCTCCACCTTATCTCTATTTTTTATAGGTTCTTTCTCTGTTTACCTGTCAGGGCTGGAAGGTAATAAAAGGTTTGAGTGTCCTGTGGCATCTAATTACCTCTCTTCTTCAAGAGTCCATCCCTGAAACTCTCTCCTTGCAGGATGAGTCTTTCCTGTTAGGAATGCTGCTGACGAGATAAAGAGATGGCTGTTTGCCCTATGGCCTCTTAGAATAGGTGCTGGAGAGGAGCATGTGAGCCTTTCCCATGAAGCTGACCTACCTATAGATTAATATTGCAGATTAGCTCTAGGCTTTACCTAGTCTTCTAGGAACATCTGGGTTGACCTAAATATAAAGGGCCAGACCGTGGAGAACTCTAACCGGCCCCCTGTTTGTTTGCCCATCCTAACATGTTTTCTTAGACATAGATAATAATTTTTGAGTTTTAAAAATTATATGCGAATGTCTTTCAATTATATTATTATTAAAAAATATTATTAAAAAAATAAATATTTTTTAGACGGAGTCTCATGCTGTCGCCCAGGCTAGAGTGCAGTGGCACGATCTTGGCTCACTGTAACCTCCGCCTCCCAGATTCAAGCGATTCGCCTGTCTCAGCCTTCCAAGTAGCTGGGATTACAGGCGTGCGCCACCACGCCTGAGCAATTTTTGTATTTTTAGTAGAGATGGGGTTTCACCATGTTCGCCAGGCTTGTCTCGAACTCCTGACCTCAAGTGATCCACCCTCCTCGGCCTCCCAAAGTGCTGGGATTACAGGCATGAGCTACCGTGCCCGGCCCTTTTTAATTATATTATAACTAGCTGGGAAATGTGTCACCAATTTGCCACAGGTCTCACTATTCTCTATTGTTCACACCTTTTCTTTACTTGGCACGATGAGCTCATTGACATTCTGCTGGTCCTTGAAGTCATTCCATTTCTACTTCTGGCTTAGATTCCTGCTCAGAGACCCTATACTGATCAGCATAACAAATTTAGGCCAATGAAAGAGTGCAGCCATTGATGCATATAACATATTTAGTGTACATTATTTGATTGATTGAATTCATGAATAAGACCTTTATTCTTTTAGGATATACCTGTGTACTTACATAGATCATCAGAAAATAAGATGTCTTCACTTTTTATTGCTAGCAAGAGCTGGAAGAAAAATATAATCAAATTCTCCTGCAATTTCTGACGTTACATGGAGATCCAACAGAAAGAAGCCAGCAACTATAGTGTAGAAAGGATTCTGAGTTTTAAACACACACACACACACACACACACACACACACACACACACACACAAAGACACACATGCACAAACACACACACAAACACACACACACATATATACCTGCAGAGGTTCCCTAATAGCAGAGAGCCAAGGACCTTTTTATAGATGAAGAAAACAAGAGCTGAGGTGCTAGGTGAACAGTGCTAATGAGTGTGGCTGGGATATCCCCTGCCTTGGTCAGCCAGAGCACTACAGGTGCAGCTCACTTGGTGGTGTCCTCAAACCTGAAAGCCATTGTGTTCTACACTATGTAAGAAGCTACTTCTCTGGATTGGCCCCAGCATCTTCCTCTGAGCCAAGAACTTCAGTGACACTGGTGGTAGGAGAGTGAGTCTGGGCAAGAAAAAGAAGATCACAAGACAGGAATTGCCTTATGAAGAGCCCTGAAATGATAGGAAAATTTCAAGAAAATAGACATGGCACTACAAAATAAGCTTAATTTATTTTGAATTTATTGATTAGATACTTATATAGTGCTTAATATGTTCCAGGCATGTCCTAAGCTCTTAAATACGTTAACTTGAATAATCACAACAACCTGGTGAGGTAGGTGTTATTGTTCCCATTTTACAGAGAAAAAGATGGAAGAACAGAGAAGTAAGGTAACTTGCCCAAGGTCACATAGCTCAAACTGGGGGAGCCAGGAAGGGAATCAATGCAGTCTCTGTGCTGAACCAAGTTGCTACGGCATTTCCCTAGTGAAGTGAAGGGGCTGGTAGACAGGAAGTGAGGATAGTTAGGCTCAGGAGGTGGATTTCTTTCAGGACAGGACTTGCTGACTTTCCCCAGGCTACACCATTGTTGTGGCTCCCTAGAGTAAGGAGAAAAGAATGTGAGAGAGAAGAGGAGCTGCTCTCACCTCCTCCCCACCCCACTTCACTTGGCTCCTGACCCCACCTTCTCATTGGCTCTGGTTCCTCACTTGGCTGGGAGGTGCATCCATTCAGGTAAATGATGCACTTACAATATAAGATGTAAACACTTATATTGGAAATATTTCAGGAATACTTCAGGAAGAAAACCGGACTAAGAATTATGAGAATTGGATTCTAGGATTTTCTCTGCCTCTAACCAGCTGTGTGACCTTTGGAAAATCATAACTTCTCTGGACTTGTGATTCTTCATCTGTTAAAAAAAATGAAACAAGACTGGACTAGAATATTGCAAAGCTTCCTTAGAGTTTAGATACTCCATGATTCTATGATATAAACAAACCAAATATTTTAGCAAATGTTCCTATAATGTTGATAAAACAACTTAAAATGTCTGAGCTAATTTCAACTCCATGCATTTCAAAAACAAGATCTCTCCTCATTTTTGTTTTCACTCTTGTTTTTTGTTTATATACATGTTCTTACTTGTTACCCCAGAAGGTGAGGAAAGCTTCATACTGTCTGACCAGGTTTTCCTTTATTTTATTGTTTTATATTATTTTATCACAGTTTAAATGTCATAATACAAATCAGAATAGTCCAAAATAGTGCAAAGCCTGTCAAGATTTTTTTGAGGAAATTCACAGGAACTTCCTGTATTTTCACAACCATTTAGCATATGCCAGATGGGAAAAATAATGCATTGCTTCCCGAGGAAGTGGGACATTTAGTAAGACAGTTTTTCACACATAAAAATACTGTCTTTTATCTCTGAACTACCCATGGATCTATGAAGGGAAAAAATGCCTTGGATCTGTAAGGTTTTTGTGGTAAGAAGTCCCTGTGTGAATCAGAGAAGAACTTACTGAAACTCTGTTCTGTGTAAGCACTCTTATAGGTGTTGTGGGGATTTAAAGAAGAAACAGAGGCCTCCTACCCAGCTTAAAGAGATTAGGCTTCTAGGAAAACAAAACATGTTAAACTATGCAGTTACAGGAAGCTGAGAGTGTGAGATGGTGTCCAGGGCAGATCAGTAGCTTTGAGGGTTACTTCAAAGCCTGTGTCCGAAGCCACCAACACCTTATAAAAACTCAGGGACCACACTTCTTGGCTCAGAGAATTCCTATGAGGTTTGGCCACCACCTTCTGCTTTTGCTTGTGAACTTTTTGTTATCATCTTGCCACGTTGTAACAGGATGTCACCTCCCTGCCCAGCCCTCATGTGGAGACAACCTGGAGGTTGCCAGGCCTCCATGGGCTGGCCCTGAGGCTCCCCAGTGTGCAGGGCCTCTGCTCAGCCCAAGTCGGGTGGAGTCTTCCAGTCATCCTTCCCTCCTGGTTCTCTCGCAGCTCACCTCCAATCCAATCCCTCAGAAAATCTTCTGCCTTTAAGACACATGGAGTCTGACCACTTCCCTCCACTCTCCACCACTTCTCCTATGACCAAAGCCAAACTCATTCCCAGCCTGGAGTCCCATAGCAGCCTCTGAACTGGTTTTCCTGGTCTGCCCATGCCCTCTTCTTCCAGCCTCCCGTAAACTTAGTGTTTTTGAACAACAGTCATTTGATCATTTCTCCTGATTCTGTGGGGTTAAGCAGGGCTCTGCTGGATGGATTTCCACTGGGGCCTCTCCTGTGGCTGCATCAGATGAAGGCCAGGATGGAGTGTCCAAGGTGGCTTCTCCCACATTCGGTCCTTAACAGGCTCGTCTAGAACATCTAGGCCTCCAGTTCTTTTCCTGTCATCTCAGGGTGTCTTCCTCTCCATATGATCTCTTCACAGGAGCGTTCCAACAGGGTAGCTGGACTTCCAACATGGAGTCTTGGGGCCCCTAAAGTGGACAAAGCCAAAGCCACCAGGCCTTCTCAAGCAATCCTCTGGTTAAAGGCAATCCCAGAGCCAGCCCAGATTCAGGGTGGGAGAGGACTATCACTACTAAAGGGTGTGAATGCTGGCCGAGGGGGACAGGGAATGGCTTGTTAGAGGCCACCTTTGGAATCCAGAGACCATATCCTTTACAATCTGTTTTGTGCACAATGAGAAATATCTTATTAAACCTGTGTCAGACCACACCCCTCTGCTCAAAACTCTCCACTGGTTTCTCCTGTCACTCAGAGTAAAAGCTGAAATCTTGCCAAAGGTGCCCAAGGCTCGCACCATCTAGGCTTAGCCCTCTGACCTCATGCCTTCCCTCTTTTCTACTCTTTCCCTTTGCTCCAGCCACACCTGGCTCCCGGCCTTCTCTGGCACTCGGAAAACTCTATCTCAGGGAGTACTCTTCCTCCAGAAACCTCTATGACTTCCTCTTTCACCTTCTTTAGGGCATCACGCAAACATCCCCCTCTCCATACTCTCTTCCCTGGCTCCTCTGTCTAAAATTATAAAGCCAACTGCCCTATGCTCCATTCCTCTTCTGAGGTTTATTTTTTTTGTACCATACTGACCATAACCATTGAAAAAAATACATATTACTATTTTACTTTTTAATCCCATTCTTCTGCATTTCTTCCTATAATAGAATAATAGATTTTTTTAAAAAGTAACTCCGTAACAGAAGGATTTTTGCCTTTTTATTCACTACATTTTTCTCAGCACCCACAATAGTGCTGGCAAATCATAGGGGTTTGACAAATATACGTTAACTAACTAACTAACTAACTAACTAACATTAACTGGATGGAAGGATGGACGGATGGATGGATGGATGGATGGATGGATGGATGGGTGGATGGGTGGATGGGTAGGTGGATGGAAAAATGGGTGTGTGGGTAGGCAGATGGGTGGGTAGGCAGATGGGTGGATGGATGGGTGGATGGATGAATGGGTGGGTAGGTAGATAGGTGGATGGAATGATGGATTGATGGATGGGTGGATGCATGGGTGGATGAGTGGACGGATGGGTGGGTAGGTGGGTGGATGGGTGGATGGATGGATGGATGGATGGATGGATGGATGGATGGATGGTTGGATGGATAGATGGATGGATGGATGGATGGAGGATGTGGGCTCCTACTTCCACCTCAGACTGCTGCTTGTTGTACCCCTCTGAGCTCCTGGGACCTTGTTTGTCTAGGAGCATGTAGATAAGTGCTCAGAAAAAAGCACTTGAAGTGGGCCTTGAAAGACTGCGGGGGTTTTCAATAATTGAGAGGTTAGCGAGAGGACATCCTGGAGGAGGGGAGTGTTTGGTGTTGTATTTTACGGCATACTAACAAAAGTGGAAAGAACCATCTTGGGAAAGTGAGCCTTGGTTGATGAGAACCCAGGATTCAACTTGGGAAGATGTAGAAAATCACACCGCCTAGCCAGGACAGTGAATCGGGCATGGTGAGATACTTTCTACAGATTGTCAGTATCTTCACCACAATGCTCCAGGAAGGCATTACTCCTCCCACTTTCCAGATGGGGAAACTGAAGCTCAGAAAATTTAAATCACATAACTAGGTCAAGATTCAGAGTCCAGTGGAATTAAATTCATGTCTGCCAGTGTTCTTTATTCTGCACAATCTTCAACTCACTACTTAATTGCCTCCTTAAAGTCTTCAAAAAAAGAGACTTGATCTTAACAGTTTTAGACTGAGGGATGGGGAAGCATAACAAATGGTTTTTGGATGGAATATTAAAAGAATCCATTTCCCCTTAATTCACATAATGAAAAAGCTTCAGAAAATTATTATTTGAAGGTAAATCAGTGGTCTTAAGTTATCAGGAAAGTAGAATTTACTTTCCACATAAAGTTTCACTACTTGTTGCTTTGCTGACTACTGAATTTTTTTTAGAGCTTTTTAAACCCCAACTTCTAGTTTGAAAATGCTTCATTTGGCAAGTCGGAGAATCAGTTCTTTCATTCAACAGTGAGACATCAATATTTTATTCTTTGGTCTTCCTGCATTCTTGATCTTTACAAGGGGAGGCCCATGGATTCCCAGAGAGGTGGCGAGCTCCATGGAACCAGAAATATTCCCCAGCAAAGCGGGGGATGCTCAGGGTATCTGTATTCCATGGAAGACCATGCTAATAGATTTCACTGGTCACTTCCAACTTCAAGATTCCATGTTTCTTTCCAAAATATTGCTCACATGTGTAAGGTTTGGAAAGAAAATTGTAAATTATGTAGTTTATTTAGAGCTTAAAACACATGAAGTGGAGTAGTAAAAAATAAAAGGTTAAAAAAGTAAGAGGAAGGCAGAGTAAAATGGTATATGTATATTATATATTTAAAGAAGAAAAATGTGTTGAAGACTTTGGATAGAAAGCAATTTTAGGCAACAAAAGCCACTGAAGAACAGGGGAGATATGATAGTATTTGGATTGAGAAAGATGACTAGAAAGACACTATAAGTGCCTTATACAAAGGGAGGGTGAGTCGAAACCTGGTAATTGGGATTTGGTATTATCAGATTCCTGCTTCTATTTCCAGTGTGAGATTGCATGAGAAGACTTTTAAGTCTTTAAAGTGACATGCTAATTGTATCCCTGAGAAGATATAATGCTCACTAGCGCAGTGGCTCACTCCTGTCATCCCAGCACTTTGGGCGGCTGAGGCAGGGGGATCACTTTAGGCCAGGAGTTTGAGAACAGCCTGGCCAACATGGTGAAACACCGTCTCTACTAAAAATACAAAAATTAGTTGGGCATGGTGGTGCATGCCTGTAATTCCCGCTACTTGGGAGGCTGAGACATGAGAACTGCTTGAGCCCAGGAGATGGAGGTTGCAGTGAGCCGAGATTGTGCCACTGCACTCCAGCCTGGGTGACAAAGCAAGGCTCTGTCAAAACAAAACAACAACAAAAAAGATATAAGGTTCTAGACAAACTTTCAAAGTATCTGTTCGGGTGCTGTAAAATAAGACCTTGAATGTGAATGGTTAGCAAATGTGCCCTGTTACACACCAGCATTGGAGTATTACTATATGTTTCATCAATTCTTTTTTTAAAAGAAACAGTTATATTGAGGTACAATTTATACACTGTAAAATTCACCCAGTTTAGATCTACAGTTCAATGAGTTTTAGTAAATTTTCATAGCTATGCCACCCTTGTCATAATCCGTGTATAAAATATTTCCATCACCCCAAAAGTTCTGTTTTGCCTGTTTGCAGTCAATCTCAGCTCCCGCCATGACCCCTGGCAACCGCTAATCAATTCTTAATATTAAGGGCATGGTGGCATTTCACAAGCCATGTGAGATTATGTGCATGTGAGAGAGAGAGTAAGACTAAGACACACACACACACACACACAAACACACATACAATATAAAGAGCTGAAATAAGTCACCAAAATAATTCTGTATATTTAACTGTTTTCATGATGTGTTTCTGCTTACAGTCTCAAAAAAGCTCCCACTTTTTCAAATGTTATGGGAAAAGATTGTTTCAAATTTTATTTTATTTCTTAATGCTCACATTGATTTCAGTATTTAAGGAGTAATTTTAAAGTTGGTTTTTTTTTTATTTCTTGCAGTTAGGATTGGGACCTCACTTTTTAAACAGAATCTTAAGTTGGACCTCAATATATAAAACAGATAACGCTGAGCAGCCATCAAGAAGAGAGGAAGGAGACCTGAAATACCAGTCTCTTGGACTTCCCTTCCAGGTCCTCTGCTGCTCCTTCAGCTCCCCTCCTGCGGACCAGGTGGCCCCCCTCAGAATGTCATTCACTCAGGCCTCCTAAAATGTCAACATTCCCCAGGGACAGAGGCCTTTCCTCTGGCTGGGTCACATGATCAGGTGATTCAAAAGGCGGGATGGGGTTTCCTGAAAATACCTGTCCTCTCTAGAAAATGTAAAAGCATCACTTTGCTTTTAAGGGATGTCATTACAAACTTTATTCACATGTTGTGAATAATCCCTTGCTTTACTTTCTAAGTGTTAACCATTCCCATTTTTAGTAGATTTGATTTAAGCTTACTGTAATATGCAAATTCCTGATAAGCACCTACTTTCAAGTACTATTAACATGATATTTAATCTCTCGTGTGTGTGTGTATGTGTATGTGTGTATGTGTGTATATGTATATATATATGCATAGAGAGAGATGGTTATTTTTAAACTTCATGATTATGAGGTTTTTCTCTTTTGACTTAATGATTGAACAATGTTCATGCATTCTTGTTTTCTGGCATAAACTCCATTTGGTCATAGGGAGGAATTCATTTAATTTATTATTAAATTGTATTTCTGGTTATTTTCTTCACTACGAATGTAGCTATATCCATGTTCATATTGTTGTTATTTTTATTGGAAGTGTATGTGCCCAGCTTTCAGTATAAATTATGTTCACCAAGAATTGGAAAGCTTTCTCATACTTTTTTCATGGAACAGTTAAAAACCATGGGAATCACCTCTTCCTTGAAATTCTGAAAGAGGATACCTGTGAAACCGCTGGGACCTGACATTGTTTTTGGAAATAATTTCTTGGCAAGTTCTTCTGTTTTTTTTCTTTTACATTGTTATTGGCCCATCAGCCTAACAGGTTGTCTATTTCTTCATGTTTGTATGTGTGTGTGTGTGACCTTCCATAATTTTATTCTTTCAAAAAAATTTTCAAATATATTGTGATAAACTTCACATTGTATTTTTAAAAACTATTACCCATATCTATATTATATATTCTTTTCTATTTATTATTAAGGATGCTTCCTTGTCATTTGTTTTCCTCTTTTACTCCATTGGTTAAATTAATTTGTCTACTCACATTAATTTGTCTAAGATGTGTCTTTTTTGTTTTTCTTTTTCTTTTTTCTTTCTTTCTTTCTTTTTTTTTTTTTTTTTTTTTTTTGAGGCAGAGTCTCTCTCTGTCACCCAGGCTGGTGTGCAGTGCCACGATCTCAGCTCACTGCAACCTCCACCTCCCAGGTTCAAGCGACTCTCCTGTGTCAGCCTCCCGATAGCTGGGACTACAGGTGCATGCCACCACGCCCAGCTAATTTTTGTATTTTTAGTAGAGACGGGATTGCACCATGTTGGCCAGGCTTGTCTCAAACTCCTGACCTCGTGATCCACCTGCCTCGGCCTCCCAAAGTGCTGGGATTACAGGCTTGAGCCACCACGCCTGGCCTTGTTTTTCTTTTTTAAAGAACTAGTTCCTAGATTTGTCAATTGATTGGTTTTCTATTATCTATGTCACTGAATTGTACTTTTTTATTCATTATTTCCTATTTCCAATATGATCTAGATTTATTTTGTTATATATTTTTAAATATCTTAAATTTCATTCTCAGTTACTTTATTTTATTATTTCATTTCTATTAATGATACTATTAATGGCATGAATTTGCCTCTGAAAAGAGCTTTAGTACAATCCTGTAATCCCAGCTACTCCGGAGGCTGAGGCAGGAGAATCGCTTGAACCCAGGAGGCAGAGGTTGCAGTGAGCCGAGATCATGCCACTGCACTCCAGCCTGGGTGACAAAGTGAGACTCTGTCTCAAAAAAAAAAAAAACCATTATGTTTTAGAGTAGTTTTAGATTAACAGAAAAACGAAGCAGAAAGTACAGAGAATTCCCATATGTCCCCCACATTCTCCCTTCCCATGTACACAATCTTCCCCACTATCAACAACCCACAAGAGTGGTACATGATACAGTCAATAAACCTACACTGACACATCGTTATTACTCAAAGTCCATAGTTCACTTTAGGGCTCACTCTTGATGTTGTATATTCTATGAGTTTGGACTATGTATAATGACTATCTTTACAGTGTCATGCAGAATAGTTTCACTGCCCTAAAAATCCTCTGTCTTCTGGCTATTCATTCTTCCTCTCCCCTAACCCCTGGAAACCACTAACCTTTTTACTGTCTCCACAGTTTTGCCTTTTCCAAAATGCCATATAGGTGAAATCATAAAGTGTGTAGACTTTTCAGATTGGCTTCTTTCACTTAGCAATATACATTTATGTTTCCTCTACATCTTTTCATAGCTTGATAGCTTATTTATTTTTAGCATTGAATAATACTCTATTGCCTGGATGTACCACAGTTTATTTATTCATTCACCTACCTACAGAATGACATTTTAGAAGCGTTCAAGTCTTGGCCATTATGAGTGAAGTTGTTATAAACATCCTTGTGCACGTTTTTGTATCAACATAAATTTTCGTTCACTTGAGTAAGTACCAAGGAGCATGATTGTTGGATCATAAGTTAAGAGTACGTTCAGCTTTATAAAGAACTGCCAAACTATATTTCAAAGTACAATACTGTACCATTTTGCATTCCTACCAGCAATAAATAAGAGTTCCTCTTGCTCCACATGCTTGTCAGCATTTAGCGTTGTCAGTGATTTTGGATTTTGGCCTCTTAATAGATATGTTTCATTATTGTTTTAATTTGCAATTCTCTAATCACATATGATGTTGATCATCTTTTCATATGTTTGTTTGCCTTCTGTATATCTTCTTTGGTGAGGTGTCTGTTTCAGCTCTTGTGCTCATTTTTTAATTAGGTTGTTTATTTTCTTATTGTTGAGTTTTAAGAGTTTTTTTGGCTATTTTGGATAACACTTCTTCATTAAGTATGTCTTTTGCAAATACTTTCTTCCACTCTGTGGGTTGTCTTCTCATTCTCTTGACATTGTCTTTCACAGAGCAGAAATTTTTAATTTTAATGAAGTTCAGACCACCAATTATTTCTTTTATAGGTTATGCCTTTGATGTTGTACAGCACTTTGGGAGGCCAAAGTGGGAGGATTGCTTGAAGCCAGAAGTTCAAGACCAGCCTGGGCAACATAACAAGAACCCTGTCTCTACAAAATTTTTTAATTAAAAATTCATAAAATCAAAAGTCATTGCCACACCTGAGGTCATGTAGGTTTTCCCCTATGTTATGTATTCAGATTTTATAATTTTTCATTTACATTTAGATCTATGGTCCATTTTGAGTTATTTTTTATGGAAAATGTAAGTTCTGTGTCTAGATTCATCATTTTCCTTATAGATGTCCAGTTATTCCAGCACCTTTTGTTGAAAAAACTATCTTTGCAGCATTGTATTGCTTTGCTATTTGCCAAAGATCAGTTGCTATATTTATGTAGGTCTATTTCAGGGCTTTCTATTCCACACTCTCTTGTTTACTGTGGCTTTATAGCAAGTTTTGAAGCCAGTAGTGTCATTTGCCCAACTAACTTTGTTGTCCTACTTCAATATGATATTGCCTATTCTGAGTGTTTTGCCTCTCCATATAAACTTTACAGTCAGTCTGTTGATATCAACAGAATAAGTTGCTGGGATGTCTATTGGTATTGCATTGAACCTATAGATCAATTTTGGAAGAATTGGTATTTTGACAATATTAAGCCTTCCTATCCATGAACTTGAAATATCTCACTATTTATTTAGTTCTCCTTTGTTACCTTTGTCAGAGTTATGTACTTTTCCTCATACATATCCTATACATATTTGGTTAGATTTATACCTAAGTATTTCATTTTTGGGGTGCTAATGTATAAATGACAATGTGTGTTTAATTTCAAATTCCCTTGTTCATTACTAGTATATAGTACACCAATTGACTTTTTTATTTTAACCTTGTAGCATGCAACCCACTATAATAGTTACTAGTTCCAGTTTTTTTGTCAATTGTTTCAGACTTTTTAAATGTAGATGATTATGTCATCAGCAAATAAACAGTGTTTTTTCTTCTCAATCCGTATAGCTTTCATTTTATTTTCTTGTCTTATTTCATTAACCACAACTTTTAGTATGATGTTGTAAAGCAATAGTGAGAGAAGACATCATTGCCTTATTCTTGATCTCAGCAGGAAAGCTTTGAGTTTCTTACCATTAAGTAAGATCTTAGCTGTAGATTTTTTTGTAGAGAGTCTTTATTAAGTTGAGGAAATTCTCCTCTATTTCTAGTTTGTTGAGAGTTTTTACCATGAATGGGTGTTGGATTCTGTCAAATACTTTTTCTGCATCTATTGATATGATCATGTGGTTTTTCTTCTTTAACCTATCAATGTGATGAGTTTCATTAATTGATTTTCAACTGTTGACCTAGCCTTGTATACCTAGGACAAATCCCATTTGTTCATGGTATACAAGTTTTTAGATATTGATAAATCTATTGATTTAGATACATGTTTTTAGATGTTGGATTAGATTTTCTTTTCTTTTCTTTTTTTAGTTTTTCTCTTTTAGCATCTATGTCCATGAGAGATATCGGCCTGTAGTTTTATTTTCTAATGTCTTTGTCTGCTTTTGATATTAGAGTAATGCTGGTCTCACAGAATGAGTAAGGCACTATTCTTTCTGATTCTATATTCTAGAAGGGATTGTAGCAAAATTGTGTATTTTTTTTCCTTAAATATTTTGTAGAATTTATGAGTAAACTCATATGGGCCTGCTGCTTTCAGTTTTGGAAGGTTATTAATTATTGATTCAATTTCTTTAAAAAATCTATACCTAATTAGATTGCCTATTTTTTCCTATGTGAGTTTTGGCAGATCCTGTCTTTCAAGGAATTTATCAATTTCATCTAGCTTATCAAATTATTGGGTACAGAGTTGTTCACATTATTCCTTTATTATCTTTTTAATGTGCATGGGATCTGTACTGACATCCCCTCTTACCTTTCTGATATTAGTAATTTGTGTCTCCTCTTTTTTTTCAGTCTGGCTGAAGCGTTATTGATTTATTGATCACTTTAAAGAGCCAGCTTTTGGTTTTGTTGATTTTCTCTATAGCCTTCCTATTTCAATTTCGTTGATTTCCATTCTAATTTTTATGATTTCTTTTCTTTTGCTTACTTGGATTTCATTTGCTCTTCCTAGTATCCTAAGGTGGGAGCTTAGATTATTGATTTTAGGTCTTTCTTCTTTTCTAATATATGCATCGATGCTATAAATTTCCTTTGAGGCACTCCTTTTGCTGCACCCTACAACTATTTACAAGTTGTATTTTCATTTTTATTTAGTTCAAAATATTTTTAAATTTCTCTTGAGATTTCTTC
This sequence comes from Homo sapiens, assembly GCF_000001405.40. NCBI lineage: Eukaryota > Metazoa > Chordata > Mammalia > Primates > Hominidae > Homo > Homo sapiens. Next base: position 41,397,257 of record NC_000007.14, read on the forward strand.
TTTGTCCCATGTGCTATTTAAAAATGTATTGTTCAATCTCCAAATATTATGAGATTTTTTCTATCTATCCTTCTGTTACTGATTTCTAGTTTAATTCCATTTCACTCTGAGAGCAGATAACGCGTGATTTTTATTCTCTTGAATTTGTTAAGGTGTGTTTTATGGCCTAGAATGTGGACTATCTTGGTGTATGTTCCACGTAAGCTTGAGAAGGATGTGTGTTCTGCTGTTTTTGGATGAAGTAGTTGATAGATGTCAATTATGTTCATTCAGTTGATTGATGGGACTGTTGAATTCAACTATGACCTTACTGATTTTCTGCCTGCTAGATTTGTACCTTTCTGAAAGAGGGACATCGAGGCCTCCAACTCAAAATTAATAAAAAGAAAAATAAGTTCTTATATAACCCTCACTGATTCCTTCTCTGATCTTTTTCCCTTCTTTATGTAGAACTGAGAATCTGAGCTATATAATTTTTCTTTCTTCTGAATAACTTCTTTTAATCTTTCTTGCAAAGTAGGTCTTCTGGCAACAAATTTCTTCCATTTTTGTTTGTCTGAGAAAGTCTTTGTTTATTCCTCACTTTTGCAAGATAATGTTAAGAATACAGAACTCTAACTTGGTGGGGTTTTTCTCCTCTCAACACTGTAAATATGTCATACCACTGTCTTGCTTGCATGGTTTCCGAGGAGAAGCTGGATGTAATTACTATCTTTGCTCCTCTATCTCACCTCACATAGATAAGGTGTGTTTTTCCCCTCCTCTGGTTTCTTTCAATATTTTTTTCTTTGACTTTCTGAAATTTGAATACGATATGCCTAGGTTTAATTATTTTGGCATTTACCCTGCTTGCTTCTCTTTGAGCTTCTTAGATCTGTGATTTAATGTCTGGCATGAATTTGGGGACATTCTCAGTCATTATTGCTTTAAATATTGCTTCTATTTCTTTCTCTCTTTCTCCTCCTTCTGGTATCCCCATTACACATATGTTACACTTTTTGTAGTTGTCCCATAATCCTTGGATATTCTGTTCTCGTTTTTTTTTCTTTCCTTTTCAGTTTTGGAGGTTTTTATTGTCATATCTTCAAACTCAGAAGTTCTTTACTCAGCTGTGTCCAGTATAATAGTAACCCATCAAAAGTATTCCTCATTTCTGTTAAAGTGTTTCTAATCTCTAATATTTCTTTTTGATACATTCTTCAAATTTCTATCTCTCCACTTAGAGTATCCATTATCTATTGTCTACCTTTTCAATTAAATCAATTAGCATATTAATCACCATTGTTTTAAATTCCTGGTCTGATGATTCCAACATTACTGCCCTGTCTAACTCTGGTTCTCATGCCTTCTTCAGTCTCTTCAAAGTATTTTTTGCCTTTTAATATGTCTTGTTCTTTTTTTGTTGGAGGGTAGATTTGAAATAGTGGGTAAAAGAAAGAAACGGAGGTATATAAGTCTTTAATAATATAATGATCAGGTGTCGGGGAGGGAAATTATTCTAGAGTGACATGATTAGGCCTCAGGTTTTTGGTGAGCCTGTGCCCTGTGGACTGTGAACTTCACCAGTGCATCTCAGGTCCCCTAGCCCCCAGTCCCATCCCCTAGCATTGCATGAAACAGGATGGCTAGAGGGAGCTGGAATTTTTTTTCTTTTTCCACAAGTGGAAGGCTAACGGGAGATCAAGATGGGAATCTCCCAAGTGGATTAGGCTCTGACAAAACTTCCGAAGTTGGACTCTGGTAAAATAGTTTCTCCCAAAGACAGGCCTTGCTAAGAAGAACAGAATGCCCTAGTATATTTTGAAAGGATTCCTTTTCCCCTTCCCCTGCAAGAAGCAGGAGGGAATTTTTTTTTTTTTTTCTCACTTTCACTGTGAATGCCTCACAGAGCTTCTGGAGGTAAAATTCACAGAAACATGAGGGTCCCTTATGACTGGGTTCCCCGCAGCATTTTTAACTCTCAGACTTGTCCACAGTAAACAAGCCTCCAGCTATCTGTCAATTACAGCTCCAGTTTCTCTATCCCAGCACTGGTTCCCATGGTGGTTTTGCGTATGGGTTTTTGCTCTGGTCTATGTTGTGATTCTTTGTATCCATCTGTTTCTCCAATTTAAGGGACAATGGTTTTCCCTGTGATGTCACTTCTCTGACTAATCTAAAATGAGTTGTTGATTTTTCAGTTTGTTTAGCTTTTTAGTTGCTAGACTGGAGTGGTGACTTCTAAGCTCCTTACCTGCCGGCTGGACTGGACACCAGAAAGCTCCATATATTTTTATGTGCAGTGCTTTTATTTTTATTTTCATCATTTTCTAAATAGGGGCAAATCTAATCAAGAAGTTAATTTTGGCTGGGTGCTGTGGCTCATGCCTGTAATCCCAGCACTTTGAGAGGCTGAGGCGGGTGAATCACGAAGTCAGGAGATGGAGACCATCCTGGCTAACGCAGTGAAAACCTGTCTCTACTAAAAATACAAAAAAATAGCGGGGCACGGTGGCACGCGCCTGTAGTCCCAGCTACTCAGGAGGCTGAGGCAGGAGAATCGCTTGAACCCAGGAGGCAGAGGTTGCAGTGAGCCAAGATTGTGCCACTGCACTCCAGCCTGGGCAACAGAGAGAGACTCTGTCTAAAAAAAAAAAAAAAAAAAAAAAAGTAGTTAATTTTAAAATTAATTTTATTCAGGGCATTTATTTTATTTCAATTAAAAAATAAGCACTTCACACTGTGGACAGTACAAGGCAAATCTGATGTTTATTTTTTATTAAGCAGCTCATTTTTTCCCTAGCCCCACTTCAACTTAAAAACTGTAGAGTTGAGGTCCATGCGACTCTGCTAAAATAACAACAGTCCTATCCTCTCATAGCTTGGCCTTGCCACTTTGATTAAAGGAGATTGTTCTTTCATTCCATTTACCCTTTAATGTAAATTGTAGACATCTACTTTTTTTTTTTTTTTTTTTGAGATGGAGTCTCGCTCTGTCGCCAGGCTGGAGTGCAGTGGTGCGATCTTGGCTCACTGCAACCTCTGCCTCCTGAGTTCAAGCGAATCCCTTGTTTCAGCCTCCCAAGTACTTGGGACTACAGGTGGGTGGCACCAAGCCCAGCTAATTTTTGTATTTTTAGTAGATATGGGGTTTCACCATTCTGGCCAGTATTGTCTCGATCTCTTGACCTCATAATCCGCCCGGCCTCAGCCTCCCAATTTTGGGATTACAGGGATGAGCCATTGCGCCTGGCCGACATCTACCCTTTATGTAGTGCAATGTGTCCGTCTTTGCCATAGAGGGTAGATGACTACAATCTCCTGAGTATGCTTCTCTCTGGCTCTTCCTGTTTCTATCTGCAACTCAATGAATGACCTCACTTCATGAAGCAATGCGTCACTGCCTATGTCCTTCCTCATTCTGCCATCTTGCATTTGTGGCAGCTGTAATCTCCAAATGGATAATGGATGAAATGTACTGGTGGATGTGGACTAGGGACAAGGAGTTGTCACCAGCTGTCTCAGAAAGCATTTCTTTCACAGATTAGAGCATTTCTGAGTGTTTTTTGGTGCAGCAATGCTTCATGTCTGTCAGATGGATCTTCTACGTGTCTGTGAGATATAGCAGAGAGCATATAGTGCCTCCTCTCTGCTTCACATTATGTCTTATGTTTTCTCTTTCAAAAGGAATATGTGGACGCTCCAGAAAGTTTTCCAATCCCATCCATCACTCATGTAACTCTTTATATTGCTTCGGATGAAGGGAGGTTGTAAATGAATTCTCTCAGAGTCTCTGCTGGGACAACTTTCTACCTCCCCATTGGTTTCATGGAGAGTTGAGAGACAGCGAATTAAAACAATTAGCTAGCTGGCATCACAGCCCTCAAGTCATAAAGCATCTGAAAATGCCTTTATTTAACTTGATAAGCCCTTAAACTAACTTGACAGCTTTTATACCCTCAATGGTAACTCACCCCACACCTTCAGAGGATCTAAATTTCTGGGTTAACAAAGAATCTGCCAAAACCTTCCCTTAGAAATTCTGGACTGGTGAGATTGTATTCTCCATGGATTCTTCTTAAAGATCCATTTATTAAAGAGAAACATTTGGCCTACTATAATTAACTTGTAACCTGTGATACAAAATTTTTAAATCTATCACTAACCAAAGAAACCATTATTATATCAAATCGTCAGTTATTTTGTAATAATAACCACCACCGCAAGCTGAGATAAAAATGATCATTTCCTTTATATTTTAAACGTTAATGTTCAACATAATCACTCCCAAACTTATACCTGAAAGTAGAATGTTTACATTAGAAACTGAGAAAAACAATATTGAACCTCTGTATCACAATTCTAGACAGAACAAAAAATGAAAAACAGAATAAAACTAACCCAGTCTCATGTTTTCAGCATCCAGAGTTCTAAGCAATTTAATTCTCATTTTGATCAGTACAATAAGAGATGAATGAAGAGAGGCTAATGCTCATTTGTTTGATTAGGGAATGGAATGAAGTTGTTGAATCCTCAGCCATTTCTTCCTCAAGCCCTTGCTAGGTGTTCTTGCCCAACCCCTTTCCTCCACTCTTTTGCCCAATGTGGTCTTTAATACTATGAAATTTAATTTAATTTGTTAAATTTGACTTTTAATTTATTATTCTTAGTAGCCTGATAATTGCTATTGATAAAACTTAAAACCGATTGTATCTGTCCTCTGCTGAAAACCCTCTAGTGGAGTACCTCAATCAAGCGAAAGCTGCGTCCTTATGACTCAGGGCCCTACACATGCTGGTCCTTTTTCCTTTTTGCTTTCATTTCTTACTACTCTCTCTGTGGCTTCCTCCATTGCAGCCATCCAGGTCCCATTGCCTTTTCTTGCTCATGGTAAGCGGACACCTACCTGCACCATTTTCTTTGCACTTTCTCTGCTTTTCTAGTGAAAGGCTCTTTTCCCAGGAATTAACTGATTTTACTTCCTCAGGAATTTGGGGCCTTCATTCAATGTTACCTTCTCGGTAGAATCTTTCTGCCCATTCTAGTTAAAATTGTAACCATCTGCCCTCAATGCCATTGTCTTTCCCTGCTTTTTCTCTACAGTGCTTACCACTCGCAGATGTGCTATGCACTGTTAATTATTTTCTGTGTTCATTGTGTAGCTCTCATCTCTAGAACGGAAACTACATAAGAAAAGGGATTTTTGCTTGCTTCTTTTCTCTGCTCTACTGCAGTGCCTGTAATACTGCATGATACACATATATATGCTCAATATGTATTTGTCGAGTGTCCAGAGAGTAAAGCCTGCAAAGCTATAAAATAATAGATAACCACATTGAAATTAATCCATCATTTTAGTTAGGTTTTCTCTTCTTACTTTGATCTAGATGGTTTCCCAAAGGATTTATAGATATATTATTATATCACTTTACCAAACTCTATCACCATTACTCTTATTTTAAGAAACAGTAATACAGGTAAATAATTTCCCCTAAATTCTGAAAGTCAAAATCCAGGCTGTGTCACCTTTAGAGCCACCAGAAGTTGCCGCAGAAGGATAGAATGGCTCTTTCTTATGACAAGGCTCTCTTTCAACCAGCAGCTCCTTCTAGGGGATATGAAAGGAAGTTTTAGTCTTCAAGGACCTTTGAAATGATGTGTCTGTCTCTCATGAATCAATGTAAAATTATTACACGTCAGGCCAGGCGCGGTGGCTCACGCCTGTAATCCCAGCACTTTGGGAGGCTGAGGTGGGCAGATCACAAGGTCAGGAGATCGAGACGATCCTGGCTAACACGGTGAAACCTTGTCTCTACTAAAAATATAAAAAGTTAGCCGGGTGAGGTGGCAGGTGCCTGTAGTCCCAGCTACTCGGGAGGCTGAGACAGGAGAATGGCGTGAACCCGGGAGGCAGAGCTTTTAGTGAGCCGAGATCACGCCACTGCACTCAAAAAAAAAAAAAAAAAAAAGAAAAGAAAAGAAAATTATTACACGTCAGTATATTTTTTACTGATATATATTATAGTAACATATTAAAATATATAATATTAAAGTTTCTCACCCAAATTTCACAAGACATTTCACAATATATCTACATTTCTGACAATGAAATCCTAGAGTGAAGTGAAGGCAAAAGAGTCAAAAGACAGAACCCCTAATAAGTTAAGGTGAGGGACAGAGCTGTCAATTAATGTGAGTCACTAAAAATTTACCCTCTGGCCTGCAAACCAACCCCTGGAAAACGTCAATTCAGATTCCTAATACTCTTAGGAATTCAGGAAAAGGGGAGATAACAATGGGTAGAAGGTGTTTAAATGCTTTCCGGAAGAAAGCAGGCTTTGGCTAGGCATTAAAGGATAAGAAGAATTTGCAGAGAAGGAAAAATATGTGTCTTAGGTAGGGAGCCACTATATCTGAAAATTACTCCAAAAATAACACATACACATGGTCTTCCTTATGCATTTATGCATAATTAGGTAACTGTGAGGATACTGGTTTGACTTAAGTTAAAATTCATATGAAGGGAGTATATTGAAATAATTTTGGAAAGGAAATTTGGGATTGCTTCAGGTGCAAGGATAGGATCTTTAAAATAGGCAGAGTCATTGAGACTGAAACTAACAGATGAGAGAGTTCTGTAGAAACTTGACAAAGGAATACCATGATTTATACTCCAGAGAATTGAAAGAAACTTCTTTACCAACATGGTAACATCTAGATTGGAGAAGCAGAATAAAGTGAAGAATCAAGTTAGAAGATAATGTCTAACATGATATACTAGACATGAGATCATCAGACCTTAATTAAAGATTCAAAAATTCCTAGAAATTTTAAAATGACAAAAAGCCAGGAGAATATTAAAACGTGAGAAATTTTGAATGAAATTGAGTTTTGTAAATTTGAACTCAATCACTTGTTTTAATAAAACAATGTATATTTGACATGACAGTTTATTTGTAAGTGATTATTTATTGCACATGAAATCTAAAAACTTTTTCTACTCAGAAATTATTTAAAAAGTACTTGTTGAATTCACTTTTATATGTTATTAATTGTTTTACAAATGGCTATGCGTGTGGCTGGACTCATTTCTCCTAAACCTGTATGTCTGTATGGGAAACAGACATACAGTGAAGAGAGTAAGCCATCCACATTGCTAGTAACACAATAAAGGTGATTTTGTTTCCCAGCTTTAGTGATCTCCACTGTGTCAAGCAGGTATAGAAAGCACTGGATGTCAGACAGAAGTGAAAAGGAAAAAAAAAAAAGGGAAACCAAGGATCAGCCTGCATAGAACTTAGAACACGTGGAACTTTGTTGAATGAGGTTTATTTGCTGAACAATCATGATTATTTCCTGTTTCTTCTGATGCTTCCTTCATACAAACTTTGTGAACTTCCAAAAAGTCAAAGTTCATTTAGATATCAGTTCTCTTGCTTCCTACATACAAACTTTGTGAACTTCCAAAAAGTCAAAGTTAATGTAGATATCAATTCTCTTTCATGTGTTAGCTTATTTTTAATTTGGTGTATTTGCAGGCATACATCAAGTCCTTTTATCTGTTGTAAGAAATGGAGGGATCCCTAAACTGGGGAGAAGTGAGAGACCTCGTGATGAGCATTGCTGGCTTTGCTGGTGGCAGGGGTGTCGTGGAGAGGCTCACTTTCACTGTCATGGGATGCTAGTTAATACTGGGAGGGCCTGGCTGGATTCTGGCAGGCTGGGTGAGAATATTCTCTCCCTTTATCTCTCAGCTCTGTGATTTTTAGCTCCCTAAGCTATAGTTTCCTCAATTGTCAAATAGAATAACATACCATGCATATCTCATGGGGCTGTTGTGAGAATTAATTGAGATAACTCATATAAACCACATGCTCAGGAGAACGCCATACCACCTAATAGTCCAGTCCTGGAGATGGTCTCAATTTTGTAACACAGAAATAACTTTTCTTAGGCAGCTTTTAAGTGTAATTCTTATCTTGCAATCCACAACAACAACAACAACAACAACAAAAACTCAAAAACAAACATTATCTTTCTTTACATTTCTGCTTTTGAATCTAGTTAGCGGCATGATATCACTCACAGTAAATTTCTTGCCAGTTATAAATGCCATCTTCTGTTCCCCTTTCTTCTTCCCCATAAATTAAAATATAGTTTAAGTTTAAAACAACCAAATGCACAGACAAACTGACCAGTTTGTTTATTGAGGCTATTAGTAAAGAATATCTCCTACAGAGGGCTCTCTGGTGTTCAGATGATAGTTTTATCAGTTTTTACCATGTGTTATATAACTCTTACTTCCAAAAGGTGACAGCTATTATGTCAAGAGTAGGCTTCACCTATTTTTGATAATTTTTTTCCTCTTCCATAAATCTGTTGGGAAACAAGCCCCATTAATATCCTGGAGAAGTTTCTGTGGCCCTGCAAGCAAGTGTGATTCCCCATTCACTGCTGTCTCCTCGGGGCTCTAAGCCTATTCTACTATCCGTAAACAAACATAGGTATTTTTTCCTGTTCTCTATCCCATCTTCTATCGGTGTGCTGATATATCCCATAATGGCTCTCTCTTGTCCGATTTTGTTCTTCTATTCAAAAAAAAAAAAATGAGTTAAGAATGTATTCTTAAAAAGTTGTATAATTCCGTTCCTCTGTGACATTGTCTGCCAAACCATAACTCTGGCATTTACAACGGCATTGTCTTTATTCTTCCTGTTACCCATACCACCCATTGACATCCAAATGCTTAAAGACCCACTCAAAACCCACCACGGGGACTACTGACTACTGCTTCCTTCCCTTAGTATTGAAACACTCACTGCCTGCCTTGATGAGGCAAGTCCATAGAAGCAGAGGGACTTGCAAGAAGTTGTTTGTTTGTTTTGTCCTGATCTTTAGGTATCATCTTGTCCACAAATGTAGTTACTGCAGTCCTTTTTCCTGGTAGACAGCTGCTTGCAACATGTGGTTATTTGAAGATAATTGAGCTAGCTTTATGATGAGGCTGATGCCGCAGAAGCAGTGGCTGAGGAGGGTCTCCCTGTCTGTCTGGAACAATGACTGTAGGACAAGCTTCTTGTATTTTTTCATCCTCCTCATTTCCAGCCCTGGAGGATTTTTTTTTTTTTTTTTTTGAACATCTGCAGGACACTTCTGACACACAAGGATGTGTTTGAACATCGTAGTAACATTTGGAAATGCCTGTTTCATTTGACAGAATTTGCAAATTACATTTTTACCCCTCAGAATAACTCACAGTGTGGAAATGCTTCCATATGCTACAAGTTGTTCTCATCATTTGCTGAAGGGAAAACAAAAAGAAGAGAACTGTAGTCAAGTTTGTGACTTGCAGAAAGCACGAAGCTACAGCAAGTGCACACTTAGTGGCAGCCTTCGGTGGGTCCAACACCAGCCACTTGGAGCCTCACTCCCTGCCAAAGTCTGGTAAGTAGACTCTCTTTTTAAAGAATCACCTAAGTGCAAATTCATGAATAATTCTGAAAGTTATTACTATATGTAAATGCTAATTAGTTCACTTACAAGTGAAAAAATATTAGCTCTTCTGTATACCACATATTTAGAAAGCGCCACATTACAATTGCCTCGTATTTCCAAAACCTGGCCTAGGAAAACACTTTTTTAGTACATTGTACTCAGGCCATTCCACCAGTCATCATGACAAGAATATAGCAGCTTCTAGGTCCCAAGTGAATAAGAACCCCAAGTAAATAAAAACTTGTCCCCTTCCTTTCATGTCAGAAAATGGCCATGGCCCTTTGAGGCAAAGGTGCAGAAAAAGTTGTGACATGCTTACTAGAATTCATTTAAAATCATGATTTAGAAGAGTATTTCAAAGCATAGGTACAGGACTGAAAACATGATAAATGATTGGTTCTGCCCTCCATGTTCAGGGTTCCAAAACACTGATGTTCATTCATTTATTTACCATTTCAACAAAGATTTATTGAGCATCCACTGTGTGACAAGCCAGAGATGCCACCAAATGAAATCATGGTCCCCAAAATTGAAGAACTTGTATTTCAAAGGAAAAATATTAGAAAAGCAAATAGATAATGACAAACCGTGTTAAAAACAAGATAGATAGAGATAGCTATGGTATAAGAGATAGCTGCTAATTCTGCTTGGGTAGTCAGGTGAGTTTCACGAGGGCATGACAGCTGGGCTGAGTTTGGGGGAGAGAAAGCATTTTCCTGGATGCAACATTAAGGATGAGTGTATTCATCAGAGGGAAGAGCGTGTGTAGAGGCACAGGAGGTGTGGTGATTTCAGGCAGCTGCAAAAGGGCCCATGTCATTAGAACAGGAGTCCTTGGCAGAGCCGTTTAGAGGTAGGGGTGTCCAACCATGAACACTGGTGTTTGTTACACTCAGGACTGTACATCTAGAAGACTACCAATAATGATCATGAGGATATTATTCATGAAAGCAACATCTTCAGGATTTTTATCATACAATAGTAACTATAGAAGCAATTAGAAGCAACGCAAAAGATAAAACAGGAGAAAGAGCCAATGGGAAGCTGCTGTAAGTCTGAATTAAACCTCTCATAGATTGGCATACCCCAGCTCTACATGATATTTGTTTTTAAAGAATATAGTACCATTGCCTAGTGAACTAAATTATTTATATATTTATTATGAACCGAATTGAAAAATGAGAATACCCAAATATTCTTCAACTAAAGGCAATTAATTCAATTTCTTTATTCAATTATCTTCTATTGAAATAAAACACAAATTAAGAAACTATGTTTTAAATAGCTGTCGTTTATTTTGAAAAATAAAGACCTTCCTACTAAATGTTTCATAGAACTATTTATTTTATTTTGTTTTGTTGATTTTTTTTAAATGTTGTGAACCAGCAGTTGAGAATTAAAAAAAAAACAACCAAACAAACAAAAAACCCTCCCTAGAATGCTGGAGATACGGTTCTGGAATCTGATATTATTCTCTGGAGACTCAGTGCACCAGGAAAATCCTAAGTGTCATTGTGTTCTTTGGATGGTATACGAAGTTTTCTTTTAGGTTTTGGCCTATCATTTATACCTGTTTAGAGCCTTGCTTCTTTCCTGTGTGTGTTGTTTTTTGTGTTTTGGTTTTTGACTTTGTGAGACAGATCATGAATTTGAAAAATATTTAAAGGGAAAAAGGAAGGAGCAACTGGATGTTTTCTTTCTTTCTTTCTTTCTTTCTTTCTTTCTTTCTTTCTTTCTTTCTTTCTTTGTCTTTCTTTCTTTTTTTTTTTTGACAGAGTTTTGCTCTTGTTGTCCAGGCTGGAGTGCGTGCAATGGTGCAATGGCACAATCTTGTCTCACCGCAAGCTCCGCCTCCCGGGTTCAAGCAATTCTCCTGCCTCAGCCTACCGAGTACCTGGGATTACAGGAATGCGCCACCACGCCTGGCTAATTCTGTATTTTTAGTAGAGACAGGGTTTCTCCATGTTGGTCAGGCTGGTCTCGAACTCCTGACCTCAGGTGATCCACCCACCTTGACCTCCCAAAGTGCTGGGATTACAGGTGTTAGCTACTATGCCCAGCCTGGATGTTTTATTTCTTAATTGAATTTCATGAATCATATCTGGGATGATGGGTTTTAAAACAAAGTCTACAGCACAGAGTATTTTTGCATTTGAATAATGAGTTGTCTATCACTCTAACTTACACTAAAAACAAAACCAAACCAAAGAACAAACTTGGGTATAACTTCTGAAGCTGCAGTGAACTGACTAGGGAAAAGAGAAGCATTTCAGATCCTGGGAGGGAGTTTTCTGCTTGTTTTCGAGCCAGGCCCCAGCATTAGCAATATGATTACGTTCTCCGAAGCTTGGTGTGTTATTGAACAACTCTGTTGTAGCTGGCCTGGGTGTGCCCATGAGAGAAATGCAACATGAGGCATCAGAATGATGAGAGATACAGACTTCAAAGAAGAGAGAACCAGCTAAATAGTGCTCTTTGTTTTCGAAGCACATGCTACCAAGATAAGCCATTTCATAAGCACCATCCTATGGGCCTCCTCAGAGCCTTGCCAGAGGAGGCAGCTCCAGGCTCCATCCCAGGCTGGGAAGGAGGCTCACAGGTGGACAGTGGTTTTCTTCAGTGCCCAGAGCCACACCCTTGTGCTCTTCTTTAATGCCTCTTTACGACAGACTCTGATGTGAACCATATTCTCAGAATGAATCTATTTGAGTCCCTGGAAATGATAGGTATTTATTTGTGTAATATCATGTAAAGCCCAATTTAAATGGGTCTTCCTATGAAAAACAACATCACACAAGTGGCAGCTGTTCTGATAAAGCTGATATTTGTCATTAACTTGGTTTTCTCCCTCTGCCTCTTGTCCTTTCCACTTGTGGCCTACAAATAACCAGAGGGAAACAAAATGAGATAAAAGGAAAACTTCATGCTGCAATGCATGAGACAAAAGAACATGGATGAGGATATGGCCTCCAGAAAAGAGCATGACAGCTCAATCCACCATTTGTGAGCTCCCCACATTCACAAAATGGGAACACTTGAGGCTGAGTTCTCAGCAGATGTGACAAGATCCAACCACATGATTCTCATTAATGGGCCTGGGAATCCTGCAGTGGAAACCTTAGCCCTGTGCTGAGAATTCTTTCTATTGTTTCATATCCCCCTAAGCCATAAATGGTTGTTATGTAAATGTCATGTTGCTTAATTCCCAATGTACCTTTACTCCCTCTAATCCTCTGTTAGACACATACACATACAGCCAATGTGTTTAGATTTTGCTCAGAAATAAAGCACCCTACCAGCGCTGAGGGAGAGATGAAGGTTAATATCTGTATTTACCTCCCCTGTGCTTAAGGAGGTGAAAAAGGCTGGTGGTGCTGCAAATGGTTGCGCATGCTGCTGAGTCGGGGTGGCCTTCCACAGTTTTGTAATGCAGGCCAGTGTTGTTCAGAATTGCCTTTCTGATAAAACCATCATTGAAATGAGCAGAGGGAAAAAAATAAAAACCAGTTCACCAAACTCTTTCAATACAACTTCTCAAAGAAATGAATACGCCAATGCTAAACAAAGATTGTCAAACAAACAAAAAAGACTACAGCCTTGCCGCACGCTATCCTGTTCTTAAATTGAGATTTGGCAGCAAGGAGCTAAGTACCAACCACTATTTCCAGATCATAGCCCAGCCAAGTGTTTCAGCATTCAACACAATCTTCCCTTGACTTCTCCAGGTATGCAAAAGGGCATTGCTGCAAAGAGGCAAAGACACATATCCTGGATGCGTCAGCTGAGATTATCTGGGAAACTAGACACCTTTTTGACGGATGGGGATAGATGAGCCCTTCAGGTAGAGTTCTCCACTGTCTTTAGAGAATTTACATTAAATCTTGGATTGCTGGAAGTGATGGGGTTGGGGAATGATATGCAAATTCTGCCCTATCTCCTGCAAAGATAAAAAACAATAACTCACAGATGGTAAGCCTAACATGATCTGGTCCCTTATTACTGAATTTCTGAGTTGGATCATGTAGTTCCATGTTCATTTCCCAGATAGGAAATAGAATCCCAGAGGAGATGAGTGACCTATTGAAGTTGTACACCATTAGAGACAGAGTCAGGAATACAATCATGGTCTCTGCTAATGCTCCAGTGTTCTTTCCAATAACCTGGACACCAGAAACTTTTTTAATGCCAAAATATTTACCCATAATTGGTCAATCTAATTATCAAGTTTAGATGTAAAGCTTCTTGGTACAGCCACAATTTTAGTTATTTATTCATTTGTTTATTTATTTTTGATCATTGAACTTGAGCATTTTAGTTTAGTCCTTTTGGATTTCTTTTCCTCTTTGGCTTTTTCTTTTAATAACAGATTTTTAGATCTTACAAATTGAAGATGATGTGTGTAAATTTTTGTGTAATAAATATGTCTGCATCTGTTGAAAAGTAGTTTGAGTATTTTTTATTTTTTTATTTTTATAATTTAGTTTTGTATTTTTGCCATGTTATTTATTTCTTCCCCTGCCCCACAGCTTTACAAAGGTATAATTAACAAATAAAAATTGTATGTATTTATGGTGTACAAAATAATGTTTTGATTTATGTATATGTTGTGAAATGATTACAATAAGGGAATTAATATTAATACATCCATTTCCTCCCTTACTTATCATTTTTTTGCGGTGAGACCATTTAAGATCTACTCTCTTAGCAATTTTCAAGCATGTAATTAATACATTATTGCTAACTATAGTTACCATGCTATACAATAGATCTCCAGAATTTATTCATCCTGTACAACTGAAATTTTGTACCCTTTGACCAGCATATCCCCATTTCACACACGTAGATACCCCCAGCCCCTGGCAACCACCATTCTACTCTCTGCTTCTATGAATTCAACTTCTTTAGATTCCACATGAGTGAGATCATGCAATATTTGTCTTTCTGTGCCTGGCTTATTTCATTTAACACAATGTCCTCCATTTTCATCCACATCATCACAAATGACAGAACCTTCTTCTTTTCTTAAGGCTGAATTATACTTCATTGTGGATATATACCACGTTTTCTTTACTCCATTTACTTGCCAATGAACACAAGTTCATTCCATAATTTTGTCATTGTGAATAATGTTGTAATGATCATGGGAGTGCAGTTACCTCTTTCACACACTGATTTCACATCCTTCGGGCATATGCCCAGATGTGGGATTGCTGGATCATAAGGGAGTTCTATTTTTAGTTTTTTGAGGGATCTTTATACTGTTTTCCATGATGGTTATACTAATTCACATTCCCACCAACAGTGTACAAGGTTCCCTTTTCTCCACATCCTCACCAACATTGTTGTATTTCGTCTCTATGATAATAAGCATTCTAACATATGTAAAGTGAAAAGTCATTGTGGTTTTAAATATGGCCTTTTCTTGCTGATTGGTAATATTAGCATTTTTTTCATACACCTGTTGGCCATTTGCGTGCCTTCTTTTGAGAAATGACTATTCAGGTCCTTTGCCCATTTGTTGAATTGGGTTATTTGTTTTTCTTGCCATTGTCTTGTTTGAATTCTTTATATATTGTGGATATTAATCCTTTATCAGATGTATGGTTTGCAAATATTTTCTCCCATTCTGCTAGTTGTCTCTTTGCTGGGCTGACTGTTTTCTTTGCTATGCAGAAGCTTTTTAGTTTTTTTTTTACTTTTATTTTAGGTTTGGGGGTACATGTTAGGTTTGTTACCCAGGTAAACTCATGTCATGGGGGTTTGTTGTACAGATTATTCTATAACTCAGGTATTAAGTCCAGTACCCAATAATTACCTGTTCTGCTCCTCTCCCTCCTCCAAACCTCCACCACCAAGTAGACCCGAGTGTCTGTTTCCTTCTTTGTGTTCATGTGTTCTCATCATGTAGCTCCCACTTATAAGTGAGAACATGTGGTGTTCAGTTTTCTGTTTCTGCATTAGTTTGCTAAGTTTAACAGCCTCCAGATCCTTCCATGTTCTTGCAAAAGACATGATCTCGTTCTCTCTTATAGCTGCATAGTATTCCATGGTGTGTATGTACCACATTTTCTTTATCTCATCTGTCACTGATGGGCATTTAGGCTGATTTCATGTCTTTGCTGTTATGAATAGAGCTGCAACAAACATTCACATGCATGTGTCTTTATGGTAGAATGATTTATATTCCTCTGGGTATATACCCAGTAATGAAATTGGTGGGTTGAATGGTAGTTCTGCTTTTAGCTCTTTGAGGAATCACCACACTGCTTTCCACAATGGTTGAACTAATTTACTCTCCCACCAACAGTGTATAAGTGTTCCATTTTCTCTGCAACCTTGCCAGCATCTGTTACCTTTTGGTTTTTTAATAGTAGACATTCTGACTGGTGTGCGATGGTATTCCATTGTGATTTTGATTTATTCCTCTAATGATCAGTGATATTGAGCTTTTTTTCATATGCTTATTGGCCACATGTATGTCTTCTTTTGAAAAGTGTTTGTTCATGTATTTTGCCCAGTTTGTAATGAGGTTGTTTGTTATTATCCTGGAAATTTGTTTAAGTGTCTTATAGATGCTGGACATTAGACTTTTGTCAGATGCATAGTTTGAAAATATTTTCTCCCATTCTGTGGGTTGTCTGTTTACTCTGTTGATAGTTTCTTTTGCTGTGCAGAAGCTCTTAAGTTTAATTGGATACCACTTGCCAATTTTTGCTTTTGTTGTGATTGCTTTTGGTGTCTTTGTCATGAATTTTTTGCCCATTCTTATATCCAGGATGGTATTGCCTAGATTGTCTTCCAGAGTTTTTATGGTTTTGGGTTTTACATTTAAGTTCTTAATCCATCTTGAGCTTATTTTTGTCTGTGGTGTAAAGAAGGGTTCCAGCTTCAATCTTCTGCATATGGCTAGCCAGTTATCCCAGCACCATTTATTGAATAGGGAGTCTTTTCCCTATTGCTTGTTTTAGTCAGTTTTGTTGAAGATCAGATGGTCATAGGTGTTTGGCCTTATTTCTATGCTCTCTACTCTTTTCCATTGGTCTATGTGCCTGTTTTTGTACCAGTACCATGCTGTTTTGGTTATTGTAGCCCTGTAGTATAGTTTGAAGTTGGGTAATGTGATGTTTCCAGCTTTGTTCTTTTTGCTTAGGATTGCCTTGGCTATGTGGGCCTTTTTTTGGTTTTAAAATAGTTTTTTCTAGTTCTGTGAAGAATATCATTGGCAGTTTGAGAGGAATAGCTTTGAATCTGTACATTGCTTTGCGAAGTATGGCCATTTTAATGATATTGATTCTTCCTATCCATGAGCATGAGATGTTTTTCCATTTGTTTGTGTATAAATTGTGTATAAATAAATAGTTAAAACTATAGTTAAAATAGTTCAAACTAATGTTCACTTGTCTGTGTAAACAATTAAACTGTAAACTATTAAACACAGACAAGTGAACATCAGAGAAGTTTGGAGACTTGTCCCAGGTACCCTGATTCTAACTGGGATTCTGTAACTCCAAGTCCAGTGAAGGGTGGTCACTTTAAAAAATTGTTTATAAGTGGCAAGTGGAGTGTAAAATTGTAAAGTAGGTTTCTTTTTTTTTTTTTTTTCCCACGTTCTTTGTGTCTCACCCTATGGCTTCAGCCAATTGTCTTTCTGGAGACTGCATCAACACTTTCCCTCTGCTTGAGTTTCTTTCATCACTTTTCAAGCTGTGGATTGGCTATCAGTAAATCAGTCCATATCAGGTTGACCGAGCAAGTGGCCACCTTATTGGCTCTCAAGCACTTGCTGGTCTACCTTATCTTTTAAAAGCCTTTTAAACTTCATGTAGACACACAATCCTGAGGCAGGAGGGAAACATTTTGGATTCAACAATCCAGCACAGTTTGTAAACATTTGCCTTATATAGTCCCTGGTATTATTCCTGGGGTACAGATTGCCCCTTTGTCCTGTAAAAAGGACACACAATACCACTGAGACTTGAATAGCCTTAAAAGTTTATCGGCTTCTAAGTTGTTACTCTTTTTTTTTTTCAGTACAGCAAATATTTCTTTAGGATAAATTTGATCTTTACCCTCTGTTGACTCTGAAAATATGTTTTCCTATTTTCATGTAATTTTCACTCTTCTGATTATCTTCCCCAGTGAGATATATTTTACAATGAAAACCTTTTCTAGGACCGTGAAAGGAAAACTGATCTCCTGAATGATACCTGAATATTATGATTACCATCAAAAGGTGTGAAAACTTTTTTTGGTGGGGAACAAAGCAATCAGCAACTTCTGTTGTTGATTGGGTAGGGAGTGTTACAGGATTTTTAAGTTCAAGAGAGACAGGAACTCTGGAATTAAAGTGGTGATCATTCCGTACCTTGCACATCACAGCAGTGCTACTAGCTGGTGATTAGAGCAAATATACCTGGAATTGCTTCTGAGTATTAGAAACAACTTGGCTCCTTGGGACCAGTGACTCCATCCTGGGTTGTGACCAAGCAGTTCAGGAGAGCTAACTGGCCCACAATAAATTGGACCTCCGACCTTGGCTTCATTAGCCAGCAAAGGCTTCGAGCACTTGAGCTAACCATCCTGGGACAGACTGAAGGGTGATGAGATAGCTGCAATTCAGCCTTTAAGGTTATAGAGGCACAGAGTAATTAATCGTGTCATTCACTGACAGTAACATTTATGAGCCACTTCTGTCTGCAACTGTTTCTTTTACTTGTACTGCGCCTGGTGCAATCAGAAATGCAGTATTTTTATAGAGTCAGCCTATCCAAATTGGTAGCAATGAAAAGATACAATTAAGATAGCTCTTTTTCTTTTTTAATTTTCTAAAGCATTGCAAGAGGTCTGGGAAGA
Organism: Homo sapiens; assembly: GCF_000001405.40. NCBI lineage: Eukaryota > Metazoa > Chordata > Mammalia > Primates > Hominidae > Homo > Homo sapiens. The sequence goes on from NC_000007.14 coordinate 41,415,584, forward strand.
ATTTGATTAGCCTGCTTCTGGCACATAGCCGCAGTTCTGTGGGTCTAGACTGGTCTCATATTTTCCTGTGTGCAGCTTTCCGAAGAGCTACGCCTTTACACTGAGTCTTTCTTGTGAAACAGTAGGATTTGGGCTACATTCCAGGTATATGCAAGTATTTATTATTAGTTCTCGTAATCATAATCACTATAAACATTAATGCATTTTAACAATCTGACAGCCAGTATCTTAAATCCCCAGGAATCTTAGTTAAATCCCAAGGAAAACTTTGTAACAGTTGTTTGGGGACATTTGGGGCAGCATTTACAAGCAGGGAAAGACCAGTTTTCCAATTTTCACAATAGGCCTGATCGATGGTTCAGTTTTAGTTCCTTTAGCCTTTGGACTGTTTCATCATGTGAGCACACAAAGAAGATGTAATTGGGCACATATAATCCAAATACCTCTGGGCAGGAATTCTGATGAAGGCCCATATCCTGGAAAAGAGGCATGTGATTGCACCAGTGTCAACATGTTTGAATTTGTTGCAGAGTCTGCCAAGCTCACAGGCCATTTGAATTTCATGGATTCATATTTTCATAGTATTGGGCCTTCACTAACTTCTTTGCTATCAGGGGTCATTCTCTCTTGGTTCAATCAACTTCCTGTTGACAAAAAAAAAAAGAAAGAAAAAAACAACTCTCAAAGGCTTCTTGGACCTTAACAGCTCTTACAAAACAAATTATGATGATTTAAGTATGAATGATTCAGAAACATATGGATTGAATTTCCTTTCACATACATGTGGATTCATCTATTAAAGGGGAAAATGCCTTGGAAACCTGCGTTTGGGGTTTTATCCAGTCTCGTGTATTCACATTATAGTTTTAAACATACTGGGATAGAAAGAGTGTACTTGCAACCACAAGGCATGCACAGGCAGGCCCTCCTTCTCAGCTTCCATTACACGTGGACATGCTTCACTATAGGCTATCACTTATAATTGACTATTTTTCAAACAAGGGCTCTGACTTGCCATCTTTGAATCTCCATCACACAATACAGTGTTTGCTATGTATTAGGAGAGTGAAAAACTTTGTTATATGAATGAATGGATGCATGGGTTAATTAATGAATCAACTGGAGCCCACTTATCCTTTTTGCAACTGGTCCTGTTTCTGAGCTTAGGCTGCAGGTTGGTTCAATCACAATAAGCTGTAGGTGGCCAGAGGCACTGACGCATCAGAGGCCATACCACAAGGGTTTCAAAACTTTCAACAAACCACCCTTAGGATTGGATTCTGGGTGGGTAATTCTCACTATGTTTTTGGTTGTCAACTGTCTGAGACTATTTTTTTCTCAAACGTTTGCGTTTAGTAAAACTCAACATGTTTTCCCAAGAACATCCCCCCACAATCTAAACCCATGTATATTTTAGGGGAAATTTAATCCATGTGCCCCTCAGTTCATTCACATAGATCATCAACATGCTCTTTAGTAAGAGCTATTGTGAGATTTTTGTGTAAATATTTGTCGTCATCTATAAAGTTGCATTTACCCAGTGATATCTGGGGCAGTCTATGTTGCTTGCCTACCCAATAGATCGCATTTTTTTTTTCTAATCAAACCTCAATGCTATCTTGATGTTGGACAGTTCTATATCCCAGGCATCTCCCTCCAGTGCTAAGTGGGGGTGTGAGTAAGGTAGGATGAAGAGTTGATATTTGTTATATTCCCCAAATACGTAAATTCCTTCCCTCTTGCTAGTGATTATTTTGAGCATCGTCATGTGGTCTGCTGATTAATGCGCTCTACTGAACAGACTTCTAGCAACATTTTCTTCCCTCTTAAACAGTGACCCAGTACAGGCACTGGACTCTTCCTGCCTTTGGACATTGTCTGTGAGGACATAGTTTTGAGACTTCTGTGGCCAACCATGAGGGCAAGGACAAGAGAACTGAGGAGAAGCCCCCTTTGAATCCTTAGCTTCTGAGCTCACCAACTCTGGAAACAACCCGCCTCCAGACATCTTGCCATGTGAGATAAATCCCATTTCATTTAAGTCATAAGTAATTGAATATTCTATGACTGCCAAATATATTCCAATTAAATATGACATCTAAACTATGATTTTAGAATCTCTGGACTGGTATAGAAAGTGGTAGGACCACTTGATGTGAAATTGTCCATTCAGTGGCAAAACTTGAGTTTTCACCTTTTATAGTTAAGAGCCTAGTGAGATTTATTGGGAATTAAAAATTAATCTAAATAAATATAAACAGTGGTAAATTTTATGTGTATATGTTAATACTTCCTTCATTTGCATGTATTCAATTGCTATTTTTATTTTTTAATAAAGAAAAACTGTGAAATAGTTTAACAAAGATGATCAAAATACTTGATACTTCATCCCTACTTTTTCTCGAACTTGAACCTGGCTACTATAATTCATAAGCAAGCAACTGGTAAAAATAAGTTGAACTGTTTTAAGTCTATTAAATTACTAAAAATGATAAAAAATAGTTCATGTAATTAATTGCTTCTACCTTCTTCTATGTATTGCTTTTCAACTTCATTTCCAAATGCTCTGAATTTTTCTGGGTCTGCTTCGACTTGCTCGCTGACCTCAGTTAAGGCAGATTCATCTAAAATACTGGTACCGATTTTAGAAACACAAAGATCAAATGTGCTCAGTTATATTTTTCTTAATTATCAGCAGCATAAAGACACAAATCTAATTCTGTTATATTCTATGACATACTAGGCCCTGGGCGTTACAGAATAGTGATCAATACAGTTATAGTGTGGCTGGTTTTTAAGTGTAAAATCCTAGACTGTAAAAGACAGAAGGACCAATAGAGATAAACTCAATCAGTGGTTTTTAAAACGTGCCTCTGGGTGCTCTTGGCCTTAGCTGTCTCTTAATTCCTAGGTGAGTTGGCAAGTATATTTGTAATGCGAAGTTTGCACAAGGAAGGCTGCAAGGGAATAACATGAAACCAAACAAATGACACCATGTGTGGTAAAGCAACACCTATCAGAGGAATTTGGGATTCCTTTCAAATCATGAAGCAGCCTTTGAAGAGCAGGTTTTGATTAGGGGGCAAAAGGGAGTAGTAGGGAACATCAGGCGGGATGGAATGGCATGAGGAAAGCCACTTGTGAAAAAGCAGTCTGGGGCATGAGCAGAGACTTGCTCCACTACAGAGACGAATTGATGTTGGGAAAGCATAAAGGTTAGACGATCAGGGATGGCTAGATTGTGAAGGCAGGTTAATCTTAAGGAGAGCTACAAAACACAGCAATTATAATGTGTATGTGCATCACCTGGAGATCTGGTTAAGATCCAGATTCTGACTGAGTGGCTCTGGGTGGGGCCAAGAGGCTGCATTTTTTTAAACTTTCAGGTTTAGGTCCAATGGATCCAAGGACACCATGAGTAGCTACAATTACGCTATTGTTGTAGAATCTGGTCAGGAGTCAGGAATCCTCTTAAATTAATAATGGAAAGGTAGAAAAAAATTGAGATGACCCGAGAATGAAAATCTCAGTATTCCAAAAAAAAGATAATGGTTTGTTTTCTTAAGTTAGCAGCTTGTGTTCCTGGAGTGAATTGCATTGCATGGTGTGTAGTGAAAGCTATATAAGCCAGCATTTGAGTCCTTTTTCTTCCATTTCCACTCTAAGCCTCTCATTTTCCTTATTTACTGATCGTGGCTAATAATTGTATCATTTGGCTGTTTTTTGGGATGATTATATAGATTTATATAAGCTGTGTAGTACAATGCCTGGTGCCCATTAGGCACCCTACCAAATAACACTATTATTGCTTTAATTGTGATTATTGTTATTTATTAATCCTGCAAATCACATGAAAAGAATTTCTAAATATCTCCAGAGAGCCTGAGTATCTGCAGTCTTTAAGATACCTTTATTTTCTATAGAAAGCAGACTCGCCTCTGCTGATCAACTTGGGGAAAACATCAAAAGTGATGATATCAAACAGGATTTCCTTGTGACCAGAAGAATCTAATTACTTCCACGTGAAACTCTGATGAGGTAAAAAAACATTTATGCATCTAAACCACTTGCTAATGGTCAGGGGTGTAATGCACAATTCCCACCAGTAGATACATGGCATAAAACTTACAAGTGTTGAAACCTGAAGTAAGTCACGAAGGTCCCTCTGCTCACCAGGGATGTCACTGTGCTTTCACTGTCATTTCAAGAAGTTATTCAGTTTCATTTTTTTCTTTCTTTGAAAACTGTGTTCATCTTCATCCTCCTACCCAAGCCCATGCCCCTCTCCCTCCCTCATGCGGTCCTTACTCTCAACCACACAGGCACACGCTCAATGGCTTATTCAGTGAACACCTGGAATCACAACCATTATCGTTGCAATAACTTTATTTCACAAATGAGAAAGTGAAGGAATTTAGGTTTAAAATGCTCACCCAACTCACACAAAGGATTCTTAGTGTCCTTGAGTTTCCAAGATAAGAAATATGAGGAATGCTATAAAAAAGGAAATAACACCATCTTTTATCATTCCTCTCATAAAAAATGGTTTCTCTGATGTATGTTGTTAGCCATGTGATCAAGCAGAGGTTTTTCTGATGTACGTTTTTGGTCATACAGGTAGGCAATATGAGCAGTGGTTAAGTATAAGAATTCCAGTTGAGGCTTCCAAGTTTCACATCCAGCTGTTATTGTTTTACTTGTTGCTATTATTATTAGGTAGCAATATAACCCAGGATGAGTTACTTAATCACTGGGCCTCAGTTTCCTCTTCTTTAAAATGGGATTGATAATAACAGCCCACACTTCACAGGGTTGCGGCTCCATTTAAATTGGTTGGTAGACATAGAGTGCTTGGAGTAAGACCTGCAACATCACGGTCTTTCTTTCTGAATCTAGACATTTCTTTGGTTTGAGCAACCTGAACATACTTTTTCATCGCGGTCTGGCTATTCTAACAGTTCCAGTGACTCTTGTTCATTTTGTTTCAATATGTGGTTGTAATAACAAAGATGACTACATGATAAATGTCCATGGAACATTCTTCCAATGACCAGAAAATCAAAATGCAACCATAATGTGAATAATGGGCCAACTTTTTATTGGGAAATATTTGGCAGAGGCTAGACTTTTTAAGGCAAGTATTATATTCAAGGAAAATGGTTTGAAGTGAAAATGTTTTTAGATACTGTCAACAAAACTAACTTGTATAATCCCACTTGCTTGCTTCATCATATTCATATTGTTAGCCCTACATCAAAAGCTAGATTGGATCTAGATTTTCTTTTAAAAAAAGTGTTTCCCAAGTCTGCTTTCCATTATCCCCAGCAAAATCTGTTTCAATATTCAAAACTCATGAAAACAGTGAAAAGAAAAATGTCAGCAGAATCCCCTCTAGCTAAACGTGCTCAAGGAGTTGGTAACAAATCCTTGCTGAGAAAATCGCACAGGCACCATGCTTCTCTGTTTGGCATTTTTAATCACCTGAGATGTGTCCCGCAGTTTGCTTCTGAGCCAGTCCTGGACTGGGTGAATTCCCACGAAGGGAGATTTCCAAAGTTGAGTTCACTTGCAGCTACTGCTCCCACTCATGATCCCAGCCATGCTGTGGTAGGTGGAAAAGGCAAGAAGTTGAGTTGATGACTATGAAAGCTGGCCATCAAAAGGCTGCGTGCTTATTCACAAATACTTTCCTCCTCATAAGTTTCTACCATCTGGCATTCAGCACAGTAGAATGAAAACACTTTTACCATGATTGTAGAGCAAAAATTGAATAATTAGGAAAGAAAAACTCCCTCTGCTATCCCTAGACCAGCAGAAAATCCTCTAAATGACTGATTTCATGCAAAGCATCCTCTGCTTTGCTTTGATTCCAGAGCAGTTTCTGATACTAGTTCTTAAATAGGATTGTTAACTGTTGTTCAATAATGTCTGAAGAGCTTGTAAAGAGATAAGTGAAAACCCTTGTAAGTATTTAGTTTCTTCTCAAACGCAAAAGAACAACCACCCAGGGCCCTTTTAGTTCATGTAAGACCTAGCACATGGAAATCTAGCAAGCTGGGGGAAAACATAGAGGCAGGAAATTCTGTGGCTTCTCTCAGAAGACAAGGATCGAATCCTTCTAAGGGAAGGAGACCATTTTCACACTTTCCTTAATCACTACATTTTTCTGCCTTGAGGGAAAGGCAGGAACAGGAGGCCATGAGACCCACTACATAACCTCTGAGTCTTCTACTTTCCAGGTTGAAATCTCCCATCCTCCCTATTCATGGCTGCTTGAAAAGAGGCACCTTATTCATTCACTCATTGGCCCTGGGCTAAACAAACATGGTCCCTACCTCATGATGCTTCTAATCTATTAGGAAAACAGATAATCACAAAATACATTAAAATGTTACTTAGTCATGATTGTGATAAAAATTGCAAAAATGAAGTAGAGCATAATACAAAAATTTTAATCATATGATTTAACTTAGGAGATGTGGTAAGGAGGAGTATTGAAGAAAACACTTACTCCTGGCCTCCTTCTCCTGCACTGTTACTTACAAAGCTTCTCGTAACACACCCATCTCCTATAGATATGCTATAGGAGTGCCATAGAAATACTGCTTATAAATATGTATTACCAGTGTCTAGATTATAAAATAAGAAGTGTATTCAACAAATATTCATTTGACAATTTTTTAAATATTTCCTATTTGCCAGGAACTCTTCTAAGTACTCAGAATGAAACAATAACCAAAATAGACAAAATTTTAAAAACACATAAACAAACCCTGACTTCCATGAAGCATACATTCAGGAAGGGAAGAAAGAAAATGAACAAAATAAGGAAATGAAATGTAAAGTATGTTAGAAGGTGAAACAAGCTAAAGAGAAAAATAAAACAAAAAAGACTACCAAGAGGCTAGGGCCTATGTTGGGAGGGACAGGTGTTACAACTTTGTGTGAGATGGCCAAAGGCAGCCTCACTGAGTAGTTGACATTTAAATAAAAACCTCCAAGTTGGGAGAAGGAGCCTCCTTTGTATCTGGGATTGGGGCACAATATGAAGCTGGAGATTTGGCCGAGGCCAGATTTGAGAAGAAGTCTGTTCAGAGTTTTAACTCTATTGGGAAGGATATAATCAGACTTAAGATTTTTTTTAGAATAGTTGGGGTCTCACTCTGTTACCCAAGCTAGAGTGCAGTAGCACAATCATGCCTCACTGCAGCCTCAAACTCCTGGGCTCCAGGCATCCTCCTGCCTCAGCTTCGCATGTAGTTGGGACTACAGGTGCATACCACTACACCCAGCTAATGGTTTTTGTTTTGTTTTGTTTTTGTAGAGTTGGAGTCCTGCTTTGTTGCCCAGGCTGGTCTCGAACTCCTGACCTCAAGTGATCCTCCCTTCTCGACCTCTCAACAGACTTATATTTTAAAACAACTACTCTCTAGCTATTCTGCAGGAAATGAATGGGGTGGTAACAGAAGAATATTGAGAGAGATCAATTGAGGAAGCTGTAGAAATATTGTAGACAAGATAAGGTAGTACAGTAGACTAGATATTTGCATGTTTCTAAGATTTGTGTGTTAAAATGTGGTGGCATTAAGAAGTGGCACCTTTGGGACGTGAATAGGCCATGAGGGTGGAGTCCTCTTGAGTGGCATTAGTGACCTTATAAAAGAGGCCCCAGCAGCCGGGCGTGGTGCCTCATGCTTGTAATCCTAGCACTTTGGGAGGTCAAGGCGGGTGGATCACCTGAGGTCAGGAGCTCGAGACCAGGCTGACCGATGTGGTGAAACCCCGTCTCTACCACAAATACAAAAATTAGCTGGGGGTGGTGGCGGGTGCCTGTAATCCCAGCTACTTGGGGAGGATGAGGCAGGAGAATCGCCTGAACCCAGGAAATGGAGGTTGCAGTGAGTCAATATCGTGCCATTGCACTCTAGCCTGGGTGATAGAGTGAGACCCTGTCTCAAAAAAGGAAAAAAAAAAAAAAGAGAGAGAGAGAGAGAGAAAGACCCCAGCAAGCTCTCTAGACTTCTTTCTGCCATGTAAGGACACAATGAGAAGTTGGTAGTCTGCAACCAAGAAGGAGGCTCTCATAAAGCCTGGTCATAATACACCCTGAGCTCAGATTTCCAGCCTCCAGAATGGTTAGAAATAAATTTCTGTTGTTTATGCACCGTTCAGTCTATGGTACTTTGTTATAGTAGCCTGCACTGACTAGGATAGCTAGTAACCTGGGCAAGGGCTGTAGTTAATAGAGATGAATAGACAAGAATGAGTTTGAGATGTTTTAGAGGGAGAATTCACAGGACATGGCAGCTGTGCGGATATAGGAAACGATGGGCAGAGCATATGTATTTCTTGTTCTTGGTCCAACCTACTCCCAAGATAGCTCTGCTTGACCTTCATCTCTTTCCTCCTGGTATGGTGCTTATAACTGACCCAGGTATTATTATACTTTAGCTAAAAGTTATTGCAAGTGGTTTTCAGCCAGGTACATACTCCACAGGGAGATGTCAGCAAGTCTAACCAGGCTGTAATGTAAAGGTTTATAAGCATGATTTTAGAAAGGTTAAGTGCAAAGAGAGTCTCTGTAAGGGCTAGAGCCCACACTGGTCACGAGATGCTCACAGCATGCAAGGCAGTAATGATCTAGAATCTCCGGCTCGATTGGACAAGGCAAGAGGCACAAATGTATGTGCAGAGGAGCCTGTCAATAGTTTATTGGAATGAGAAGGACTTATCTTTCCGCGTGCTATGACTGGAGCTCTTAATGTACAGGTCTCTTCCCTAGGTTTAAGTATGTGCTAGTAAGCCTCACAAAAACAAAAAGGGAAGGTTTAATTTGAGCTGCTTGGTTTGGACAGAAAAACTCTTTTCTGTTAGGAGTCCAAAGAACTGCTATAGCCCACATGTCCTGGGATGGAATAATGTCAGAAAGGCCATTTCTGTTGGGAGAGTGGCAGTTTCAATAAAGCTTAAAGCTTTTGGTATTACACTCAGCTAGTATGGCCCATTCAATCCCCAGGGGGAGGTCATACAAGACCTTGGGCACCCCACATGAGGCCTGTGGGCCCACTGGTGCCCAATGAAAGACTCTAGAAAAACCAGAGGAAGTAGATTGTCTTGTTCAACTGGGCCAGGTTGGTTAGGACTGACCACTGCCCTGATGTGGTGCTGAGGACCTTTGCTGCTAGGTTTGATCACACAGCTGAAATTCAAGGCAGGGATTAGTCATTACATAATATGTGCCATTTAAAATTAACCCCACTAAAATCAAGAGAATAGGATGAATAAATTGTGATGTATTCATAAGATGGACTTCAAGACTGCCATTAAGAATAAATCTAAAAAGAAAAAACCTGGGGGAAAAAAATCAGGTTAGCATCTATGGTATTGGCCCATTAAAATAAAATCTCTCTCTCTCTGTCTCTCTTTCTCTCTCTCTCTCTCTCTCTCACACACACACACACATACACACACAGGCGCACACACACACACTTAAAGAAACAGAGATGGGCAGAGACAGGGAGAAAGAAATGACTAAAATAATACATATTAAAGCATTAGTCATTCCTGTTTTGAAATATTTAGATGAATTTTCTTCATTTTAATAATCTATTTTCTGAAGGTGTATTATCTCATGATAAGAAATGAATACATAAAATTACAGCATAAAACTGGGCCATTATAAAAGATAACTACAAAAGTAAAAAAGAAATATGCACGTATGCCTCAATCCATTTAATATTCAGACCCCATCTTGAACTCCCTTAACTCATTCTTTTTGTTAATAAAACATTGCCACGATCCGTTCATCACTGTTTTCTGTTCATGTGGTCCACCACTGAAAAACCTTCAACATCTCTCCCTCAGAAAAGGAATCTATAGCTCCCTCAGGGCAAGGCTTCCTAGTGCTTTGCCCAGAAATTATTATTTTTCATCTAAAACTGTGGAGAAAAGTTTGCTGAGATCATAAAACCCTAAAAATAAGAGAAGAATACCTCAGGCTGGTGAATCTCTGAAGTGTGAGAGTCAACACAGACAGATACGTTCCAGCTTCACCTAAGTGAGTCTTGCCACAGAGGCTATTCCTCTTCCCTCTGTAGGAATGAGCTGTTTGGGGAAACTGAAGTCCCTACGCTGAACAGGGACAGGAAAGGCAGGGCAGTTTCAACATTTGGAAGGACAGACTGGCAAAATCCCACTTAAGACTCCTTCTAACCCTGAAATGTATTTGCATCCAGAATATAACTCACAAGACCATAAAATCAGAGAAGGGATCATAAAAATGATCTAGTCAGACCTCTTCATTTCAAAGATGACAAAATGTAAACTCTGTGAGGTTACTTCCCCAGGGTCTCATTATTGTCAGTGGCAGCAGCAGCAGATCACAGTTTTATATATTGTCTATTTTAAGATGGACTGGACTATACGTAAATGGAGTATAAGTAGTTCCTATAGCCAGCATTCTTATAAAGACAGCAGTCAAGGGAATGAAAGCTCCCAAAGTTCATAAACAAGTAGAGGATGGCTTAAACATGATTCAGAAAGAGAACAAAGATTAAGATGAGTCAGAGACTAACCCTCTGGCTACTCATGATGGGAAGCTCTTCGCTTCCCTTGGAAAGAAGGTTGGTGGCCACATCAGATATCCAATACTCACCGTAATTATCTGAAGTTACATGTATGTGTCAGGTACTAGTTTGCATGCATAATCCATTGTTTCTCATGTTTTTTTTCTGATTACTTAATTCATAATTATCTAGCATAGGTGAGAATATTATTTATTTCTAGAGCCTACCCAGAACCTATGAGTTAGAATCTTTAGGGGTGTTCTTGAGTGTCTGGAATTTATACCAGCTCCCTAGGCGGTTCTTCTGAGCACAGAGCTTGAGAACCACTGACATAATCCACATATTGTGTTTTGATTCTTCTTATTTTACTCATTTGTATTAAAAAATATTGAATCAAGTTCCCTGAAATTAAAAGAAGATAACTCAGGAATTATTTGAACACTTGTATACCAACTCTTCTCTTCATCTCCATATTTATTCCTGGACAGGAGCTATTACTGAATTGAATCTTCTAGGTCTATGCTGTACCTCTGTTTTCCAGCCAAGGCCATTGCTAGGGGCCACATTATCATATTGTCATATCTGCTATATGACTTTGTTTTTATCTATCAACTTCAAAACTTTGTATCTTTTCCCATAGCTAGGAAAGCCCCAAGGCCCCTGCCACATCTTCACCTCCATTCCCTTCTTTCCGTCTCACTGTCCCCAAACTAATTCAGATCCTCAATCTTCCCACCTAATGGTTTTGTCACCAGGGTACCTGTCTTCATCTCTTTTCCAATTATGACATTTGCCAGGTTAGTCTTCCAACAGGGCTACTCCAGTCATGTTTCATAGTTCATCCCTGTAAAAGCAGCCAACTGAATTAAAACTAAAACCATTGACCTGGCTTTCAGAGCCCTCTTTTGTGTGACCCTAACCTAAATTTCCAGCCTTTTAAAACTTTCCTACTTGTATCCACAGTGGACTTGACCTTGCCTGCCTATATGCCTTTGCTTATACGGTTGGAATAACAAGAACTTCTGTCCTCATTTCTACTGGTTGAAATCTTAGCCATCACTTTTGATCCCTCCTTCAAAAGACACCTCATCTGTAAGGCCTTAATTAGTTCCTCTGATTTAATATTCTCAACCTTCTGTAAAGCCTCTGCTTTGTGTACCTCTCTTAAAAGATTTTCACATTTATCGTTTTAAAAGTTATTTGTATAATTGTCTCATCACCTGTAACAACTGAATCAGCATGTTTGCTGCATAAGTTTTCCTGAATAAATCATTTTTAAAAGCTGTGTTTCAAGAAACTTCTCAAATGTGGGATAAATTTATCTTCCTCCAATAACGTGAAGAGGTTTAATTGACAATGCATAAACCACACTCAAACATCAGGGGACACTTCATAAAATGGCTTGGTTTTTAAAAGGTATTTATCACACTTTTTACAAAACCTTGAGATACCTGTAATCTTGAAGATCAAGCAATAGCATTCTGCAGAACTCCACTGAGGAACTGACTTTCATTCCCTCTAAGGCCTGTTTTGGACACATATCCAAATGGGTCGCTAACACATTCTACAATAAGCCCTAATATTCAACATCCAGAAGAGCAGAAAGCCCTGTTGGATCCAACTTAGTATACTTGGAGGTCTCAGGGCTTCTCCACGATGCACAGCTTGGCCACCTTATGAGAACCTGGTAGAATTTCACCCAGAGTTACATCAGTGAAGCCTGTTTATTTTGTTGGGTATCTCCCTCCCTCTTCTTTTTTACACTGATTTTTTTTCATATGACATTGACAAATCTCATTTATTTTTTCTCTAGAGAGCCACATTTTGTGATCCTGAAAGTTTTCTTACACTCCCTCACCAGCCATTTCTGCTCCTTCAAGGGCTTATCTCTATTGTATGTCACTTGATGGAAGTCCCTACATGCTCCTTCTAGATGGTGATCTTTACAAAGGCAGAGACTACGTGTTATTGAGGTTCAAATTCACTTCATTGCAGAGCAGAATGTTGGGATCTGTTCGTTTTCTTAATAAATGTTTCTCAAACTAAATCTCTGAAGCTGAATGTTGATATGATTATTAAATGAAATAATTTATATAAACTGTTGTGCCCAATAAAAGGTAAACAATAAATGGAATCCAAAAATCAGACAACATTGGCCCTCATGTAACCTTCCTATTCCTTCTCTTTCCAGTGGCTTAAATTAAATTAAAAGCCATCTATGTGATTCCTTTGGTTTCATGTCCTAGGGATGGTGATGACTTTAGAGTCATACACTCACTGGCAGGCTCTCAGCTTGTGGGGCAGCATGGCAGTTCTGTAAGTGAGCATATTAACAGGACACAGCTGTGAACAACAAAGTATTGGTACATAGAGATTATACTGTGCTGAAAACACAGGATCTGGGCAGACGGAGATGAATACCATTAGATAATATGTTAGGAAGAAGTTGCCTAAGAAAGCCAAATAGTTTATATTTCACTATTATTAGACATGCCATTGGAGAAAGTTTTTAAGAAACGTGTATTCATTTCCAAGAAGTAAGTCTTGAAAGTACTCGTGTCAAGTATGCTGGCTCTTATGTGTGCCGTTTTGATTTTAACTGTAGGAGAATATGATTTTCCCTCAAAAACTCTTCTTTCTACATAAGCTTGGAAAATTAGGCAACTGCTGCCAGAAGGATTTTGAACATCCATCCCCAAGGATTTTCATGGGAAGGTATTCAGAATTCAAATTTGAAAGCTTATATCTTAATCAAAACATGTAGGCAGTATATACATTTCTACGATGATCTCACAGTAAAATGTTAACAGCAAAATTCTTTTAAATAGAATGACATGAAAGGACATTAAATCTCGTAAGTGCAATTACCTCCAGAGGTAGCCACACTCACATTCTGGAAAAAAATACACACATTACACACAAATATACACAAAAAAAGAATCCCAAATTCCATGGTGTTGTATTTAGCCTCATAATAGTCAACTGAATTAGCTCTGAATTATTCAGCTGGCTCAGTCTCCCTTTGTGGCAATGATAGCATCTTTATCTGACCTAAAACTAACAGCGTGACATACTGGACAAGTGTATGAACTCTGAATGTAACATCTCCATTCAATTCCCAGCCTTAACCTTCACTACTCGTGGGAGCCCAGTAAGTTACTTATTGTCTCTTTCCTTCCTTTCCCTTATCTATAAAGTAAGGATGATGATGATGATACCTACCTCATAAGGTGCTATATAATAAACATGAAGATGGAAGAATTATTAATAATAAACAAATAACTCATTGAGACATTTCTAGAAAAGCCTCCCAAAGGAGGCAATGGAGGAACTAAATATTGAAGGAGAAATAGTTAATAGAGGAGGTGATCCAAGGAGAGAGAACTTCAAGTCCGAAAGCAGCAGCACTTGGGTAAATGGCTGGAAAAAAGGGCATAAGTTGGTAAGTATTGAGAGAGATTGTGCTGGAGGAGATTGCTCCAGCAAGATCTTAAAGGCCCTTGTCAACCATATAATGGATCTTTCGTAGTTTTCTGAAGACAGTGGAGTCACTGAGTGCTCTGAGAAGAATGAGGACATACCACCATGATAGCTGGTGGCATTTATTATCCATGACCATGAACCTCAAGCAAAGCCCTAGCTCTCCCCATAAAGTGCTCCCGAGTCCAATTACTGTCCCACTTACTAGACCACTATTTTGTATTTTCTCATCTCAAACTTCCAAACCCTCCTCCTCCAGCCTACTCTTTGCTGATAGCCTTGCTTTCCACTCCACCGAGAAAAGAGAAGCGTTGGGGAGGGAAATTCCACAAGCTCCCTTCTGCACCTGCCCACCGACTATTTTTGTGGCTTTGTTCTCTACTTCTCCATTTCCCTGTTTTCCCTGGGGGGAACTGGCCAGGCTCCTGGATTATACTTACTTTCCATGAGTTCACGAGATGCTGCTCTCTCTCACTCAGAGACTTTTCTCCAGCCTTCCTCTCCTGTTTCTCCTGCAGCAGCAATCCTTCCCTTTCCACCAGGCTATTCCAGAGCATACAAAAGGCTGCCATTTACCTTTATCTTGAAGAAAATGCTGTCTTGACCTCACTTCATGCTCCATCTGCTGTCCTGTATCTCTCCTTCCTTTCATAGATGAATTCCTTGAAGAGCTGTCTCTTGCTGTCTCCAGTTTCTCTCCTATTCTCTTGTAAACCTGGTCCAATCAGGCTGTCACCCTAACCACTGCTCTGAAACATCTCTTATCAGGGTGGCCAAGGACTTCCACTTTCTTAAATCCAATCAGTGGTCCTCTATCATCCTATAAGCAGCATTTGACACAGTTGATGACTCTCTTCTTCTTGAAACTCCATCTTTGCTTGGCTTCTAGAACACAGTGTTCGCCTGGTTTTCCTCCTCCCTCCCTGGCTACTTCCTCCCATGCTCATTTTTCAGTTTCCCCTTATCTTCCCAACATCTTCATGTTGGAGTGCCCAGGGACAGTCCTTGTGCTTCTCTTCTCTCTGTATATCTACACTATTGGCAATCTCACCCATGTGCCAATTACTCCAAGAGGTATGTCTTCAGCTGAGACTTCTCTCCTGAATTCCAGACTCATCAATCCAACTGCCTAGTTGACATCATCTTAGGTTATTTAACCACATTTCAAATTCACCATGCCCCAAAGTGAACTCCTGATACTCTCCTAAACCTATTTTTTCCCTTGACCTAGCCATCTCAATAAAGACAACTCCATTCTCCAGTTATCTAGCCCAAAATGTTTAGCCAGAATTGATTCCCCTTTTCTTTTATACCCTACATCAAAAACATCAACATGTCTCTTTCATTCTTTTAAAAATTCCCAGAACCTGACCTCTTGATATCCTGTCATTCTTCACACTTGTTTTACTTTTCCTTGCTTTATTTTTCTGCTAAGCCCTCATACCTCCTTTTTTTTGTTTGTTTGTTTTTGTTTGTTTGTTTGTTTTTTGAGATGGAGTCTCACTCTTTCACCCAGGCTGGAGTATAGACATGAGATCTCGGCTCACTGCAACCTCTGCCTTCAGGGTTCAAGCGATTCTGCTGCCTCAGCCTCCCAAGTAGCTGGGACTACAGGTGCCCGCCTACCTTGGCCAGCTAATTTTTGTATTTTTAGAAGAGATGGGGCTTCACCATGTTGGCCAGGCTAGTCTCGAACTCCTGACCTCAAATGATCTACTCGCCTCAGCCTCCTAAAGTGCTGGGATTACAGGCGGGAGCCACCATGCCTGGCCAGCACTCATACCTTCCTATAGAGAATATAACATAATTATTTTGTTTGCTGACTCCCCGCTACCCGACCACCTGCTGGTCCCAATTTTGCTTGCCATCTCCTCATAACACAGGGTGCTGTTTGCTTCCTTTATTACCCTTTGTTGCTCCACTGGCCTGTCTCTACCAAGGGCCATTTTGTACAATGTAGACATTGATTAGATATTTGCTGAATGACCATGCAGTAAATGCATGCATTCCATTATTATTTTCTTGTGCTCTTCCCAGTGATGCCCAAAATTGTGTTGACCTTTATATGTGACTTCAATACAGAAGCCAGTGAATTTAGGAAAAAGTCAGTTTCTCTTACTTCCTTTCTCTGGCTTATAGCTGGTAATTTGGTTTCCATTATCTTATGAGTCAGGTTTAGATGACTTTGCTCTAAATTCATTTCTTTCCATTTGCCCACACTGAAGCATATCTAACCCTCTTCTTACCACCCACGTAGCTTTTTCGTGTGGCCATTGTTGGCTTGGCACAATGCGTGAGCTTAATGTCATTTTCAGAACCAGAAATTCCATTTTGTGTTCCATCATCAAAATCTCATACTAAAAGATACTAATTTCAGCTTTGGAAAACTCACCCACTTATACCATAATACTTGAAAAATTTTGTATGCTTTCTTAACATTTCTTTCCTCCAAATAAGAGAGTTCTCTCTATATAATAAAACATGTCTCTTTATACTTCTAAAGTTTCAAATGTACAAGTCCTTTACGTATCTTAGGCTCAGGCTTTGGTGTTCTATATGTTTTGTTTCTATTACAAATAAGACTTCCATACTACCAATTACATTACTCATTGGTCCAGGAATTGGAGAGAAACCTATAGACTGGCCAGCAGCCTATGAGGAGGCAAGCATTGGAAGAGCCTTTGAGTCAGCGGAGTGGCTTTGGAACCACTATACTACGGTTGGAACTGTTGAGCAAAATGGCCATCATGGTGAGAACTGGCTACACTTCAAAGTACCTAAAAGACAAAAAATATCAAAAAACCCAAGAGGCAAAGTAACTGGCCCTCTCATTTACTTACTGTATCCAAGCTAATGTTTGATTGGTTTGTTTTTCACATTAGATTTTCTGCAACCACACTATGTAGAGATTTTCTATTAGATTTTCTGCAACCATACTATCTAGGGATGATAATATGTCTTCTTCTTTCTAGTATGTATAGTTTTATTTTGGTTTTTGTCAAGTAAAAGTGGGATGAGTGAGCAACTTTTTTCCCCGCCTTTAGCGGTAGCATCTTAAATATTTCATTACTAATTTTTACACTGGATATGGGTTTGAGATATATAGTCTTTATTACAATATAGATGTATTCATGAATCCCTATTTGGCAATTTTTTAAAGATTGAAGTTAAATTTAACTGAATGCCTTTTCAATATCAATTAAGATAATTGTAGAATTTTTTTTTCTCTTGACTGAGAATATAATTAATTAATCAATTTTGAATACTAAGTTACCTTGCCATCTTATATAAATCTTACTTGGCTTTTTTTTTTTTTTTTAATGGAATGTCGCTCTGTCGCCAAGGCTGGAGTGCAGTGGCACAATCTTGGCTCACTGCAACCTCTGCCTCCCAGGTTCAAACAATTCTCCTGCCTCAGCCTCCCGAGTAGCTAGGACTACAGGCACACGCCACCACGCCCAGCTAATTTTTTGTATTTTTAATAGAGACAGGGCTTCACCATGTTAGCCAGGATCGTCTCGATCTCCTGACCTCGTGATCTGCCCACCTTGGCCTCCCAAAGTGCTAGGATTCCAGGTGTGAGCCATAGCACCCAGTCGACTTTTGGGGGTATTTTTAAAATGAATTTCTGGATTTGGATTTTAATAATAAACTTAATATCTGTGTTTATGAGTGAATTACCTTCAGCTTTGTGTGTGTGTGTATGTGTTACTTTTTTCAGGTGTTTGTATCATCTCTGGTAGGATAACAAATGACTTCTGATTTTTTCCTCAAATTTTGTTCTTCCACGCAATTACAATTACTTGTCCCTTAAACATTTAAAAGAACTCCCCTATGGCTCCAACTAATGTGGATAAACAGAGTACTATTTTAGAGTATAAGGAGAGATTATTTAAGAAAATTTAAAACTTGTATTTATGTGATTGGTCTCTTAGGCTTTCCACCTCTTCTTGCATGACATTTGTTCTTACATATTGTGATTTTCAACCTCAGTTATTATCAGTGAATTAAAATTACAAGAAAGCTACATCTACAAAATTAGCAAATACATGATATGATTATTACAGCTGAAGGTCTTTGTAGATGAAGGCTTGTGAAATGGGCATCTGCGTGCAATGCTGTGGTGGTGTTAATTTTTACAATTTTTTTGTAAATATTTTTTGTAATTTTATCAACAACTCTAAAACAGTATGCTTTCTGGCCAAATAATTTTATTTCTTGGAATATATACCAGATAATTATTCACAAACAGAAAATAAAGATCAACGTGTGATTTTTGTCGCAGTGCAATTATATCATGATGACGTAAGTCAAATATCTATTACAGAAATTATGAGATAAATTATAAATTATCCACTCAATGTAAGGCTATGTTGGTTCTTAATAGCTACGAAAAGTTTTCAATAACATGAAGAAATACCAATAATATGCTAAGTATTAAAAATAAGATAGAAAATTGCACAGGTAATATGACCTGAACTTTTAAAAAAATATGCATGGCATAAAAGACACTTGGAAAATTTTAAATAAAATGTTAATAGTGTTACTTTCAGGTAGAAACAGTCACTTTTACAAAAGTTTTAATATCTTTCCAAATTGTTAAGCAATAAATATAATGAACACACGTACTTTTAATTTAAGAAGTTTTCTTAACTCTTCCAGATAAAAGCATGTCTTGTATTTGAAAACAGTAATCATAAGACTCCTGAACAAATAGGGTGACGTTCCTTGCACTCTTTTTCATGTGTCCCCCAACCCACTGGACACCCTTCTGCTTGTGCCATCAAGGTTGGATGCTTGCCCCAATTGGCCTTGTAGAAAGTGTACGATTGCACTGCTGCCTTCCAGTCATGTGTCTCCTCCAACAACTCTTCATGATTGGTCAAATTAGCTTTAATCTGCAACTCACTTTATTCATTGCCCATGCACCGTGCTGGATGTGCACTGCCTCCACCTCAGCCACTGTTATTTAGATCCTTGTCTTGTCCTCTCCCTATGCCTCAGATGGCTCAACAGGAAAATGAGAGTGTTGACCTCTATGGTCCTTTCAGACCCCCCTTTAGTTCCTCTTGCTACCTGTCTTAGTTTGTCTTTTGTTGCTATAATAGAATACCAAAGACTGGGTAATTTATAAAGAAAAAAACATTTATTCGACTCATGGTTTAAAGGCTGGGAACTCCAAAAACATGAGACTGGCATCTGGCAAGGGTCTTCCCATGGCAGAAGGTGGAAGCGAGCACATGAGACAGAAAGGCACCAGGGGCCAAACTTACTTTATAACAACACATTCTCATGATAACTAACTCAGTCCTGCACATAACATTCATTCATTCATGTGGGGTGTATCTTCATGGCCCAATCACTTCTTATTAGGCCCCATCTCCCAATATGGTAGTGAGAGGTGAAGCCGGCTGGGCTTCTGGGTCGGATAGGGACTTCAAGAACTCTTCTGTCTAGCTAACGAATTGTAAACGCAGCAGTCAGCCCTCTGTAAAAACGCACCAATCAGCACTCTGTGTCTAGCTAAAGGTTTGTAAATGCACCAATCAGCACTCTGTAAAAGCAGACCAATCAGCACTCTGTAAAATGGACCAATCAGCAGGAAGTGGGCGGGACCAAATAAGGGAATAAAAGCTTGCCACCAGAGCACGTGTGGCAATCCGCTGGGGTCACCTTCCATGTTGTGGAAGCTTTATTCTTTTGCTCTTCGCAATAAATCTTGCTGCTGCTCACCCTTTGGGTCCACACTACCTTTATGAGCTGTAACACTCACCACAAAGGTCTGCAGCTTCACTCCTGAAGCCAGCAAGACCACAAACCCACCAGAAGGAAGGAACTCTGGACACATCTGAACATCTGAAGGAACAAACTCTGGACAGGCCATCTCTAAGAACTGTAACACTCACCACAAGGGTCTGTGGCTTCATTCTTAAAGTCAGCAAGACCAAGAACCCACCAGAAGGAACCAATTCCGGACACAGTAGCATTGGGAATTATGTTTCCAACATGCACACCTTTGGGGGACACATTCAAACCATAGCACTACCATTCTATAGTTTTCCCTGAAGCCATTACATCGCTTCTGAAAACTATTACTTCTATTTTTCTCTAGCAGTGCCCAGGCCCACTTTGTTTGCTAGTCATCTTTCTAGGTTAAAAACCTGGTGCATCCAAGGGACTGTGGGTGCATTTTTTTTTTTTTTTTTTTGAGATGGAGTCTCACTCTGTCGCCTAGGCTGGAGTGCAGTGGCGCTATCTCGGCTCACTGAAACCTCCACCTCCTGGGTTCATGCCATTCTCCTGCCTCAGCCTCCCAAGTAGCTGGGACTACAGGCGCCCACCACCACGCCCGGCTAATTTTTTTTGTATTTTTTAATACAGAAGGAGTTTCACCATGTTAGCCATGATGGTCTCGATCTTCTGACCTCGTGATCCGCCCACCTTGGCCTCCCAAAGTGCTGGGATTACAGGCGTGAGCCACCGCGCCCGACCTGTGGGTGCATTTATTTTCCTCAACTGCGCTACCCACATTCTCCATTCCCTTGTGTAGCAGGTCAGCTTCTGAATCCATCCCTCTTCCCACTCTGTGTGATCTCTGCTCCCTTCATGGAGACCATTAGTTTACTGGTACAAACTTTACTCTTGGTGGCTTCTGTGGAAAATGAAAAGTATGATTCGCCATACAGGAATGGGAGTTTTTGCATCAGATGGAAGATGGAACTGACACACCTTGAGGTTGTTTTCTCAAATGGGTTCCCTCCTCTGAGCTGAAGAGTCATCAGAGGGGATCAGGTGAGGTGACCTATGAGGAAAGTGCTTTGCCAAGGTGTGGTAAGTCATTGTTGCTACCGCATGAGGGGTGGGGAGCAATGCTTGAAGGGGATCCTGTAGGGACAGGGGAGGGAGAGAACGGGAACTCTACCACCTTTCCAGTACCATCAGAAGGAAAGGAAGGGCAGAGTGGTGAGGGTCTGAGGGGAAAGGATTTGCAAAGGGATTTCAGTGTTCAAAGGCAGGGATGCCGACCAAGCTTTTTAAGGTTACAAAGAAGAGAGATAGTCAGGCTTTTCTAATCAGCAGGGTCCTATTGTGACGAGTGGGTAGAAATGAGGAAGATGA
The DNA here is from genome assembly GCF_000001405.40 of Homo sapiens. Taxonomy (NCBI): domain Eukaryota; kingdom Metazoa; phylum Chordata; class Mammalia; order Primates; family Hominidae; genus Homo; species Homo sapiens. The sequence continues at coordinate 41,436,748 of NC_000007.14, forward strand.
GAATCCAACCACACGGGATTTTCAATATTGAAACCAGAAACATTCTGGACAAAATAGGGTAGTTTGTCACCCACCCAAGAGTCTGGCAGGAGCCTAGGAGTAGCAGCTGCTACCGGGACAAGGAGACATGATTTAGGAACCTGAAGAGTTTTCTGGATACACTGATTGAGGTTATCTGGTCACCCTCCTTCTGGCCAGTTTCACTGACAAAATAGCGTATACATATAAACTTACACACATACATATATGCATATACACATACATACATAAAAAACATATATGTATTTATATGTATTCCATTGATAAGCAGTGGGTTATAATGATAAGAGTTTGGACTCCAGAGCCAGATTACTTGGGTTTATAGCTCAGCCTTCCCACTTCCTGTCTGTGTTACCTTGGGCAAATTAATTAACCTCTCTGTTCCTCATCAGAAGGTTATTGTGAACTTGGAAGCGAGTTACTATACGTAAAATGCACTTGGAATAGTGACTGACACATAATACACACTTCAATTTCAGCTATTAGAATTACTGGTTCCTTTGTCATGCCCTTCCATTATATTGGACCAGCAGATCTCTGTGCCTCCACTTTTCCCTGTGCCTCTCAGCCTCTCTCTGCCCTTGCTCTCAACAGTCAACTCTTCAGATCAAATTCCTATCGAGTTAATCACCACCATCTCTGCTGGGCAGAGCTTTGGCACCAAACCTCACCTCAACGAGGCAGCTGCTTAGTTCATAGATTGGGCATACTTTTTGCCCAATCAGCACTGTTAATAATAATTGAAACTTATAAAGCATGCTAGCAAGAGTAGCAGAGTCAGGAGTTACCAGATGGGTGGCCTCAAGTTTTCTACAATGAACCCGTATGGCATTACATTTGGAATTAAGGAAAAGGTTATTTTAAAAATAGACTATTTTAAAAATAGTGTGGGTAGACCATGACCCTGCCTATTATGAAAGCCCATGGCCCCAGAGACTGCACGAATCATTTATTCTGGCCAATGTCCTGGTGCAGAAGTGACCGCCCATTGATTGAGGACAACCTCCTGGTTTTCAGTTAGCTAAGAGCTAACCTAGGGCTCCTGGATCTTGCTGTCTCCCCTGGTGACTGTTGGTAGCTCCCACCCACTCTTCCACTGTGGCCTCCAGTATCCGGCATTATAACCATTTACAGGCTTCTCATCTTCAAGAGGGAATTAGCTTCTCAAATACAAAAGCCAGTTCATCTTCCTATTCATGGTGCACAGAACAGCACCTGGCATGACGGAGGCACGTGATACCTATGTGCTCAGCAAATAGCCACACCCAGGGAGGCCAGGAGGAATTTTTCATTGCGGGGTTTCTGAAACCTCCCATTCACTCATTCATTCATTGTTATTCATTCAAAAGTTATACTTTATGTCCACTCGTGACCATACAAAAGAGTCTTAGACTTTGTTTGCAAGGATTTTATTGTCTATATGCCTGGAAATGTAACTCAAAAAGAAAAAAATTAAAACTCAACTAATTACCCTCCTTATCCCCTACCCCTGAGAACCCATATCTAACTACAGATTTGATAGCAAATCTACAAAGTTGAGACTTCAAAGTAAAAGCAGCAAAATGAGTCTGCTTATATCTTCACTGAGACTCAGAAAAATTACCCACTGCAATTCAGAGGCGGCTACGGAAAGGAGCTGTAGTGGTTGGGGGTGGGTGAGAAGGGGCAGAGATGCTGAAACTCAAGAGGAGTTTTGGCTTGGTAATACAGACCCATGGGCCACTCAAAACCCACTAGGAGTTTAACTGGCACTAAAATCTGGTTGGCAAAGGCCAACTTTTAGCTCTGCCATTTAATTAGAGCAGAATTCCCCTAGTAAGTGAGGGAAATCGATACTTTTTCACCTAACTGCTTGTCCATTGAAATTACTGTGCTAAGAAAAGCAAGGAACTATTAACAAAACGAAAGAAAAATGTGGCATTGCCCTTGTCAAGCTTTTGACCCAAATATTTACACCGCATTTTATATTTTTTTTACTTCCATTATTCTGAGAGGGATTTTGTAGTTTTTCTGACATATGCCAAAGCAGGTTTTTACATTTTGCAAGTATGCAAATAGCAAATGGAATAAGAAATTCATGCAGATGCTTTCCCAGATTTTCAAATGCAGAACATCGTGTTATGCTGGTTCCAGAAGTTATAATTGCACTTAAAAGTCCTGCCTTGGTGTGGCATTCAGGGACTTTAGGGACTGCACACTAATTCATGTCTGACTTTGTAATCAGCCCTATTCATAAGAACTGGCTTATAGGAAACACATTTCTTCTTCAGAAGGAGAAGCGGTGATTAATGACAACTTCAAGAGTGCCTTGTGGGCCCTGTAAATAGATGGCGCTCTAGCAATAGGCTGGAATTTCTGCCCCCGTCCCAAATTCCCACTCTTGCTTCCTGAGAACCCCTTCCCGCTATTACTGTGCAGAAGACAATATCTCCTGTGGGTCAGCATCTTTTGTCCCTGACTCCCTCTCTCCTTCTCTCCCTGGAATCTCTTAGTAATCTATCCCAAGTGGCAACCTTTCAGGAATGCCCGCCCTTAGGAGTCTTACAAAATGTGTAAAGTTGTATCATTCCTTTCTTCTTAGAAATAAAGGAAAGCTCTTTATAGAACTGGAAACATTTCCTTTTAAACAAAAGCAATCAAGTACTCCCTAGGGCTGGGCCTGAGAGATTCATTCCTCATCCTCCTGAGACCAAAATGGTGAAAGACGTGAGTGTCTCCCCTTCAAAGAGTTCTCAGAGCCTTGTGCTCGAAGGACACTCCCTCCAGAATGTCTGCACACAACAAGACAGACAGTAGCTCCAGCTCCCCTGTCATTCTGGTTAATCTAGGACATCTGGCCACCCCATGTGAGGACCCGGATTCTGTGTGCCCTCCAGGATAAGCAAGAGGCCCTGTCCTATGTGTGAAAGCTCTGGCTGCCATGGAAATAAAGCCAATTAGAAAAGACGAACGTGATAAGGCTCGCTCATGGGCTGTGCTCGCTTTAGAAAGTCATTACAGGCAACCGAATTAGCTTCAGTCTTTATAAAATAATTTTCAAGACAAGCATGCATTCAAACTAAACTTTTTGGTGTTTCTTTCCTGCTTTATTATTATTTTTTAATCTAGCAGCTCTTGACAACCTGTTGTGTTGATTTACAATCCTTGCAGCAGTATTTTGGAAAGGCAAAACATGTTCCCTGGAATCCCTGGAGAAAGCGGTGGGCTCCAGGAATCATCACCGTTACATTTCGTCCCAGTGGCCATGGGGACCTTATCAACTCACTGCCTAGGGTGGTCATTTTAAAAGATTGTAACCTGGGAGATAGAAGACCTGGATTCTCCCTCTTCTCCACATTCACTAGCTCTGCCATTTTAAGTAAGTTGCTTAACTTCTCATTTTCCTTAAACTTAAAATAAAATCATAGAAAATTTAGAAACAAAAAGGGACCTTGTTGGAGGAGGGAAGTAAACTAGTTTAGCTTCAGTTACTTCATTTTACAGATGAAAAAACTAATACCTGCCTTATCTCACTCCCATGCTGGCTGAAAAAAATCAACTGAAATTTCAGCGTGCTTAAAAAGTTTGAGGTTGTACAAACTGTTGTACAAATGAAGGAGATAATAATTACTATTATTCACAATTTAAAGTAGAAAATATTTCACATACATATCGCTAAATAATATTGTTTTTATCATCATTAGTAATTCCCACATTTAGCTAGATGTGAATACTTTTATTGCCCCTGAATTTCCAAAAGTTTGACAAAGGGAAGATTTTCTTTTCTCTCTGCTCAGTAAAATTGTTACATATTCTCTCAAACAAACACAGAATTTTCTAATCAGTGCTCTAAACTTATACAGAGGATTACTTCCAAAGCTTTCAAATCACTCAAGTCACAGACTTCCTACTATGCACTTAAGTGAAAAATAATCACATCTATTGTTATTTTATATTTATTTGTAATTTGGCTTTGCAGTGCACATTGGTCTTACATACCTCCTGAAGCTAAATCTTCACCTCTCAGTATGGTTATTTGCTTTGGGCCATAATTTAGCCTGGATTCCCTCGAAAGCCGAGACAAAAGCTTGTATGAGAATAGTTTCATTGAGAATGTGATCCTACGGAGCAGAAATAAGGGACTGAGGTGTGTAATGGCGAGCAGGAAAAGCCAATTCAGCAATACAGGATCAAGTTGGCCACATCCAGAGGCTGGTGCTCTGTCTCAGATGACCTTCAAAAGAAGCCTTATCAATGTGTGTCCAAGGACAAAAGGGGAAAATGTGTAACCATTGGATCCCTGAACTTCACAGAGCTATGCAGGCATGAGTACAGGGTAAGATCTTGCAGGTACCCTTACCAGAGGGTCAGCAAAAATCTGTGGCAGAAGCAAGAAGGACATGGCTCAGGTGAGGTGAAGCACCATCAGACTGCACCTGAACAAAGCTGTTTGAAGCTTGCACAAAATAAGTCACTGCAGCAGTGGCTGGAGTAAGAAGCAGGGCTGGAGGCCCAATGGGGAGGATTGCTGAGACCAAGAGTTCAAGACTTGCCTAGGCAATATAGCAAGATCCTATCTCTACAACAAATTTTTGTTTAAAAATTAGCCAGATGCGATGGTGTGCACCGGTAATTCTAGCTACTTGGGAGGTTGAGGCGTGAGTGTCGCTTGAGTCCAGGAGTTCCAGGCTGCAGTGAGCTATGATGGCGCCACTGCATTCTAGCCTGGGCGACAGACTGAGACCTTGCCTTAAAAATATTTTTAAAAAGTAGGGGCAGGTCAGCTGCAGCGGCTCACATCTGTAATCCCAACACTTTGGGAGGCTGAGGCAGGAAGATCTCTTGAAGCCAGGAGTTCAAGACCAGCCTGGTCAACAAAGTGAGACCCTGTCTCTACGCGCACACACACACACACACATACACACACAGAAGAAGGCAAAGTGAGGCCAAGAGGATTTAAGATGGTGAGCCCTTGTGGTATCTGATACAGGTTGAAATCCAGCCAACTTACACGTGGTAATTTTTCACTGAGAACTGGGCTCTGGAAATCTTTGATTCATGTGTTGACAGAACTTCCCTTAATAATGCAAACAACACGAAGTTTAACACTGGTGCCCCTTGCACAACCTGAGACATAAGAAAAATTTGTATTCAGGCTTGGCCAATGGAGTGTTTTAGTGTAATTTTACGTGGAAGCATTTTAATAAACTTTTGCATAAGATAGGTAAATTTCACTTAGGCATATCTCTGTGTCTCTGCGCACCAGAAGAAACTAGCCACATGGATATCTGGTGCAACACTGAGAAATCAAGCCATTTGTACACAGCTTCATGTAATTAAAATTTGAAGCATCTCCAAGTTTTGGGGCTGAGCTAATTAGGCAGGCATAGGGTAGAGGTGAGTAGACAATGAGAATGATTTACTTGAGGAAGTTCCTAGGCAGTAATTCTCAATGTGTAGACCTTGACCAGAAACCTCTCCATCACCTGAGAACTTACTCAAAATGCAAATTCTCAGTCCCATTGAGATATACTGAGTCAAAAGCTCTCAGGGTACAGTAGAGCTATTTGCATTTTAACAAGTCTTCCAGGTAATGCTGATGCTTGTTAATGTGTGAGAACCATAGTACTAGGTGAATCTCTTCCAGAGCAGTGGTCTGACTCAGGCGGTAGAACAATCAATAGGGTGGCAAATCAGTTGGTCAGATATGTACTGGACTGGTACATATTTTTTAAGCACTTACTAAGAGCCAGTTACCATTGAGGGTTCTGAAGATGCAAAGATGAACAAATCACACAGCCTCTGATCCCAGGGAGCTTTCTAGTGAAAGAGACAAAGAAATAGACCAAGCATGATAATAAACTAGCAAGAGGAACACCTAAATTCCTCTTGGACCCCAATCCAAACTCAGAGAGGGAGTCAGAAAAGAAGTTATTTCTAAATTAAACTGTGAAAAACCAAAGGTGTGTTGGAGTGGGATAGGAGGACACTTCCAGTAGACAAGACAAGTCTTTCAGAGTCCTAGGGGAAAACTGAGCCATCTTAGTCAAGGGCTGCAGGAAGTTAAAATGTCTGAAATGCAAGGTACAGGAAGGAGATAGGGAGAGAAAAGGTTGGAAACATATAAATAAATAGATCATAAATTGTTTAATATGCAGAGACACTTCGGTTTTATTGCTAAGGCCTCCTCCTGACCCTGGACAAAAATTGGCATGCGCCCAAGAACTCAGTCCAGCTTGGTTGGTTTTAAATGCCAACCAAGGGCTGGTGACCCCAAATCCACCTATCCAAACCTGCCTCTTTCTCAGATTTCCATACTGGCATCTCTACTTGAATGTCTAAAAGACACGTCAAACCTAACTCGACAAAAGTTGATTTTTCCCCCCTCAATCTTGTGTCATTCAATGTTTTCTTAACTCAGCAAATGGCAATCATATCTACCTAGTTTTTCAGCCCCAAATCTAGAACATATCCAAGAGTTCTGATTTTTCTCATCACCTACATTCAAGCCACAACTATATCCAGTCAACTCAGCAAGATTTGTTGGCTCTACCTTTTAAAAGTGTGTGGAAACATTTTCCACTTCTTTCTAGTCCTTCTATGTACTTCCTTCTTGATGGCAAAATGGCTCCTCAGCAGCTTGAAGCCCATATTATGGCCAATTCTCTCAGCATCTCTAAATCTTTCCCACAGAAGCCCCATGTTAGGTTTGATTTGCTTTGACTGCGTTTATCTTCATCCATGAACCAATGACTATGGCCAGTGGGATAAACACTGTGTTTAATACTGGGTTATAAGCCCAACTTTGCAGCCAGGGATGGAGATAGTCTCATTCAAACCACATAGGGGTTAGGGGTGGAAGGGGCTGTGGAGAGAGCAGTGAGGAAGGAGGGTGGTGGGGGTAGATAGTCCCCTGAGGAAATGCGAAGTGTCACCAAAAGGAGGGTAATGGATACTGGGCAAGCAGACAAGAGATTTTCACTAGAGTGGCAAACCAGGAAACCACTGAATGATGAAAAGTAAAGGAGTTTCTTTTTGAAATGTACTTGAATATCATTTTTTCTGTAAGTACTGACATTTCATTACCAAGAGTTTAAATTTAAATCAAAATCATTTTACATGCCCTGGGCACTCCTGCAACAGCATTATAATAAGTGCTTGGCTGTCTGTGATACTGGGCTCAATAATACAATACCAGCGGCTGTGATTTCCACCTTCTAGCAAAATCCAAGTCTCATGCAAACTTTAAGTATCTGAACACTGGTCAAGCTCATACACTAGAATGAAGGATTGATTTTTTTATTCAACACTTGAACATACAGGGCATATATGGTATAAAATGACCGTACAGGACATATATAATGATAATTTTATTTAAAAATTAAAATCAACATGGAAAGACCCCGTGTCTACCAAAAATGCAAAAATTAGCTGAGTGTGATAGTGTGCGCCTGTCAACTCAGCTACTCAAGAGGCTGAGGTGGGAGGATCGCTTGAGCCCAGGAGGCAGAGGTTGCAGTGAGCTGAGATCACGCCACCACACTCCAACCTGGGTGACAGAGTGAAACCCTGTCTCAAATAAATAAATAAATAAATAAAATTAACTGCCTTTAGCAGTTTGAGATGGGTGTGTTGATGGACTAAGGGCAAACTCAAAGACTTAAAATTATAATTCATACAGAAATTGGACCTAAACAGTAGAGAAATACAGATACATTTTGTTTTCTATTTAAAGATTTTGAAAGCCATTAGGAAAAGATAATTATAATCCTGGCTTTGAGTAGGAATGTCAACAGGCAATGAATGTGTTCTTCTCTGAACAACCAACATGTATATCCACAGCTGCTTCTAAGTGCAAAGGCCTGGCACACTTCCTTTCCTTGTAAGCAGAAAAAGGAAGAAAAAAAAGAAAAAGTTATCTCCTCAAAGAACTTCCTTCTTTCTCCATTACCTCCAACCTTGTCCTCCAAAAAAGAGATATTTTTTTATTTTGAGATGTCTTTTTCCTCTACTTGTTGGCATCATGAGATTTGCTCCCTGCTATTCTGACCTGGCACCTTCTCCTCATTTTGGGGTGCCAGATGCAATTGGTAGGCAAACATATTCCACCTGAATGGTGAGAATTAACCTGGGGGTGGGGTGGGGAGTTGGGAAAGGGAAAACCTTATTTTAAGAAGTATCCATTTCTCTAAAAAAAAAAAAAAAAAAAAAAAATGCCGGGCGTGGTGGCTCATGCCTGTAATCCTAGCACTTTGGGAGGCTGAGGCAGAGGGATCACGAGGTCAGGAGTTCGAGAGACCATCCTGGCTAACACGGTGAAACCCTGTCTCTATTAAAAACACAAAAAATTAGCCCGGCGTAGTGGCGGGGCGCCTGTAGTCCCAGCTACTAGGGAGGCTGAGGCAGGAGAATGGCGTGAACCCAGGAGGCGGAGCTTGCACAATGAGCCGAGATCGCGCCACTGCACTCCAGCCTGGGTGACAGAGTGAGACTCCATCTCAAAAAAAAAAAAAAAAAAAAAAAAAAAAAAGGCTGGTTGCTGTGTTCCCAACCTGAAAAAGTTTTTTGGGGAAAACTGAAAGGATACAGTTACCGACTGAGGAAAGAGTTAAAGGAAGACAATGGATATTCACTTCCCTGCTGATCTTTATCTGCCCAAAATGTGCAGAAACTGTAACTGTTTCTTTTGCTTCAATAATGGAAAAATGGTTATATTTATGCAAAAAAAGCTAAACCATCACAGTAAAAAACAACACCTAAATGACTAAAGGCACAAACAAATCCAAAAGCAAACAAATTGATATCTCCCAACCGCAAAGTACTTATTACTGAAGCCCTTTGACAGCTTTATTGGATTTTTCTACAAAGATCACAATAGTTAATGCTTGCAATTAGCTTTTGAAATTAACTTGGAGTGCCCTACACTTAGAAGTTGGCTTAGTAAGCTAGTATCATGTTTTTCTTTTTGTTGTCCCAACTCTGTTTGCCCTTGCCCTTGTTGAGATTGCTGCTTTCTTTTTCTTTTTCTTTCTAGAGGTTTCAAATACACTACTTTATGGTATCTCAGGGTCCCAGAATCCAAAACTCTGTAAAAAATTCTATTGACAGTGGAGTTCAACAGTGTAACAAGGACGTCAATATGAGGATGTTGTCTAGGATGCAGAAGAATTCCAATAGATAAATGCTTAAGCCTCTCTTTTGTCTTGTTTTGCTACTTTTCCAAGGCAAGATGCCTGGGCCCCTCTTTCACAAAAAATGCAAGGAAAGCGGACTTGACCTTTGCAGACTGTCTTAAATTTTAGGCTCTGTTTGTCAGCTGCTAGAGACCTCACCAAAGCAGTGAACTGAAAAACAAAGACAGTGAAACTGCAAATGCCGCCTGAGAAGGAAGCATTTATCCTATCACAATAGGTCTTTGTCTTTCCTGAATTTGGATTGAGTGTCTGGTTTAGTGTCCAGATATACTAACCATGGACACCTGACTTTCTCAAGGACAAAATGGGGGAAAAAATGCAAAGGTATTTTCTAGTCCGAACAGGGTTAGATGGAATTGCTACAAAGACTTTTTGCCAGAAAAAATCTGGGGCTAGCTAAGACTAGTAATTCTCATCCAGAAAGCTTCCACTCATAAAATAACTTGGTCTCCCCTTTCAGTCCCACCCAAATAATTATTTAACTTAAATATATACAACTACGAACGTTCCAAAAAAACTTATGAAAAGATGCATTGTATTGTACATGGGCCTTGAAAAAAAATTTTGTATTCAAGATTTATAGTAAAAGAAATAGGAGTTGTTCTCATTTTCTTTTTCATTTATGACCCCTTGAAACTGCAGAATTGAAACAATTAGCTGCCTGCTGTTTAACATTAAATGAGCATCACCATCACCCTTTGGCCATGCCGCGACTGTTTTCTTGAGCAGTATATCCCTGAGTGAGGCCCAACTACTGTACAGAAGGACTGAAATCTGAAAACTCCTTAGAATAACATTTCAGGGCTTCACTGCTGCTTGATCTGTTTCTTTTTAGCCTGTCCTAGAAACAGTGAGGCACTGCCACATTTTTAAGGTGGGGGTGGGGGGCAGGGATAACATCTAAATTCCTCATGTATCTCAGAAATCTAAATTAAAACATTGAGGAAGCAGTTACTAGGTTGTTCTGACAAAGATAACAAGGCTGTGAGGATTGGATTTAGAAATGAACATTGCAGGGCTCTCTCAGTTGTAGCCAATCTGGAATGTCACACTCCGACATACAAGTAGTTAGGACGAACTTAAATAGCCAGACCCCATAAAAGAAAAAAAAAAAAAGTAGCATTGCACATTATTATGGGCTGTAAGGCTTGGTACCATTATTATAGAATGCTGTACCATTTTGTTTCAATTAAGGAACACAAATAAATCACAATAAAAAATCGTTCAATAGGTTTGGAATCACTCTATATAGTCATAACAAAGCTACCACACTGTTTAAATTGCCCGCTGAGAACCATCATTTGGTAATGACTAACAGAGAAAGGGGACTAAGGGCCTCTTTCTCAATGTTCTGAAAACCACTTGGAATCCCATTCTCTCCTGATCCTCCCCAGCAGTTATGAGGATGGTGTGAGAAGGCACAGAAGGATCCCAGGGTCACAGACAGGCTTACAGCAGATACTTGGGAGCCCAAGGCCGTGGAACCCTTCCACATGGCTGCTCTGGAGACTGTGGTCAAGATAAGTGGGTCTCCGTGTCCGTGTCTTTGTGCCCCTGGTCCACCTCCCTGTCTCACAGCGATGTCCGTATTTCACAGCCTGGGCGGAATGAGCGCCTCTCGGGGGCCTTCATTCCAGCCAGAGCATAGCAGGTTGGTCAGCATAGAGGCCTTGAGTGGCAGGAGAGTGCTTGGCTGTAGCAAGAATAGTCAGGGTCCCCCCTGCAGCCATCCAACTCTGGGCAGAGCTGATCAGACATCTCCTGAAATTTCCATTACATCAATATCATAGTTGTTAGAACAAAGCATGGAACACTCATCTGTTTTACAGAATTTATTTGCACTACTCATTCTGCCTTTATGAAGCAGGCTGCATGGAACGGGTGAACATATTCCCAGGAAACAGTTCCCTGATAACTTAGGAGCCTCCAAGTCTGCCGAGTGTTGCTCTAGTTTTCTGTAACAAAGAAGTGAGTGTTGGTGCTTCAAATAAAAGCTATTTTTTGCCCTCCTATAATTGAGGTTGGGTGAATTTCCTATATAATTTTTTTCCTTTTCCTTTTTCTTTTTTTTTAAGAAGGTGTTTTACTGCTCATTATCTTTTCTCTATTGTGACTGTAGATATTTTTTGTGGGATTCCCCTTGTTCACTTTTCTCTCTACCTTCCCATGCTGAGGATTAAAAAATCCCACAGATTTGTTTTACTACTGTGAGCATAAAAAGCAGCAAGTTTGCATTTTGAACAGAGCAGAGATTAAGGCATTGGCAGCCTTGAAATAGCTCTTTCTCAACTTCCATTCCCATGAGGTTATCCACATAAAGTTGCTCTTAGTACAGGGTCAGTGTGATGAAATGTATTTGTTGAATCTCTTTGGTGCCAAAGCTTTTGCCAACAATCTGATCTACCTGATAGTGGTACTATTTCAGAAATGTCCAGTCAGTGGAGCAAATATGGTGCCTGTGGATTTTCAAGCACAGCAATGATAGCTGAATCTACAGCAAGCAAACACTCTATATTTTGTCTTTTACCCTTAGAAACAGGTATGCAGGAATAAAGAAATAATCAGAGTTTATAAAGTAGGAATTTTTATTTTAGTAGTAAACCTTAGTTGGACCTAAATTCCAAATAGAATACCACTAGGGTGGCGATAGTATTACACAGTCCTTTAGGCGTCTCTCAGGTCCATAACCAGGGATCCCCATGAGGACTCTCTAACAAGAATATAATATGCAAATGTGTAAAAAGGGAAGTATTATATTAAAAGTTGTAAAAACAAGGCATCAAGAAATATGCATCATGTTAGCAGAAAAACGACAACAAAAATTATGAAGTGACCAAAATACAAATGTTATGAGGGCAATCATAATTTACTTAAAAAAAGTTTGCTGCGTCAGGACAGGCAAAAGTGACATTTTTCTTACCTTTCCATTCTCCAACTTGAAATTTCCTGATTCACAGATTCACGTATACATCCAAAATATACCAGAATAAAACCAGCATTTATTCATATTGCTGGGCCCACAGCACTTGCAACCTTGTCAGATCTCATGCCAGCTTTGTTAGGTTGAAACGTCCTATTGCAGAAGGTCTTGGATTGAGATGATAGGTGTGGGAGACAGGTTGAAAAGCTGAGGATAGCTCAATATTGGGGCTGAGAGAGAACAGTCAACTATTCCTATGGAAGATAGGTGTGTGTATGGGTTGGGGGGCTGGCAGGAGGAGTGGATGGGAATAGGAGGCAGGTGACAATGGACCAGTCTTACTATGTGGCTACCTCTCCTTGCCCAGCTAGAAACTTTGAATTCAACAATAAAATCTTCAAAGAATTCACAGATGCCAATAAAAATGATGCCCCTCTACAGCTTTTCCTCCTGCTTCCAATATAAAAGCAGTCTTAAAATAATTCACAGAAGCCTCTGGGATCTGGAATGGGGAAAAGCATCAGCCTTCATAACGATACCAGCATATGAATGTGATTTCTCGTGCCAACAGCTTCCAGAGCTTGGAATTTCACCCAGCTTCATGAACGTTGGGGGAGTCCCCTAGTGCCCTGGCCTGTCAGCTCATCCCCCACCCCACTGGAAGTAGGGGAAAGATCAGGGGGTAAAAGGAAATGATTGTTAAGGAGGGTAATAGAGAGAAATAGGTATGGAAAATGGAAAAAACCATGCAGATCATGTAGGAAGTGTGGGCTCTGCTACTAAGCAGTTCTGAAGAGGGAAATAATCCTAAGAATACCAACAATATCCATGGGGCATGTTTATTTGCCTGGCACTGTTGAGAGTTTTATATGGAGTATTAACTCCATTTTTAAGACTGGAAAGTGAGGCTCAGAGAGAAAGTTGCTGAAATTCACACACGTGTACATTGAAAATCTGGAACTTGAAACTTGAACTAGGTCTGCACACTGTAACCACCCGCAATGTTACCTCCCACAGTGGGAGGGACCCTGGGTTGCTGGCACTAGTTGATGTGGTCCGCTGGCTGGTGCCAAAGAGTACAAGAACGCTCATGTATTGAACAGCAATGTTTTCTTGGGCACTTTACAGGTGATCTCATTTTATTTTCATCACAGCTTTAGGAATTAGGATTACCATCCTTAATCTAGAGATGTATTATTTGGGACTTTAAAACGCTTCATTAAAATAGCCCTGCATGGTGGTGTGTGCCTGTGGTCCCAGTTACTCAGGAGGCTGAGGTGGGAGGATCACTTGAGTTGGATGGGGCAGAGGTTGCAGTGTGCTGAGATTGCACCACTGCACTCCAGTCTGGGTGACAGTGAGACCCTATCTGAAAAAACAAACAAACATACAAACAAAGAAAACTTCATTAATTGATTTATTCATCCATTGAACAATTAATTGCTGAACACTTAACTATTTTACACAGCCAGCTGGTAGACATAGAATAAAGAGCAAAAAAATTTAATGTTTTATCCTCAACAGGCTTGCTTTCTGATAGGGAAAAGGAAAAGTTAATCACATAACCACACTGATGACTGTTTAATTACACATGTAGACGACTCTCTGAAGGAAAAACTCTTCCAGATTTCAGGAGGAGTCAGCGACACAGGAACATCATGACCCACACTGGACAGGGTGAAGGCGGGGTGGCCTTCAGGGGTGGCTTTGCTAAAGAGGTGATCTCAAACTAGAAGCTGAAAGATGAGAATGACCTGACTAGTTGAAGGGGTGTGCATGCATGTGTGGTGCACGTGTGTTGTGGTGGGATTTTAATCAGAGGATTTTTGTCAGAAGGAACAGCAATGCAAAGGCTCGTGGCTCCAGCGTAGTTGGAATTCCAGTGCGGCAGGAAGGTAGAGCTCAAAAGGCTTGGGGAAGGAAGCTGGAAACAAGGCCTTACCAATGCATTGTAGTTTGGGTTTCTGTGCTAGAGTTCATGTTTCACTTCTTACCCCAGATTCAAAAGCCTGGGCCTTCACATCTGTTTCTGAGCATGGGCTCATAAGCCTGCCCCATCTGACCCAGCTCTATGTAGGCACATCTCCTTGCTTTTCTGGGAATGCAGTCCAGGGAAAAAAACACCCACTGTACCCTTTGACTGCGAAGAGGCAAACATCAAATCCTGGCTTGGCCGTTTTGCAGGTGAGTGAATTGGAATAAGTCCTTTGACATTTTCAAGCTTTGGTTGTGTGCATGGTATGTAAAAGTTTTGATGTAGGGAATAAAGGAGAGGATGCTATGGAGTGCTCAGCCCAGTGCCTTGCACATAGTGAGATGCTCAGGAAACACTTGCCCTTATTGTGTGTGTAAATGGGAGGTTGGCATTTCCTGACCCAAGACATGGGCTGGCACTTCATAAAAGCCGTCTTCTTCCTCTCCTCAGTTAGTGAGATATATACTTGTTATATCCAAAATGCATTAATCCAGAAATATACTTGAAGAATCCAAAATCCCCTGGATAGGGCATCAATTAACTTACTGGAATTTAAAAATTTAGTAATAATGAATTAATTGGTTTACAAAAAATTGAATTGGGGGCTAAGTGCCTAGCCCTGTGACGTATAACCCTGTATATAATACAAAAGAAAACCAAGCTCTGTGTGTGCCTCAGGGTGTTCCCACTCTCAATGGGGATAAATAACATATTTGGAACTCATAGAACACAGACACAGAAGAAATATTCAAGGAAATTCCAAACAGGTTATTTTAAATAGCCAAAATGTGTAGATAAACTACCCTGCATATTTTCTAAAAAAGAAAGTCTACTATGGAGATGATTTCTTGGAAAAGATTAGGCCTCCAAAAACGGGTAAACACTAACATAGTGAAAAAATATATACGTGGCTTACAGTCTGGTAAAGCTAATTTGACTTAACTCTGCCAGTTCCTAGTTATTTGACCTTAGATAAAATATTTAAACAACCTGAAATTTCTTATTGGTAGAATTGGAGAATGTACCCATTTCATAAATGAGAGAATTTAAGTAGACTCTCTGGCATGTTTAACAAGTGGATGTTATTATTTTATTTTATATGAGTCATTAGTTTAACATCTAGGTTAAGCACAGGGCACAGATGAGTTAGAGCAACCAATCTATGTCTAAATCCCAACTCTACTGTCAGCTACTGCCTGGACATGAGGCAAATCACTTTGCCTACCTGAGCTTCATTTTCTTTTCCAGATCTGTTAGACTCATACCCACTAACCATGGCTGTTACGAGATAACATCTGTTACTGCACAGTAAATGTCCAATCATGGTAGCTGTTTGACTGGTTTTCTATTATTGTTGTTATTATTGTTACCATTATTATTATTTGTTAACCTTTGATGGGTAGAAAGAAAGCAAAGAGACAGAGCAGAAGAAAAGTACGAGGAAAAGCCAAAAATCTAGAATGAAATTAATGAAGAGGCAACTTTAATGTAGGAGAGAGTCTCGGTAAG